>NC_000016.10:72441288-72744318 GCF_000001405.40 Homo sapiens
TGTTGTGGCTAATTTGATCTATTCAGACCACCAAAACTGTCTCCATTATCAGCAATGAGGCTGTTTCACTTTCACTACTTCACTGGAGTAGCATTTTTAATTTCCTTCAAGAATTTTTCCTTTGCACTCCCACTTGACTAAGTGTTTAGTGCAAGAGGTCTAGCTTTTGACCTATCTTCACTTTTTACATGCCTTCCTCACTAAGCTTAATCATTTCTAGTTTTTTATTTACAGCGAGAGATATGTGACTCTTTTTTTCACTTGAACACTTTTTAGAGGCTATTGTTGGGTTATAAATTGGTCTAACTTCGATATTGTTGTGTCTAACATCCATATGGTCTTAGGGAACAGGGAGGCCTGAAGAGAGCAACAGAGATGGGGGAATGCCCACTTGCTCAAGCAGTCAGAATACACACAACATTGATAATTTAAGTTAGCCATCTTATATGAGCATAGTTCATAGCATCCCAAAACAATTACAATAGTAACATCAAAGATCACTGACCACAGAACACCGTAATAGACTGAAAAGTTTAAAATATTGAGAGAATTAACAAAATGTGACACAAAGTGAGCACCACAGACTTGCTCACCCAGGGTTGCCACAAACCATCAATTTGTTAAAAAAAAAAAAAAACCAACACAATATCTGTGAAGTGCAGAGGAGGGTAATAAAACAAAGTAAACCTGTATATGTCAGGTGTTCATATAAACTGCATAATTTTTATGCCCATATTACAGGTAAAAAAGCGTAGGTGAAAAGCTTAAAGTAATAGCTAATACATCACGGAAGTAGCATATAAATCAAGATTTTCAAACTTGGAAACAAATGTTCTATCCCCACTCTCCCCACGAATTTTCCAAGATCAAATGTACCTGATTAATGGTAGCACTGAAGAAATGTTATTTGTTCTGGTTTCTCCAATTTTTCCTCCCTGCCTTAGCACAAGGGAGTTCACAATTTGTAGGGTTTTATAAATTATATTGAAATACCATAGACAAATAATAGTAGCTTGCTTGAAAACACACTAACAGCTGTGCAGGGCACACAACAAGCACTCAATAAGCATCTGACTTATCCAACTTAAAAAATGAGACATTAAATATTGAAAAATTATTTCATGGCACAGAAAGCACATCAGCCAACATTAAAAAATCAAGTACACAGTTATAAAGATGGGCACACTAAGGTGTTGGTATATTATCCCTGACTATTTTTTATGATTCCCCTAGACAAAGGATGTCGAGCAAAGAGGGAACCATATTTGTCCATTGTAAACATTTAGTCTAGAGATTTAAAGGCTGTTTTGCACACTGAGTCTATAGAGAGACAGGCGATTGCTCTCTGTCACAATTTCAAAGTCCATCTTCTTTACCTCATCAATTTGCAGCTTAGTAGGGGTGAGGATGAGGGAAGAGTTATATTGTACTCCCAGAAGTAAGGGGCTGTTTTCCTGCCTGTCATTCTACCAACCTCCCAGAATAAATTGCTACTTAGAAAAAGGGAAGTCAAACATTTGTGAAACATATTGCTATTTAGAAAAAAAGAGAATTGTTTTGCAAATAGTAGCACTATTAAAAGAGCAGAGAGAGAATAGCATCAGTCATTTTATATTACATATAAGCAGTTTATTAAAGAATTAAATATTTATAGACTATAAAGCAAGCAGGCGATGAGTCACAAACAGCTTGCTGAGAAGTACATTATAAAACAATGAGTCTGTCAGTGATTGATAAAGAACGGAGAACGCAAATGCTTTATAAATTCCCTAAGTTAGCTATGAATTTCCAGACCAGAAGAAAAGGACACAGTAGCCAGCAATGTCACACCAACTCTAGCTGATGTATATGCCAAAAGCTTTCAGTGAACAAAAAGTACACTTCTCTTTGATTCGTCCACCTCCATCTAATGTAGAGGAAAGAGCTGCAAAGCACAGAGAACTGCAAGGGCTTTATGGATGCTCACTTCCAAGTTAATAGATGTTAGATTTAGATATCCATATAACTCATTTTATTTTCTTCTGACTTTTTTCTTATTAGATAATAAAGTCCATATAATTTCAAAGAAAGATATCCCCCTTCTTTTCAGAATCATATGCATTAGAGACCAGATCGCCTAATCTAATTCTATCAAGTTAGAGTGAAAGCAACTAGGACTTAAAGGTGTAAAGTTACTGATCCAAGTTCACATAGCTGGTTAATACCAGAATTAGGTTTAAAACTTGGGTCTCCTATCTCCTTGATCAATATTCTTCCCATAGTATCACCTTCTTTCCCCCAATCCCTTTTTAAAATGAAAATTCTGAGCTTTTGCTATTCACAACCATTCATCGGTTAGAAATTGTGAATTCTTTCTCTCATAAAATTATATTTCAATTCAGTTTAGATGATGATTTTAGGAGAAAAAAAGCTTTAAGTGGATAAAACTTTATATCTTCTCTGAGAGAAACAAAATATA
This sequence comes from Homo sapiens, assembly GCF_000001405.40. Lineage (NCBI taxonomy): Eukaryota > Metazoa > Chordata > Mammalia > Primates > Hominidae > Homo > Homo sapiens. The sequence continues at coordinate 72,443,747 of NC_000016.10, forward strand.
ATCTGCCTCTCCATAGTCGTTCTAGAGTTTGAGATAATAGGATGCTATTAAGAAAATGTTGGCTCTTTCTTGAGGAAAGGCTTTCTTTTATGCATTAACTACTTGGGAGGATGAATTTTCATTCTTTATGAGAATGACTGGTCAAGACCTAAAGGTGTTGCTAATCTTAAATGCCAAAAGAAGTCATCTCTCCTTGACTTTGTGAGTCATAGCTTCTATGTGTTCTGGATACAGTACTTTGGAATTCCATCCTTTTCTATTCTCTGTCTTCAAATTTAAACAGTCATCTGGTTTCCATATAGTTGAGCTTGAAGTTCCACTTGCAAACTCGACAGAGACACATTGTGAGTCAAATAAAATTATGAATCAAATCCTTTGTACCTTGTACAGATGCTAAAGCACTGAGTAGTAGAAATCAAACCACTGATGCCCCTGCCCATAACCCTACCATTATTTTTTTGGTAATACTTGAATTTCTATGAAACTATATCCAACCAGAAAATCTATTTGATTACATTAGATGCTTCTTTTTAACTTTATTGAGGCATGGTTGGCATATAAAAAGCTGCACATATTTAATGTATATATCTCAATGAGTTTGAGGAGAAGTATACACCCAAGAAACCACTACCATTATCAAGGTCATAAGCATATCCATCACTTCCTCAAGTTTTCTCACGCCTGCTTTACCATTATTATTGTTATTGTTTTTGGTGTGTGTATGGTAAGAACACTTAACATAAGATCTACTCTCCTAGCAAATTTGCCTACGGGCATCATGTTATATGGTAGATCACCAGAACTTAACTTATTTTGTATAAGTGAAACTTTGTACCCATTAACCATAACCTCCCTCTTTTGCCCTCTCGACGGCCTGTGGCAACCACCATTCTACTCTCTGTTTCTGTAACTTCTACTTCTAAAGATTCTACATTTAAGTGAGATTACACAGTATTTGTCTTTCTGTGCCTGCATTACTTAGCATAATGCACTCCAGGTCAACCCATGTTGTTACTGACAGGATTTTCTTCTTCTTCTTCTTTTTTTTTTTTTTTTGTTAAGGCTGAAAAATACTACATTGTATTTATATGTCATAATTTATCTATGCATCTGTTGGACATTTAAATTGTTTCCACATCTTGACTATTGTGAATCATGCTGCAATGAAGACGGAAGTGCAAATATCTCTTGGACACTGGTTTCATTTCCTTTAGATATACTCAGAAGTGAGATGGCTGGGTCATATGGCAGTTCTATTTTTTAATTTTTTCAGAAAATTCCATATTTTCCATAATAGCTGTACCAATATACATTCTCACTAACAGTATACAAGGATTCCCTTTTCCCCATATCCTTGCCAATACTTGTCATCTGTTGTCTTTTTTGTAATAGCCATCTTTTTTTTAAAATTATACTTCAAGTTCTGGGATACATGTGCAGAATGTGCAGGTTTGTTACATAGGTATACACGTGCCATGGTGGTTTGCTGCACGCATCAACCCATCATCTACATTAGGTATTTCTCCTAATGCTATCCCTCCCCTAGCCCCCCAGCACCCAACAGGCCCCAGTGTATATCCCCTTCCCTGTGTCCATGTGTTCAACTCCAACTTACGAGTGAGAACCTGCAGTGTTTGGTTTTCTGTTCTTGTGTTAGTTTGCTGAGAATGATGGTTTCCAGCTTCATCCATGTCCCTGCAAAGGACATGAACTCATCCTTTTTTATGGCTGTACAGTATTCCATGGTATATATGTGCCACATTTTCTTTATCTATTATAATAGCCATCTTAACAGGTGTTAGGTGATAGCTCATTACAGTTTTGATTTGCATTTCCCTTATAATTAGTGGTGTTGAGCATTTTTTCATATACCTGAAAAGTTATTTGTATGTTATCTTTGGAGAAATGTTTATGCAGGTCCTTTGCCTATTTTAAAATCAGGCTATTTCATTTTTGCTATCAATTGTGTAATTTCCTTTTACATTTTAGATATTAGCCCCCCCTTTTTTGAGAAAGGGTTTCACTCTGTTGCCCAGGCTGGAGTGCAGTAGTGTGATCTTGCCTTACTGCAGCCTCTACCTTCCCAGGCTCAGGTGATCCTACCACAGCCTCCCGAGTAGCTGAGATTACAGGCATGCACCACCATGCCGGGATAATTTTTGTTTTTGTTATAGAGACAAGGTTTCACCACATTGCCCAGGCTGGTCTCAAACTCCTGGACTCAAGTGATCTGCTTGCCTTGGCCTCCAAAAGTGCTGGAATTACAGGTGAGCCACTGCACCCAGCTACCCTTTATCAGATACATGGTTTGCAAATCTTTTCTCCCAATCCGTAGGTGGCCTTTTCATTTTGTTGATTGTTTCTTTTGCTGTGCAGATGCTTTTTAGTTTGATGCAGTCCTACTTATTTTTGCTTTGTTGCCTGTGCTTTTGGTGTCATATTCAAAAGATAATTGCCAATACCAATGTCAAGGAGCTTTTGTCTTATGTTTTATTCTAGGAGTTTTATAATTTCAGGTCTTATGTTTATGTCTTAAATCCATTTTGAGTTGATTTTTGTGTATAGTGTAATATAAAGGTCTAATTTCATTCTTTTTCATGTGGATATCCCATTTTCCCAACACCATTTATTGAAGAGACTAATTTTTTTTCCTGTGGTGTATTCTCAGCACTCTTGTGAAAAGTTAGTTTACTGCATATATGTGGGTTTATTTTTGGGCTCTTGATTCTGTTCCTCTGGTCTATGGGTCTGTTTTTATGCCAGTACTAAATGCTGTTTTGATTACTATAGCTTTGTAACATAATTTGAAATTAGGAAGGGTGATATCTCCAGCTTTGTTCTTGCTCAAGATTGCTTTGACTATTTGGGGCCTTTTGTGCTTCCAAGTGAATTTTCAGATTGGGTTTTTATTTCTGTGAAAAATGTCATTGAAATTCTGATAGGGATCACACTGAATTTTACATTTTAACAACATAAATTCTTCCAATCCACAAACATGATATATCTTTCATTTTCTTTGAGATATCTTTTCATTTCTTTCATCTACCTCAATTTCTTTAATCAGTATTTTATTGTACTACATTGTACAATACAATGTAGTATAATAAATACAGGTGAACACATCTTTCACCTCCTTGGTTACATTTATACCTAAGTATTTTATTCTTTTTTGATGTTATTGTAAATGGAATTGTTTCCTTAATTTCTTTTCCAGAAAACTTGTTGTTAGTGATATAAATACAACTCTATTAATTCCAGCAACTTTATTACTTTTATTAGTTCTAACAACTCTTTGGTGGATTCTTTAGGGTTTTTTTTTTTTTTTTTTTTTTGAAATAAGGTAAAGTTATCTACACACAGAGACAATTTTGCTCTTCTCTTTCTGATTTGGATGGATTTTCCCCCCTAACTGCTTTAGCTAGGACCTCTAGGCACTGTGTTGAAAAAAGTGGCAAGAGTGGGCATCCTTGTCTTGTTCCTGATCTTGCAGGAAGCCTTTCAGTTTTTCATCACTGAGTAGGATGCTAGCTGGGGCTTGTCATACATGGCTTTTATTATGTTGTGGTACATTCATTCTATACGTAGTCTATTGAGAGGTGTTTTTTTTTTTTTAAATCAGGAAATCATGTTGAATGTTATCAAATGCTTTCTCTGCATCTATTGAGATGATCATATGATTTTTATATTTCATTCTGTTAATGTGGTATATTACTTTTACTGATTTGTGTAGGTTGAACCATGACTGGATCCCAAGGATGAATCCCACTTGACAATGGTATATAATCTTTTAAATGTGCTGTAAAATTTAGTTTACTAGTTTTGTTTTTAGTATTTTCACATCTATGTTCGTTACAAATATTGGCTAGTAATTTTCTTTTCTTGCAGTGTCCTTGTCTGGCTTTGGTATCAGGGTAATGCCGGCCTTGTAGCATGAGTTTGGAAGTGTTCCCTCCTTTTCACATTTTTGGAGGAGTTTGAGCAGGACTGGCGTTACTTCTTCTTTAAATACTTGGTAGAATTCACCAGTGAAACCATCTTGTCCCGAGATACTCTTTGTTGAAAGGTTTTGGATTCCTTAGTCAATCCCATTACTTGCTATTGGTCTATTCAAATTTCCTATTTTGTCAAAGCTCAGCCTTGTTAATTTGTATGCTTCTACAAATTTATCCATTTCTTCTAGGTTATCCAATTTGTTAGCATATACTTTTCACAGAAGATTCTTATGATCCTTCGTATTCCTGTGATATCACCTGTAATGTCTCTTCTCTCATTTATAATTTTATTCATTTGATTCTTTTCTCATTTTTCCTTAAAGATTTTCATTATCATTTTCATTATCTTTTCAAAAAACAACTCTTTGTTTTGTTGATTTTTTTCTATGGTTTTTCTAGCCTGTTTCATTTATTTCTTCTAGATGTTTATTCCTTTCTTCCTTCTGCTAACTTTGGGCTTATTTCGTTCTTCTTCTTCTAGTTCCTTGAGACATAAAGTTAGGCTGTTTATTTGTGATCTCTCTTTTTTTCTTAAAGTAGGCATTTACTGCTATAAACTTCTTTGTTAGAACTTCTGTGGCTGCATTGCATAAGTTTTGGTATGTTGATTTTCCATTTTTGTTTCTCTCAAGATACTTTTTGATTTCCCTTTTGATTTCTTCTTTGTGACTCTTAGTTGTGAATATTTACTTTTTTGATTTTTGATTTTAATTTTTGTGCATACATAGTCGCATATGTATTTACAGGGTACATGAGATGTTTTGACACAGGCATGCAATGTGTAATAATCATATCATGTAAAATTGGATATCCCCTCAAACATTTACATTTGTGTTACAAACAATCCAATTATCTTTTAGTTATGTTAAAATGTACAATAACATTATTTTTGACTATAGACACCCTATTGTGCTGTCAAATACTAGGTCTTGTTCACATTCTTTCCTTTTTTTCTTTTGACCCATTAACCATCCTCACCTTCCACTTATACTCCAACTACCCTTCCCAGCCTCTAGTAACCATCCTTTTACTCTCTATCTCCATTAGTTCTATTGTTTTGACTTTCAGATCCCACAAATAAGTAAGAACATGTGATATTTGTCTTTCTATGCCTGGCTTATTGCACTTAGCATGATGACCTCCAGTTCCATCCACGTTGTTGAAAATGACAGGATCTCATTCCTTTTATGGCTGAATAGTACTCCATTGTGTATATGTACCACATTTTTTTATCCATTCATCCGTTGATGGACACTTAACTTGCTTCCAAATTTTAGCTATTGTGAACAATGCAGTAACAAACATAGGAGTGCAGATATCTCTCTGATATACTGATTTCCTTTCTTTTGTGTATATACCTAGGAGCAGGATTGCTGGATCATATGGTAGCTCTATTTTTAGTTTTTTCAGGAACCTCCAAATTATTCTCCCTACTGGTTGCACTAACTTACAGTTTCATCAACATGTATGAGGGTACTCTTTTCTCCACAACCTTGCCGGCATTTGTTATTGCCTGTCTTTTGGATATTAGCCATTTTAACAGAGGTGAGATGAAATCTCTTTGCAGTTGTGATTTGTATTTCTCTGATGATCAATGATGCTGAGCACCTTCGTATGTCTTCTTCTGACCATTTAAAAACTGGATTATTAGATATTTTTCTTATAGAGTTGTTTGAGCTCCTTACATACTCTGGCTATTAATTCCTTGTCAGGTGGGTAGTTTGCAAATATTTTCTCCCAGTCTGTGGGTTTTTCTACACTTTGTTGACTATATCCATTGCTGTATAGAAGCTTTTTAACTTGATATGATTCCATTCGTCAATTTTTGCTTTGGTTGTCTGTGCTTGTGGGCTATTACTCAAGAAAGGAATTTTTGCCCAGACTAATGTCCTGGAGATTTTCCCCAATGTTTTCTTGTAGTAGTTTCGTATTTGAGGTCTTATATTTAATTCTTTAATCCATTTGCTTGATTTTTGTATATATATAGAGAGACAGGGGTCCAGTTTCATTCTTCTGCATATGGACATCCAGTCTTCCCAGCACCATTTATTGAAGAGACTGTCTTTTCCACAGTGTACATTCTTGGTACCCTTCTCAAAAATGAGTTAACTCTAAGTATGTGGATTTGTTTATGGGTTCTATACTCTGTTCCATTAGTCTGTGTGTCTGTTTTTATGCCTGTACCATGTTGTTTTTGTTACTACAGCTCTACAGTACAATTTACAGTCAGGTAAAGTAATTTGGCCAGTTCTGTTCTTTTTGCATAAGATAGCTTTGGGTATTCCGGGTCTTTTGTAATTCCATATTAGTTTTAGGACTGTTTTTTCTATTTCTGTGAAGAATGTCACAGAATGCAGTCTACATATTGCATAGAATCTGTAGATTGCATTGGGTAGCATGGACATTTTAACAATATTGATTCTTCCAATTCATGAACATGAAATATCTTTCCATTTTTTGAGGTCTTCTTCAATCTCTTTTATCAGTGTTTCCTAATTCTGATTATAGAGATCTTTCACATCTTTGATCAAGTTGATTCCTACGTATTTCACTTTATTTGTGGCTGTTGTAAATGGGATTACTTTTTGCATTTCTTTCTCAGATTGTTCAGTCAGCATACAGGAATGATACTGATTTTTGTATGTTGATTTTACATCTTGCAACTTTACTAAATTTGTTTATCAGTTCTAACAGTTTTGATGGCGTCTCTGGATTTTTCCAAATATAAGATCATATATCTGCAAACAAGGATAATTTGACTTATCTTCCTGTTTGGATGCCCTTTATTTCTTTCTGTTGTCTGATTGCTCTAGCTAGGACCTCCAGTACTATATTGAACAATAACAGTGAAAAAGAGTGTCCTTGTGGTGATCCAAATCTTAGAGGAAGGGCTTTCAGTTTGTTCCCATTCAGTATGATATTGGCTTGAGGTCAGCCATATATGGCTTTCATTCTCTTGAGGTATGTTCTTTCTATACTTAGTTTTTGAGGGTTTTTATCATGAAGGGATATTGAATTCTGTCACATGCTTTTTTGCATCAATTGAAATGATCCTATGGTTTTTGCCCTTCATTATGTTAATATGACCTATCATATTGATTGATTTGCACATTTTGAACCATCCTTGCATCCCAGGGATAAATCTCGCTTGGTCATGATGAATGATCTTTTTATTGTATTGTTGAATTTGGTTTGCTAGTATTTTGTTGAGGATATTTGTATCAATATTGATCAGAGATATTGGCCCGTAGTTTTTTTTTTTTAATGTGTCTTTAGTTTTGGTATTAGGATGATATTGGCCATGTAGAATGAGTTTGGAAGTATTGCCTCCTCCTTTATTTTTCAAAATAGTTTGAGCAGGATTGGTATTAGTTCTTCTTTAAATGTTTGGTAGAATTCAGCAGTGAAGCCATAGGATCCTGGGCTTTTCTCTACTGGGAGACTTTTTATTAAGGCTTCAATCTCATTACTCATTATTGGTCTGTTAAAGTTTTGGATTTCTTCAAGGTTCAATCTTGGCAGGTTGTATGTGTCAAGAAATTTATCCATTTCTTCTAACATTTCAAATTTATTGGTATGTAGTTGCTCATAGTAGCCACTAATGATTCATTATCCATTTCTTCTAAATTTTCCAATTTATTTGTATATAGTTGCTCATAGTAGCCACTAATGATCCTTTGAATTTCTGTGGTATCAGTTTTAATGTCTCCTTTTGCATCTCTGATTTTATTTATTTGGGTCTTCTCTCTTTTTTTCTTAGTTAATCTGGCTAAAGGTTTGCCTATTTTGTTTAACTTCTCAAAAAACCAACTTTTTGTTTCATTGATCTTTTGTGTTGTTTTCTTCATTTCAATTTCTGCTCTGATCTTTATTATTTATTTTCTTCTATCAATTTTGGATTTGGTTCGCTCTTGCTTTTCCAGTTCTTTAAGATGTATCATTAGGCTGTTCATTTCAAGTTTTTCGTCTTTTTTGATGTAAGCACTAAGAGCTATAAACTTCCCTCTTAGTACAGTTTTTTGCTGTATACCATAGGTTTCGAAATGTTGTATTTCCATTATTGTTTGTTTCAATAAATTTTTCAATTTCCTTCTTAATTTCCTCACTGATCCACTGGTCATTCAGGAGCATACTATTTAATTTTCATTTGTTTGCATAGTTTCCAAAATTCTTCTTGTTGTTGATCTCTGGTTTTATTCCACTGTGGTCAGAGAAGGTGCTTGATATTATTTCAATATTTTTTGAATATTGTTTTATGAGTTAACATACGGTTTATCCTTGAGAATGATCCATGTGTTGAGGAAAAAAATGTATATTCTGCAGCCATTAGATGAGACGTTCTGTAAATATCTATTAGGTCCATTTGGTCTATAGAGCAGATTAAGTCCAATGTTTCTTTGTTGATTTTCTGTCTGGAAGATCTGTCCAATGCTGAATGCAGGGTGTTGAAGTCTTTAACTATGATTGCACTGAGGCCTATATCTCGCTTTAGCTCTAATAGTATTTAGTATATATATCTGGGTGCTCCAGTGTTTGGTGCACATATATTAACAATTGTTATATTCTCTTGCTGTATTGACCCCTTTATCATTATATAGTGACCTATTTGTCTCTTCTTACAGTTTTTGTCTTGAAATCTATTTTGCCTGATATATAAGTATAGCTACTCTTGCTCTTTTTTGGTTTCCCATGGCATGGAATATCTTTTTTCATTCCTTTATTTTCAGTCTATGTGTGTCTTTATAGTTGAAGTGTGTTTCTTGTGGGCAACAGATCACTAGGTCTTTTTTAAAAAAATCCATTTAGCCACTCTATGTCTTTTGATTGGAGGGTTTAGTCTATTTACATTCAATGCTATTATTGATAAGTAAGAACTTTCTCCTGCCATTTTGTTATTTTTGTGGTCGTTTTGTGGTCCTCTCGTTTCTTTCTTTCCTTCCTGTTTTCCTTTTAGTGAAGATGATTTTCTTTCATGATATAATTTAGTTTCTTACTTTTTATTTTTTTGTGTATCTGTTGTATGTTTTTTGGTTTGAGGTCACCATGAAGCTTGCAAATACTATTTTGCAACCCATTATTTTAAGCTGAACACAACTGAACACTGTTTGCATACACAACAAAGAAACAAGCAAAAAGAAAATAAGCATTCTGCACTTTAACTTAGTCCCCCCACTTTTTAACTTTGTGTTGCTTCTATTTATTAATGTATCTTATTGAACTGTGTCTTCAAAAGTTGTAGTTATTATTTCTGATTGGTTCATCATTTAGTCTTTCTGCTTAAGAGTGGTTCATACATCATAGTTACAGTTTTACGATATTCTGGGTTTTTCTTTGTACTTACTATTACCAGTGAGTTTTGTACCTTTAGATGATTTCTTATTGCTCATTAACATCCTTTTCTTTTTGATTGAAGTACTCCCTTTAGCATTTCTTGCAGGACAGTTCTGGTGTTTATGAAGTCCCTCAGCTATTGTTTGTCTGGGAAAGTCTTTATTTCTTTTTCATGTTTGAAGGGTATTTTCACCAGATATACTATTCTAAGGTAAATTTTTTTTCCTTTCAGCAAATATGTCATGTCAATCACCCCCAACCTCTAAGATTTCCACTGAAAAGTGTGCTGCCAGATGTACTGGAGCTCCATTGTATGTTATCTGTTTCTTCTCTCTTGTTCCTTTTAGGATCCTTTATCCCTGACCTTTGGGAATTTCATTACTAAATGCTTTGAGGTAGTAATCTTTGGGTTAAATCTGCTTGATGTTCTACAACCTTCTTGTATTTGGATATTGATATCTTTCTCTAGGTTTGGGAAGTTCTATTATCCCTTTGAATAAAACTTTTACCCCTCTTTCTCTACCTCCTCTTTAAGGCCAATAACTCTTACATTTGCCTTTGGAGGCTATTTTCAAGATCCTGTAGGCATGCTTCATTGTTTTTTATTCTTTTTTCTTTTATCTCCTCTGAGTGTTTTTTTTTTTTTCTTTTTGAGATGGAGTCTTGCTCTGTCGCCCAGGCTGGAGTGCAATGGCGCAATCTCGGCTCACTGCAAGCTCCACCTCCCAGGTTCATGCCATTCTCCTGCCTCAGCCTCCTGACTAGCTGGGACTACAGGTGCCCACCACGATGCCCGGCTAACTTTTTGTATTTTTAGTAGAGATGGGGTTTCACCATATTAACCAGGTTGGTCTCGATCTCCTGACTTCGTGATCCGCCTGCCTCGGCCTCCCAAAGTGCTAGGATTACAGGCGTGAGCCACCACACCCAGCTCTCTGAGTATATTTTTATATAGTCCGTCTTCAAGCTCACTCATTCTTTCTTCTGCTTGATCAATTCTGCAATCAAAGGACTCTGATGTATTCTTCAGTACGCCAATAGCATTTTCCAGGTCCAGAATTTCTGCTTCTTTTTATTTCAATCTCTTAGTTAAATCTGTGTGATAGAATTCTGAGTTCCTTCTCTGTGTTATATTGAATTTCTTTGAGTTTTCTCAAAACAGCTATTCTGAATTCTTTGTCTAAAAGGTCATAAATCTCTGTTTCTCCAAGAATAGTCCATGGTGCCTTATTTAGTTCATTTGGTGAGGTCATATTTTCCAGATGGTCTCGATACTTGCAGATGTTCGTCTGTATTTGGGCATTGAACACTTAGGTATTTACTGCTGTCTTCTCAGTCTGGACACATTTGTACCCATCCATCTTGGGAAGGCTTTCTCAATATTTGAAAGGACTTGGATGTTATTATCAAAGCTTAGTCTGCTTTAGAGGGCACTCCAAGACCAGTAATGCTGTGGTTCTTGGACACTCATAGAGATACTGCCTTGATGGCCCTGAACAAGATCAGGGAGAATTCTCCGGATTACAAGGGAGAGACTCTAGTTCTCTTCTCTTACTTTCTCTGAAACAAACAGAGTCTCTCTCTGTGTCTGTTTTGGGCCACCTAGAGCTGGGGGTGGAGTGACATTAGCACCCCTGTGGCCACCATGACCCTGTGACTATGCTGGGTCACACTGGAAGCCAACACAGCACTGGGTCTCACCCACGGCCTTCTGTAACCACCCCCTGGCTACTCCCTATGTTCACTCAAGACTCTGAGGCTCTGCAATCAGCAGATGGCAAAGCTAGCCAGGCCTGTGTCCTTCCCTTCAGAGTAGTGAGTTTTCCCAGGACCCAGGCAGGTCCACAGCTGCCATCCTGAAACCAAAACTAGAATAAAAAACCTTCAAAGTCTACCTAGTGTGCTACTGTACTATAGCTGAGTTGGCACTCAAACCACAAGACACAGTCTTTCCCATTCTTCCTTTCTCTTTCCCAAGGCCTCATCCCATAGCCACTGCCATCACAGGCCCATGGGGTATACTGCCAGACTACTGCTGATGTTCCCTAAGGCCCAAAGGCTCTTCACCAAGCTTGGGGTGAATGCTGCCTGGTCTGAAACTGACCTTTAAGTGCAGTAGGCTCCTCTCTGGCCCTGGGTAGGTCCGGAAATACCATTCAAGATCCAAGTCCTGGAATCAGAGACTCCAAGAGCCTGCTTGGTGCTCTACCTACCTGTGGCTGAGCTGGTACCTAAGGTCCAAGACAAAGTCCCATTCACTTTTCCTTCTGCTTTTCTCAAGCAGAGGAGTCTTGTCCCATAGCCACCACAGCTGGAAGTGTGCTGAGTCTCACATGAAGTCAGCAGGTCTCAGAGTCTCACCCAAGGCCCTCAATGTAGTAGCTTGTTATTGCTGCTGGTTATTTAGGGCCCAAGGGCTCTTCAATTAGCAGGTAAGGAATCCTGCCAGGACTGGGTCCTTCACTGCAAGGTAGCAGGTTCCCTTCTGACCCAGGGTGTGTCTAGAAATGTTGTTCAGGAGCTAGGGCCTGGAAAAAGGGCCTCATGACTCTGACTGGTGCCCTATACTGTTGTGGCTGAGCTAGTATCCAAGATGCAAGACAAAGTCCTCCCCACTCTTTGCTCTCCTTTCCTCAAGTGGAGGGAAGGGGTCTCTTTAGGAGTTGTAAGCTGTGTAGCCTGGGATTAGGGAAGGGATGATGTCTGTCCTCCCTTAGCTGCTCAGGCTGGTGTCTCAGTAGGCTGCATACCCCACTAGTCCGCTGGCTCTGGGCCCAGTTCAGCACTAGGACTTGCCTAAAAGTTTGCAGTCCTTGTGGCCTAGACTGCCTTTCAACTTTATTTAGAGTCCCAGAGTGCTTTGGCCCACAATGGTGAGACTTGCAGGAACTCAAGTTCAGACTGCTGGGATCAGTCAATCCCTCCTGGCTAGGGCTGGTTTAAATGCTCACTCTGTAGGTGGGCATCAGCTGAATTTGGTTGTTTTTTTTTGTTTTGTTTCCTTGCTATAACAGGGCAACACTGAGTTCAGTGCCTCACAACTGCTGTGCTGCTCTTCCTCTTCCCAGAGCAAAGAAACACCTTGGCACCATGCCAACACTGTCAGGAAGGTAGAGAGGTGGCGTCAGCAATTCAATCACCCAGCAATTCAGGGTGATCAGTGGAGCCTTTTGTTCTGCCATATTGCTCCACCTAAAGGAGTGTGTTATTTAATTTGTGAATTTTCCTCCTGTTTCTAGTTTCATACCTTTGTGGTCAGAAGATATTTGATACCATTTCAAGCTTCTTAAATGTGTTAAGACTTGGTTTGTGGCCTACACATAATCTATTTTGGAAAATGGTCCTTGTGCCCTTGAGAAGAATGTGTATTCTACTGCTGTTGGATGGAATGTTTTGTATATGTTTGTTAGGTCCATTTGTTCAAGTCTGACATTTCCTTATTGATTTTCTGTCTGGATGATCTATCCATTGTTGAAAGCAGAGTATCAAAGTCCCCTACTATTATGTTGTTGTCTATTTCTCCCTTCAATTCTGTTAATATTTGCTTTGTATTTTCTTGATGAATTGATCCCTTTATGATTACATAGAAATATTCTTTATTTCTGTGACAGATAGCCACTCCTGCTCTCTTTTGGTTACTTTCTGAATGGAATATCTTTTTCTATCCCTTGACTTTCAGCCCATGTGTCTTCTTAATTCTAAAGTGAGTTTCTTGCAGGTAGCCTACAGTCAAATCACATTTTTTTAATTCATTGGGTTACTCTGTTTTTTGATTGGGGAATTTAATCCATTTACATTTAAATTAATTATTGATAGGTCAGAACTTACTGTTGCCATTTGAATAAAACTGATTATTTTATAGTTCTTTGGTTTCTTTCTTCCTCTCGCTTTTTTTTTTTTAAGTGGTATGCTTTTATTCCTTTTTGTCTTGTATGTATTTATTATGAGTTTGGCTTTGTGAGTATCATGAAGCTTATATAAAGCATCTTATAGTTATAACAGTCTATTTTAAATGATAGCAGCTTAATTTTGGTCACATACAAAAACTTTATACTTTTACTCACCCTGCCAACATTTTCTGCTATTGATATCACAATTTACATCTTTTTATACTGTGTATCAATTAAATTTTTGTAGCTGGCTATTTTTATACATTTGTATTTTTAACCTTCATCCTAAAAGTGATTTACATACCACCATTACAGTATTAGACTATTCTAATTTGACTACGTATTTACCTTTATTTCTGAGTTTTATAGCTTCATATATTTTCCTGATGCTAATAAGCATCCTTTCATTTCAACCTGAACAACTTCCCTTAGCATTTCTTATAAGGCAGGTCTAGCGGTGATAAACTCCCTCAGCTTTCGTTTGCCTGTGAAAATCTTTCTCTCTCCCTTATTTCTGAAGGACAGCTTTGTCAGGTATGCTATTCTTGGTTAGCAGCTATTTTCTTTCATCACTTTGAATATATCATTCCACTCTTTCCTGGCCTGTAAAGTCTCTGCTGAGAAATCTGCTGATAGTCTTATAATGAGTCCTTTGCATGTGACAAAAACCCCTTCTGTTTTCAAAATTATCTTCATCTTTGACTTTTGATAATTTGATTTTAATGTGTCTCAGTGATGACCTCATTATGCTCAAGTTATTTGGAGTTTTTTGGGCTTCATGGAAGTGCATGCTCATTTCTCTTTCCAGATTTGGGAAGTTATCTTTCATCATATCTTTAAATAAACTTTCTTCCTCTTTCTCTTTCTGAGCTACTTCTGGGACTCTCATAATGCATACTTTGGTTCACTTGATGGTGTCCCATCATCCCGTATGCTTTCTTCATCCTTTTCATTCTTTTATGTTTTTGTTCTTCTCCCTAGATAATTTCAAAAGCCCGTAATTCTTTAGTGGTAATATACTTCCTTGAATCTTGATGTTCCTTGAAGCCTTCACGTTTGAAGAAACAGCCAACTCTTCCTGTCTTTATTGATCACCATGAAGAGAGAAAGACCTGCACCAGTGAGCCTGGTTAGAGATGCTGAAGGTTTCTCAGACCTTTACTATGAATGCATTTGCTCCACTCCTCTTGTTTCCTCTTATGGGGAAATCTTAATACTGTCTGCCTTCTCTTCATCCTACAAAGCTGGGACTGGTGCCAAAAGCCTCTCATTTATTTTCCCTAGAGCTGCGCCCTGAAGTGTTTAAGGTTGTGTGCTTTCTCACAAACCAGTAGATCAGGCTTTTAAGATACATATTGGCTACTGAGATCCATGCACTGTCTGAGGGAGCTTGCACAGGCCATGCACCAGGGACTCATGGGGTACCATCCATGGCGGTGGTGGTGAATGGGGTCCTAAGGGTGCACAACAGCTTGTTGGGAATGTATATGGGTAAATTGTATTGCAGGATTTGTGGGTGGATCACTTGATGGAGTCCATGAACCAGTTAACTATATCTGTGGCTGGCTGTTGAAAACTGCATGCCAGTTGCTGTGAGTGTTCACTTCTTCTCCCTACTCCTAGCTACCACTGGATTATTCAGCCATGCAGATCCCCTTGGTGTTCTGGGAGGGGAAAGATGACGTGAGACTCTCAGGCAGCATCCCACAAGGCTGGGTAACTCAGGCTCTCACTTTGCTCTCCCTTTCCCTCCTGAGAGAAATTGTGGGCCTCTTTTGGCACAAAGATGTGGTACTTTAAGGAGGGGTGACATTAGTGAAGTGAAATTGCTCTTCTTACTCTTTTCAATGTTTCCACTCTCAGATTTTTTGCTCCACCAGTGTGCTGGAAACTCTCAGCTATATTTTGTGGCTCCCACAAAGGTATTCTCATCTGTGGGTGGTTACACCAACTGGTGTTTCCTTGAGGGGAATGAGAGCTAGATTCTCCTGTTCTGCCATCTTGCTGATGTCACACTCCCTAGATGCTTTCTTTGTAGAGGAAAACTCTGAGGCTTCTTTGTAAGAAAGAATAACTTAACCATTCTTGGTGTGTAAGTTCCCTCATTCCTCCAATTCTCATCAATACAGAAAAACAGCTAACTGCATCTCAAAACCAGGCAGTGTCAGTATAATAAAAATAAATTATACTGAAAATAAAGCAAACACTTAGTTCATATTGTAATTGAACATAACTAGAAACAATGTTTGGTTAATGGTTGACAATAACTTTATCTTTCAAATAGAAGTAAAGGTATCCACATATTAAGGCAAATCACTCTATAAAATAACAAAAGCCACAGTTCCCTGAAATTTTCTCTTCCAAACTTTTCCAAAGATGGGAGGTACTGAGGAAATATATTGTGTATATTAGGTATGAATAAGTGCATATGTGGTTATAATGCTTTTTTTTTTTTTTTTTTTGAGACGGAGTCTCGCTCTGTCACTCAGGCTGGAGTGCAGTGGCGTGATCTTGGCTCACTGCAAGCTCTGCCTCCTGGGTTCACGCCATTCTCCTGCCTCAGCCTCCCGAGTAGCTGGGACTACAGGCACCCGCTACCATGCCTGGCTAATTTTTTTTGTATTTTTAGTAGAGACGGGTTTCACTGTGTTAGCCACGATGGTCTCAATCTCCTGATCTTATGATCCATCCACCTTGGCCTCCCAAAGTGCTGGGATTACAGGCGTGAGCCACTGCGCCCGGCCTATAATGCTATTGTAAATGCATTATCTACCAGATCAACTCATTGATTAGAGAAAGTTAAAATGTAAAAATTTGAAGCTAACTTCTATCTGAATTAAAGCTACATGCTCAAAAGACAATGAATGTCAGAAATAAAACTGAGAGAAATATTAACTAATAAAGGCAAATTCAACTTTTAGAGGTCAAAAAATAATCCATTATGTTAATGTGTGACTTTCTCAGGGAGTTGCTAAGTGTTCCCTGCAGAGTTTGACTTACTGTGTCAGAGCAGCAAAAGTTTTAACTAAAAAACAAAATCCTGGCACCATTGGAAAAACATACCATATGAGAATGAATTCACAAAGTAACTATGATTCACTCATGCTTGATGTGCTATGTTCAGATCAGAGATTTTAAACATTAAATAAAGGTCACTACAATCAAAGAGGTCAGGGAATGGGGAGACAAACTCAAAACAATTAAGATGTCTCAGTCTGGAAAGCTGAGAATAAAGGAGATTTTTTATAGAATGAAAACTGATTTACCAAATCCTAAAATTAGGAGCACCTTTTGTTTTTTGTTTTGTTTTGTTTGTCTGTTTTTAGAGACAGGGTCTTGCTCTGTCACCCAGGCTGGAGGGCAGTGGCACAATCATAGCTCACTGCAGCCTGAAATTCCTAGGCTCATGTAATCTTCCCACCTCAGAATCCCGAGTAGCTAGGACTACAGACATGCACCACCACACTCAGCTAGTTTGTTTCAATTCTAGGGGGCAGACGGGGTCTCACTACATTACCTAGGCTAGTCTCAAACTCTTGACCTCAAGTGATCCTCCTACCTTGGCCTCCCAAAGTGCTGGAATTATAGACATGAACCACCACACCCAGCCAGGGGCATCTTTTGAAGCTTGAAAGTGGTAAACACAGAACAAATATGATGAAATAAAACAAGACAGAACATTACTTGACATAACAAAGTAAAGTTTCAGAAATTGCTATTTCCCAGCCTGGGCAACATAGTGAGACACTGTCTTAAAAAAAAACTAATTAATGAGATACTAGCTGAGCACAGTGGCACACACATGTATTCCTGCTGAATGAGAGGCTAAGGCATGAGAATCGCTTGAATCCAGGAGTGCAAGACTAGCCTTGGCAACACAGCAAGATCCTGCCTTTAAAAAGAAAGAAAGAAATCATTGCTTCAAGAGAAAAAAATAATCAGGATTAAAAACTATCAAAATAAATAAATGTATGCTAAATTCATCATATGTTATTAAAGGGAAACTAGGATGTTTTCTTGACCCATAACATTGAGCACCAAAACCCCTCTCAATGGGAGTCAGAATACTAGGATATTTTCAGTAGAGCAATCGTATATTATTATAAATGTTACTTGGAGTCTTCCTTAAGTTTCAGTGGAGAAAAGTAAGTATATTAAGACACTTTAATAGATGTAAAATTTAACAAGGTTTTAAATCTAACAGCTTTAAAGAAAAAACCCAACTCTGAAATTGGGGGTTATTATTTTGTAACTCAAACAGTAAAAACCATGATGTTAACATCTTTACCTACAGTCTTATAGGTAACAAATCTACTGCAGAAAACAACAGCTGAAAGTTGTTGCTATTTTGCACTATTCTGAAGGAATATACTAAGACTCAGTTTATGTATTTCTGCACTTCCAAACCACAAGGGCAACTAATATTCATCTGTGTGGAGTCTCAACAAATAAACCCAAAATGAGTAACAGGATTGAAAACCAGTTCTTTTATTTTTTTTTTTTCAATCTTGGCTTAGATTTAAAGTGCTATTATGAAAGAAGATGTTAAGTTAATGAAGACAGTAAACTAGTAGGTTTGAGAACCAATTTCTTGTGTCTTCAGAGTTTTCAACTCAATATGACACAGATAAATTCACTTCAGTGCAAATAAAAAGCACAGACTAAAACTGTAATTCTAGGAGCTGTATTAGGAACCTAAAAGCCAATTGTTAACAACTGGATAAGTCAAATATCCATAGATAACTGAAGACGATAGATTTTTCTTCTTTGGTTTTTATTTGTTTTCTCCATTTTGCCCTTTAAGGTAAGCCTGTACCTGCTTATTTGTCCTTAGGAAAAAACCAGATATCAGGATAAAGCTATTGTTTCTGAAGAATGACTGCCAATGTCAGGTTTCTCTCTGTAAACTGAAACAGAAGGAGCTATCTTATTCCCAATAGGGTCTCAGAAAAAGATACAGGTTTAAGGTTGATAATTCCCATGTACACATGGTAAGAAGGGACAAGATCTGCTTTATAGAGTTAATCCTCAAAAAAAGATACGGATTCTTAGGCCCTGTTGGTAAACAATAGGTTCCATGGGGTGAGTGCATCAGCCAAAATGGCATATGTGTAAAGTGAGCACCAGCATGTGATAACTGTTTGTGGATGATGGTGTAATAAAATTTTTTGATTGTGTGACCATTTATTTTAAAATAAATCAGATCTGTAAATATAAACAAATAAAGAAATAATATCTGACACAGAGAATTTCAAAGACTATCCTAATTACTGATAGATGATGTACAATAAGACAAGCATAATTTAACGAAGTTAATACAAATGACAGCAACAGCAAAAATGTTGCTTTCTTTTGTTTTTTGTTTTTGAGACGGAGTCTTGCTCTGTCGCCCAGGCTGGAGTGCAGTGGCGCGAACTCCACTCACTGCAAGCTGCGCCTCCCGGGTTCAAGCCACTCTCCTGCCTCAGCCTCCCGAGTAGTTGGGACTACAGGCGCCTGCCACCACACCCGGCTAATTTTTTTGTATTTTTAGTAGAGACGGGGTTTCACCGTGTTAGCCAGGATGGTCTAGATCTCCTGACCTCATGATCCGCCCGCCTCAGCCTCCCAAAGTGCTGGGATTACAGGCGTGAGCCACCGCACCCGGCCTGTTGCTTTCTAATCTATAAAACAATTATATATAATTTAATGATTTCTAAGGTTTCTTGGCTATCTAAAGATCCAGAACATTGCCATTATTTTACGAAGTCAGATGACTTTCTCTTTCTTATTTGACAATATTTATTATGTTCCAGCCAGCTTTGTGAGCATAGGTTATTCAAC
Organism: Homo sapiens; assembly: GCF_000001405.40. Classification (NCBI taxonomy): domain Eukaryota; kingdom Metazoa; phylum Chordata; class Mammalia; order Primates; family Hominidae; genus Homo; species Homo sapiens. The sequence continues at coordinate 72,462,783 of NC_000016.10, forward strand.
TGAGAGAAAAACTAGATATAGATCCTATAGTTTATAGACATTAATCAAGAAACTATATATTATCAAAAATTGTGTGTTATAAAAACACACGGAGCTCTGAATGCACAGAAGGGGACTGATTCAGTTTGGTGGGGAAGGAATGAGAGTATGGGAAGATTTCCATGAGGAACTCAATTTTAAGCTGAGATCTGAAGGATGAGTAGGGATTACCTAGGAAAGGGAGGAATGGGATGAAAATGGTATTTGTAGGTAGAAGGAAAGGCTTGTCCAAAGATCCAAGTTAATAGGTATGCAGCTGAAATAGTAGGGGGAAGAATGTGATGTAATGAAGTTGGAGCATCAGACAAAGTTCAGATCATGCTTAGCTTAGAATGCCATATTAAAGATGGCAGTCTTCATTTTAGGGAAATAGGAAGCCTTTGAAAAGTTTCACCAACAGGAGACAAATGACCAGATTTCTAAAACATCACCTTGGTTGTGATATGGAGAAATAATTGTCAGAGGTAAGAACGGATGTTGAAAAAACAGGAAGTTTTTGTGGTAGGCCAGGTGAAACATCATGGTAATTTGCCCTGGGACAGTGCGGTGGATAATGACATAAGTGGCTGAATTCAAAAGATATTTGTAAGGTAAAATGGACATTAGGTGATGAAGTAGACATGGGGAGGGAATTACCAAAAATAATTCTAATGTCTCTGCAATTAGTGAAGTCATTTACAAAAAGTAAGGAATGGGGACAAAAGAACAGATTTTTTTCTTTATTTTTAAAGTAGGGGGTGGTTTGAAGATCATGAGTTCATATTTGGACATGTTAATTTTGAGCTATGTTTAGAGATGTCAAGTAGAACAGAATAAGAACAAGGAATGCAAATTAAAAGAATCACAGGCATATAATTGAAACCTGAGTATAAATGAGATCTCCCAAGGGAGAGAGTATTCTATAATTGTTTTAAAAAATGTAAGAACACATTATTTTAAGGCCTTTTGGAAAAAAGAACATATTTACTGTATCAAATTCTCACAAGCCTTCCAATGTCAAATAATAATCAGCATTTTAATGTATTATCTTAATTGAACATCACAATCATTTTATGGGATAGGTACTATCATTATTCTCATGGTGCATATAAAGAGGCTAAAGCTTTGGGAAGTAATTTACCTTATTCAGAAGCCAGAGTTCAAACCTAGGGCTGAGCTCTTAACTATTGTACTGGGCTGCTTTCTTAGTACTTCTTATATTAAACCAGAAACAGTAACAACTTTAACAGTCAAAGTCTTGTAAAGACTTGTGTGCAGAGTGCAACACTGCATATTTAAAGTAATTATGTAGGAAGAGAGTATGGCAGCTTTAATTTGATAGAACTATGGGAGAACAAAGATTTTAGGAACATAAAATAAGTCTGGTTTACACAAATGACAGAAATCTCCTGCTCAGTTACCTTAAATTGCTTCATATCATAAAACCATAAAAAATATCATCATCAGCAATATGGCATCCAACAGTAACTCTGTTTAGGAACTGGTTTCAGTTTTGACTCACAGAAAGTAGTATTTCCCAGAAAGTTATCATGTCAAAAGACTTAGTTTTTCTTGGGCTATATGAAAATCTAACTCAGTTTACGTATTACCCAATAAGGATCATAGCCATAGAGGGAGTTGAAAGTTTACTAAGTGATAAGAATTTGAAAATCAAGAGGATCTAGGAAAGGCTTGTAAGTAGATAGCTTTGGGTATTATTATCAAATCAAGAAACCTTATTTTATGCTTATACTTTAAAAAAAATGCTTGTGCCTTTATGTTTGTAAGTATTGATATATTGGGGTCCCCAGAAAGTATAAGAATAAAGTCAAATTAGGCAAATACATAAGCTTTAACTGAGTTTAAATTTCAAAATGAAAGTTACTGTCTTAGTCTGCTTAGATTTGCTATAAAGAAATACCTAAGGCTGGGTAATTTACAAGGAAAAGAGGTTTATTTGGCACACAGTTCTGCAGGCTGTACAAGAGGCTTGGCACCAGCATCTACTTCTGGTAAGGGCTTCAGGCTGCTTCCCCTCATGTCAGAAGTTAAAGAGGAGCTGGCATGCACAGAGATCACATGACGAGAGAGGAAGCAGAGAAAGCAAGCGGAGTTGGGGTTTGCACCAGGCTATTTTTAACAACCAGCTCTCATGAGAACTAATAGAATGAGAACTCACTTACCCCCTCACCCCCAGGGAGAGGATTATTCTATTCATGAAGGATATGCCCCCATGACCCAAACACCTCCCTTTAAGCCTCGTCTCCAACATTAGAAATCAAATTTCAACATGAGATTTGAAGGGGTCAAACAAACCAAACTATACAGTAATGAAGAGAGCAAGTGTTTGCATTACTAGCATAAGGAGTGCTTTGGAACTGAGTGGAATGTGGACACAATGTCTCTTAAGAGCAGGGATGCTGGTTCTCTGCGTAGGTATAAAATTTTACTCTGGCATGAACACACAAAAAGGCGATCTTTCTTCCTTTATACATGTGTAACTCTTAATGATGACCAGAACAAATACTAGCATTGTCACTTTACTAAATTGCAGTGTAGGTATTTACAGTCTACACTTGCATGCAATTTCAGCTTCTGAATATAACATTAGTGATTCTAATTTTATTTTATTTGCAGCTGAAATGACTTGTGTGCAATATACATGATTGGTGACCTTACTAGAATGTCCTAAAACATGCTGTGCCAGAGATAAGTTTAGTTGCCACAAGGCAACTGAAGTTGAATTTTTAGGTCATAATATGCCTGAAAAAAAGGGTTGTATCATCTTTAGTGTTAAAGATATTTAAGGCATTTTATTATTATGAGCCATATACCCATCTGAACAACAAAGATGCCTTGAGTGTTCAAGTCAATCCATAGTTTGGAAGGCCTTGGATAAGGTTCTTTAAGCTTTTCTGTGCCCAGCCCCTGCAGACTGATTAAGCCATATGCAGATTATCTTTCTCCATAAGCATTTATTTCATGAACTTAAGGAAAAAGCCAAAGTGAAAATTAAGGTTTATATCAGGGCCAAGACTGGGATGAGGTAAGAGAAACGCCTATGGTGTAAAATTTAAGGAGGCTCTCAATCCCAGGGTCATGTAAGTGCTAGGTTGACACCAGAAAGTGGGTACCTCCTTAAATTTTGCTATATAAGCACCTTCCTAGCCTCACCCTAGTCCTGGCCTTGGATTTTATTGTCAAAGGTCTTTCAGAGTCAAGGCTGTGCTATTTCAGATGCACATCTTTTTGTTGTTGTTGCTCAAAAGCTAACAAAAATCAAGTACATAATTTTTAAACTTTATATCAAAAAAGTACTGTAAAAAAATGAAATACGTAGAGGAGCAATATTAATAGAGATCTCAGCTAAATCTGAATAACAACTAATAGCATACCTGTTGGTACTATTTGCTGTGTGCAATTATATATATATTTATATATAAACACACAGACACACACATACACGCACACATATAAAATCTCCTTCAGTCCTCAACTCTGAGTTAAAGTATAATTATCATTATTATTCCCATTTATACAGGTAGGGAAATTAAGGCTTATAGATGTCAAATAAAAAATTGCTCACTGTCGCATAGCGAGTAGGAACTCAAGCTGATCTAACTCAAAACCCTAATCTCTAACTGCTATGCTTTGCTGCCTTCTAAATATTATCATTCAATATTGGTGATCTGTTGATTGTATCTCTACTATAGGCAGGCATGTACATGCTAATTGCTTATGTAAATTTAGCATTTTTCTTGTCAGAAAAACTGGTTAATAAGCCTTAGAGTACTCTCATTTTTGCAGCCTTATAGCATGGTGGACTAAGAAAGGGAAAATGAATGTAAGAAAAAGAAAAGAAAGAAGGAAAAAACAAAAGATTGCAAGAGAAAATGCATGATTTAGAGATCATATCCCTTTTGTGAACCAGGATAAAATAATAAGCATGAGGATGAGATTAGTATATGCAAAGAAGCTTCTTTAAAGCAAACCCAAAAGAAAAAGGAGGTCTCATTTATAGTGGAGCAAAAGAAAGAAAAAAAGGTTTATTAGAGGACAAAAAATGTTACTTTGGTTTTAATTTCAGCTTTTTCAAATTAAAAAAAATTAAAATAGACTTCTTTTTTCAGAAACAAAGTATCAGAACTTGTTACTTTTTCTATCTGCTGTAGAAAATACTGATATAAACCAAAACATAGGGTGAACAACGTTACAGTACTTAATTTTAAAAACAAGTTAAAGTAATAAGTGTTATTCAATTCATATAGCAAGAAGAAACACTTATGTAGAAGTAACTAAGATTATTAATGTCTAAGAAATACATGTTTCACGAACAATTTTAAGAATATGTTTTAAGAGACATAGTATTATTGGCCATGATTGTGATGTTCCAGTTTTTTTGGGAAGAGTAGATACTATAAAAGGTTAAATGCCATTTTTTCACCCCGTACCTGCCCGAACCTCTGAGCTCCTCAAACCCTTACCTCCATCACTAAGCCAAGCTCTGATACCAGTAAGAAAGTCCCTATCTTGCAACCTGCTAAAGAGTGCCCTCTTGTGTTGCATGCACATGAAATAACCTTTTTTTTTTCTTTTTTCATGAAGTGTTCTGCTTACACTGAACCTTAGGTTTTCTTTGGCATTGCAGCCAAGAAAGATAAAAGATAAATGATGCTTTAGAACAATTTTCTGGCTTTTAATGCCAGCTAAGTAAAACTATACCCCTATATTAAAGAGTTATAGGTTTTCTTTAAAAAACTTTTATAAAATAAGGTATATCCACTTCAAAAAATAATGTGCCTTTTGTTCAAAGGCTAGTTTTTAAAGAAAACAGTTTGCATAAAATGTTAGTACACTGCTAACGTTAGAATGTACTAAGAATTTTAGTACTTAGAAAAACAGGAATTTGTTCTATCAGAAAAAAATAGCAGTGACAATAATTTGCTTCTCTCAACCTCTGGAAACTTACCTAATTTCTCAGAAGTGTATTTGTGCTGAAATTTTTATTTCTGGTGACAGTCAAGATTTTGTTCATGCTTAATAAAATCCAAAAGGGAGAACATAAGAAAAATAAATTACTTGACCATAAAGTGAGTATATCTTTAAATTCCAGGGGAAAAAATGAGATATTTCAAAAGATAGCGTTACATAACATCAATATATTCCTCTAAACAGTTTTGACACAAGCACAAAGAAATTTAAAGGAATGAAGGAAATCAGTGTTTTCATTGTCTAATACACACCAAGAAATTCGAACTGTGAGACTGGTAACTCCATAAATTACCACTCTATCCTGGACATACTTTTTTCTCTTTTAAAAGAACTTATTTACATAATGAATTACAGACATAGCATGAGAAAGATTATGAAAAGCTAAATATTAAAAAAGGACTAAAAAGCATGTTAATGAATGCAAGTGTGTGATATGTCCATATATGTATATATGTTTATGTATTTCTATCACTTTGTTTAATAATTAAAGTGAATATCAGTCAAACACTTGGCTCAGAAACATGGGCAAAAATAAGATCCCTGAAATTGTCTTCCGGTAAATAAGGAGTAAAAACACTGAAGAAAGGATTAGAATTGACGAACCCACTAGATTTGCTTAACATTTTCTTCTTTTAGTTTGTTTTTAAGGTGGGGGAATGTTATTCTGCATTGTGCACATTAAATAAGGTTAACTGTGTGCAACACAGGAAAGATTAAACAAATCTGTTAAAAAATACCAACCCAAAATATAAGAGGTACAAAGAAAAAGTAGCACATATCTTAATGTTTCCAGAGTGGGGCAATGTTTAGAAATAAAATATTCTTGAAACATGTCTCTTCAGGTACTTGTATTATCTAAATCCCTTGAATGGTGTCTAAATAGAACTTAGCAAATCCAAGACAAAAACAGAGAAATGGGTATAACAAGGCCACATACTTAGAGTAAAAAAAAAAAAACAACTCTAGGTTCTATATCTACCCCTGACTCATCATTGACCTTGAAAAAGTCAGTGTTCTCCACTGCTCCTCTATCAAGCAGGAGCAATAACTCTTGCCAGAAACCACATAGGAGTGTTGATAATGGGAGGATTGGTGTGATAATGCACAGAGCTTATAGAAATTTTACTGTGCTGTGTACACTTTTGGGAAAGATCATGTGTTTTTTTGCTACCCCACAAAAGCTTAAAGAAGATAATGGATGTATAAAACATTATGTTAAATTCTGCTTAACATCTTCATTTTCATTTATCTTGATAGTTTCTTCAATCTACTGTTTTTTATAACCTCTTATGTGTTAATATTTTTATGTCTGGGAATTTCTAATTCCCTTTCTATCTCATTCTTTCTCTTTATTTGCTTTCTTTTCAGTTTTCTATTTCTAAAAAAACAAGAATTTATTCTTGTCTTGAATTTCTCCCTTCCCTCATTCTATATATATGCACAAATACTATTTTTTCTTCTACTACTTATCTCTGTTGTTCAAGTATAATAAAAGCAATCATAACAATGATACTAACACTTAATATATTTGAAAGTGCTTTGTAAACAAACGCTAATCTTATTTCAGGTATTTATTCAAGTTACTCTTAATCAGAAAAATTGTTGATAGTTTATATATCTTATTTATGACGCCCTCAAAAGGTAAAATTTTAATAGTAGTAACATTTTCAATAGTAGTAAAATTTTCATCGTGTCACTATGGAAGAAGAAATAACTACTGGATGTAATAAACCAACAATAAACTTTATTATAGTTTTCAATAGATTTCTTAGTAAATAAAAATAGAAAAAACTATTTTCTAAATTTCTTTATCTCAATTTATAGAATAAGATATATTTTATATAACCACAGGGGAGAAAAATAGAAATGTTTCACATTTCTATTTTGAACTCTATTGCTTTTCAGTGGATAACAGTGGAAATCACTTAATATATATGAAATATGGAAACGACTACCTCTCATTGTGCTCTTGGAATGATTAATTGTGCTTTTACATTAGAACAAAAGCTGTGTGAACATATGGTATTATTACTTTAATACAGGTAATTCATTGTAGTATGAAACAGCTATATATAGACCAAATAATAATCACTTCCATTACACAGGATAAAATAAAACTGCCACTGAAAAAAATGGAGAAATGCCTCTTTCTGCCTTTAATTAGTTTTTAATAAATGATACATAGTAAATGGCAACATTCTAACTTATCACAATTTAGGCACAGTCCTTTAATGGGAGGTTAAGGGGGGTATGGAAGTGTATGAACTCTGGTATCTGTTTGCATTGCCTGGGAAACCTTCTCTGTTAAAGGGCATTCATTGTTTTCAACATCTGAAAAGACGCAAGCTCTCATAAAGTCCTTTCAGGTATGCGTGACAAATGGGAAGTAGTCCTTCTATAGCACAAAGTTCCAACTACAGATAAATAGTCTATCTGTTCTTGGTTCACATCTCTATGAACATCCATTTCATTTACTGTTGGCTTTAAATCACACACTCTTCTAGGGAGATTAATACCTAGAGTATGTCACAGCCCTTTTTACTTCATAAATGTGAGAAATACACTTAGATTAATTGTTTTGATTTTTTTTTCAAAGCTGCTTTTTGGTTCCCTGACATTAAATTCTATAAACCAGTCCTCCATATATATTTTTTCATGGTATATTTCAATAGACTAGAAGACCTTCTGGTGTTTAAGTTTGTTTCTAAGGATCCAGATGGGATTTATTTTTCATATATGGTTTCTGCTTACATGCAACATTGTATTTTAATGTTTTTTAGTCTTCAACTAGAAAGGATAAAGGGATAAATGATCACCACGAACCGTTAATAAGTATCTAACCGTGGTATTCTACTTACTGTAGGGGGAATATTTATGCTCTTCTTGCTGTCATCTAGACCTACCTGAGAAGTAAAGCAAGTGAGAAGGCAGACTTTATCACTTGATACAACTGTCAAAATGGTGTCAAATGTTCACTGAATGCACTCCTCCCTCCATGCTTGCATTAGCCCTTTCCGTTGCTGTAACATCATACTGCCTGCATGCATGCACTTCTGCATGTAAAGACAGGAACTTTTATGCCTAGCATTGTCTTGGAATAAAAGAGCCTGGAAGGAAAACCATTGTTTCCTTTTAAAGGGGATAGAAAAAACATACTTGGGCTACAAAAAACTATTTCCATATGCCCACAGCTAACTTACTGTAAAGAAAATCTTGGGTAGATTTTCCATGGAGAAATCTTTTTTCCTTCCATTGGATTACCCCATGAGTGTCCCTGTCCTCCAACAGTATGGTTTTCCTATCTGAAAATGTTGAGTAAATTTCTGCTATGACTAGTAGATTCAGGAGATTAAATTTACTTAATCGTCAGTACAAATATACCTCTTCTTATGTGCTCTTTATGAAAATAAACACATGAACAAAAACTGAGTTGATCTTCCTAAAATGGACACATTCATACAAAGCTAAATCATCTTCTATCACATACTGAAGGCAAATGATCGCATACTTAGAAAAACAGAGGTGTATCTTGATGTAGTGTGTATACTTAGTATTATGCCTGACACTTCTTCACACTGCTCTTCATGTGTTCACAAGCATATAAATGTGCAACTCCATTTCTATAAAGTCAAATTCATCTAACGTTACATAGTCTGGTTGATATTTCTATATCTTTTCCTCCTTTAAATGTGACTAGCTATTTACGCCATAACAATTCTGGTGTAGCGCTGATTTAGCATTTTTATTGGAATGTGAAAGCTCTTAAAAGAAGAAAAAAAATCTAATCAGGCAGAAGAGATAGAAAACTTGCTGAATTTTCCTTCCCCCTTCCAAGACCCCCCTGAATCCTATCAAAAGCACATCTTCCATTCATTGCTTCCCGGTGTCATTATGACAAGCGGCTACAAATCAATAGCAGAGGGAAAGGCAGGACCAACCCGCACTCACCAAGTGATAAAGATTCACTCTCAGCCCCGATTTGCTAATAGCCCATAATAGCAGCCATTGGCGCCCCGCATTAAATAATACATTTCACTCCGCGTTTATTATGGGATTTTTAAAACTCCTCACCAAATTGGATTTTCTCGATGGTCTCTAATTTCCACATTTATCATTTAAAATTAAACTGCTCTGTGGAAAGGGGGGATAGAGAAGAAGAAGGTAGAGAGAGGCCAGACAGTACTGTATTTTTCCTTTTGACTCCCCCCTTTATGAAAACCCATAAATAATATCAGGTATCACAGCTATAAGCAGCAGGATTTTTTAAATATTAAAATTTCTAGAAATCAGGATGGAATAGTCTGTATGTGCTGGTCTGTGAATGAAGATGACAATTCAACAGGACAAAATATATATCCATAAATGAAGTTTTAAGCAAAATAAATTTGGTTTAAAAATGCTCAGTAATGTTGCAATGAGGGTGAATGATAAGACCGATGGAAAATATGTGAATGTTACAATATGCAAATACTCCAAGGAGCTATAAAGAGAGTTCAGCCAGTAAGGTATTCTAGCTTTAAAAAACAATATTTTTCTTATTCCAAAGCTCAGTGACAAACAGATGAAAAGTAAAAATTCTCTTATTGTCTTCTCATTACATAATAGCTTACTTTACTCTCTATACTTTCTTGGTTTAAAAATTAATTGTAAAATTTCATAGAGTCCTATAGCCACAGGACTCACTTCTTGGCAGCTATGGCAAATCCCAAATAAGTTCTTAAATCTCCCATAGATGCCACCGAAACAGCGGAATCAACCCATGGAAACATAAATCACTTCAAGTTTAAGTATATATCCTTTTAGATAATTTTTTTTGTCCTTTGGGTATAAAAATTAAAATTAAATTTCAGTTCTATAGCATAATACGAAAAGGCTATATTTTCTCAAGGCTGCACAGTTGAGACTCACTATGGCTAACTTATAACTACAGCACTGGCAGGATCCAAAGACATCAGAAGAAAACTAATCAGTACATATGTAGAGATGCTTGAAAAGGCTAAAGGTTTAGTGAAATGTCAAATGATCCTCTGATTTCTTCCTTTTGGGAACTTCCTCAGCAATATAGTCTTACCTATATCATTTCCCTTAAGAAACAGAAATGATCTTTCAAATCAGAGAGTTTAAAGGAGTTGAAAAGCTCAGCCATTTTATAACAATATTTCATTTAATCTTCATTCTTTTGTTTTGGAATTTTGTTATTGACCTAATTATTTTTAAACGTTTCAATGATCCTTTAAAAAAAATCTGCCATTAGTTGCTGTGCCTTTTCTGTCTTTTTTTTTTTTTTCAGGTAGAAAAGTACTGTTGTACATATACCTATTCTTTCCTTTCCTACTCCATATAACTAATAGCCTCCCATTTTAATGAAGTCTTTATTCAAGTAACATACATATTGAAAAGTGCACAAATAAAAAATGTATGCTATGAATTCTCACTAGCTGCACACACTTGTGTAACCAGCATTGAGACCAAGCAGCAGAATGTTTTATTAGTTACCCAGAAGCTCCCCTTTGCTCCTTTTTAGTCACTACCAACTCCCTCAAGGGTAGTCTCTGTCTTGCTTCTAGCATCTCAGATAATTCTGCCTACTTCTGAACTTTGTATAAATAGAATGCTCTAGTATGTACTCTTTTGTGTCTAGCTTCTTTCACTTAAAATTATATGACATGAATTCACAGTGATGTATGTAGTTATAGTTTGTCCATTCTCATTGCTGTAGAGCAGGGACTGACAAACTAAGATCAGATCTGGCCCACTGCCTGTTTTTGTATGGCCTGTGAGCCAAAGATTTTTATATTTTAAAAAAATATATAAAAATCAAAAGAAAGATATTTCATTACATGTGAAAATTATATGAAACTCTGGGTACATAATAGGTGCTCAGTAAATATCGGCTTTATATAGGTAATCTAAAGAGTTAATTTTAAATATATTCAAGAAGCAGCTTTACTTTGTTTTCATATCAAAAGTCCTTTTCAATTTGCCCTATCAACATCTCCCTTCTCTTCAACCCTGAAGACTGTGGTTTGTAAAACTATTTAGCTCACATTCACTCTTCTGTTCCTTGTCTACTGTGTTATGTTCTGTACCTTACTCCTGAAACAAAACAAGTCTTCTGCTCTTTAAATTTATTTCTAAAAGCTTACTTCTATTAGAAAGTCTGTATCTAAGCTAACTTCATTAGATTTAAGTAGATAAAAGCTGGAACTGAAGAAATGAAGAAAGGGGATATGTTAAAACTGATGCATTGTCAGGATTTTCCCAGTTTTCTCTTTTTGGCTAATTTAGAATTCACAGAGTAACAGCTTATATCTGTTCAATTAAAGGGTCAGTTAAAGAGCTGGCACCTCAAAAATGTTTATCAGTCTGTGTTACGTAATTAAATATGGAATCTATTCAGACAAACGTTAAAAATCAGTCCAGGGGAAAGGAAGAATTTTAATAAATTTTGAAATACAAATCCTAAACAGTTCTTTTTGAGGATGTGATACTTTATGTCATCACAAGAGACTGGAGAGATTAGAATGAACTGGTTTAAAGTCTTAAAATCTAAGCCTGGAGGCTTTCTTTAATCTGCATGCAAGACTGTTTAACACTGTTGCAACTGCAATTAAGTACTAGACTGTTTTTGTTTATTTCTTTACAAAACTGCTTTGTTAGTTTGTAAAATATTCAGACACAGTCAAGGTTATGGGTTCTCTCAGGATGTCTATGTAAAAGGAGATACAATGGGATAGGGAAGCTTTAATTATGGCTGGGTCCTTGCTCTCTGAGTGCCAGCTTTAGACAATCACTCTTTCTGTGGACTCTACGTAGTGGCTTTTTTTTCTTTTAGCTGTTTAAGAATCTGAAGCATCCTGTGGTTTATTGACTATTGTAACCACATACTCTGCCACTAATGTTCATCACTCCTGTTTCTCCTGACTGCTGCCTCTTGAGGAGAATGAAAGGTGGAAAATGTGACACAGTAGTCTCAAATTGTATGACTCAGTTTAAATACCGAACAAGAAAAAAAGTGTCTTAAACCACCACTAGAAACATTTTCCTTTCAAATGGAACTGATCTTTAAAACCCAGTTCAATCCAGCAAACAGGCAAATAATTGCTAATGTAGACACTTTCAGAAAGTATTGTGGTATACCAGAGGATCAGTTTTCTATAGGATGATGAAAACACTTCTAGTTCTTTGTGATACTTGCTGATCTTATTCAAATTTAATTTTATCCAGCTTCAGTCAATTCTTACCCAGACTAAATAATGCCACTTAGATTTTAATCTTTTCTTACTCTTTAAGTTTGCCTTTTAATGAACTATTTTTAGAAATGTTCTTCCTTCAATGCAATATTCTCTTCACACATCTTTTACAAGCAATTTTTTTCCCTTAAATCAAAAATCTACCATGAGTTCTATCCCCTACCCCTAAAACTACTTATGGAATTTATTTCTATTACAATTTTATTCTTTCCATTACTTCATCGGTTTCATATACTTGGTGGATTTTAACATTTTAAAGGTATACACACTCACACCCACACCCATGCATTCTTCACAATACCACCCTGAAGTAGAAGAGACAGTATGGCATTTTCATTAATTAAAAGTGGAAACAATGAAGTCCGACTGCCTGGGTTTGAATTCAAGCTATGAGGCCTTAGGCTATTTACTTAACCTCTTTGTTTTACTTTCCTCATTAGTAAAATAAGAGATAATTATAGTCCTAGTTCATAGTGTTGTGGTAAGAAATGAATACTTGAAAAACATAGTGTAGTGAATATTAGCATAAAAAATTAACTATTACTATTATTATTTTATAAATTTCCCCAGATTATAAAGGTAGAATGGCGAGTAGGTATCTTCTCTTCTCTATAGCCAAAGGGATCTTTTTAAAACAGAAGTCAGGTCAGGTCCATCCTCGATCAAAATGCTTCAATGGCTTTCTGCCTCATTCAAAATCAAAGCCAATACTAGGCCCTACTTGATCCAAACTCCCTCATCCCCAACCTTCTGCTCATTTCCTGCTATTCATCTTCTCTCTCACTCTATTCCAGCCTTCATTCACCTCCGTGTTGTTCCTGGAATGTGTCAAATATGCTGTCACTTTCAGGCCCTTATAAGTACTGCTCCCTCTAGCTGAAACATTCTTTTCCCAGAGTCAAAAACTTTTCCTGACCACTCATTATAAAAGAGCAATCACCCTAACCCCTGGCACCCTATACCCCCTTTACCTGATTTATTCGCCTCTATAGTACTTATTACCACCCAACATAAATAACATAAATTTACCTTTTGGTGATAACAGAATATATAGGGCTTAACTAAATATAACGATTGCTAATTGAAAATTTCTCCTATTACTTTATTGTGCTGGCTTAGAAAACAGTGACGTACATTAGCAAAGCCTTTCAATTTTTAAGATTAATCAGGCAGAATCTTCATAGTCAGATGAATCTATGTAATACATTACATTAAATGGGTTAGATCCTTTCTCACAGAAATTAACAAATAATTTTGAAGTGTGTTTAAGGCTTATATATTATCATATTAGTAGCTCCTTCAAAAGACAACAAACACTTGACACACATACCTGTTCTAGTAGTGAACTTCAACAAAGAGAGTTTTCTCTGTGAGGAAGGCTAGAGATAAAAGGGAAAAGAAAACCGGCTTCTACAGGAGGATCCTGAAAATGTTACCTCCCACTTTTTGAAAAAACCCTCTTTGAGGATTTTTATAGGCATAGAGACTTGGTTTAAGTCTGTCGTGTGTGTGCCCTTTGACTTAGAAAAGGGATCAATTGAAATAAAGATATGTGTCCTGATTCTCATCGACAGATGAAAGAGCAAAACATTAGGCTAGTATCACATCTAGGGAAGAGAGAAGAGAGAAATATTAGAACACAGGTAAAGAGAAATAAACAACAAGAGAAGAAATAGTTGTCCTGTGAGGCTTAGCCTGTGGGCTTCTATATACCTAGTACCTGAAATATAGAGGTATAAATCAAACACTTATTAGCTAGCCCCACAGGAACAAACTGATTAAGTTTACTTACACTGCCTATTCTTTCCTTCGTTGTGATCTTTGAGAAATTTTACTACCCCTCTTTCTTTTGGGATTTTTATTGTTAAAAGAAGCTGTATGTATGGTTTCTGGGTCCATTAGCAAAATATTTTTGTTTTTATTTTTATTTTTTTAATTATCACATATTTCAAGCATACAAAGAAGTAAAAAGAATAATGCCACTAACACCTATATAGCCATCTAGCTTTGTCAAATTTAACATTTCTATGTTTGCTTAATTTTTTAAAAAAGAACATTACAGTTGCAGTTTAAGCATTATGGAAATCCTTAGTTTAAGCATTATGGAAATGAGGGACCTCATTTCCCCAGCTTCCTCCCTCTCAGGATGTAAACTGTACCCTGAATTTAACGTTCATTATTCCCATGAATGCTTTCCACATTTTAGAAGTTTATATTAATGCTAGCATACTGCAAACACTCTGCAATAATATTTTCATGCTCAACATTATGTTTTAGAGTTTTATTCCTAATGATACATGTAGTTCTAGTTCATTTATCTTAATTGTTATATGTATTCCACTGAATGAAAATTCCCAAATAGATTCATCCCTTCTCTGATGGACGGACAATTAGGCTTTCCGGATTTTTCATGATTATTAACAAAGCAGCAATGAACATTAATCTTAACTTTTAGTGTGGATATACAAGAGAGTTTCATGAAGACATATAAAAGTATGTTCAACTTTTCTCGATATTATCAAACTGTTCTTCCCAGTAACTGTACCTGTATATACTATCACCTGTAGTTTTTGAGTTTTTTCCCCACATTTGTGCTTACAAATATTTTCAATTCTAATTTATTTTTTGTTAATCTGATGAGTACGAAATAGTATCTATAATAGGCATTTATCATTCTTTTAGGCTGCACAGTACTTGAATCTCATTGCAATGATTAGAACTAATTTGTGGGGAACCATCATCTTTATAATTTATAAACATAGTTTCTCTGACCATATATTCAGATTTTTCAATTTTCAGTAAGGTTTATCATGTATTCTTTAAAAATTTTGTACCTTATATAGATATATTCCTTTATATTTAATGTCTTTTATTGTTATAAATGGCATTTTTCAAATTATATATATTTTTTGGTTTTGGTGGTAGTACACAGCATACAATAAACTTACAGTACTAACTACATACATCAGAAAAAGAGAAAAAGTTTCAAATCAATAATCTAAGCTGTACCTTAAGAATCTAGAAAGAGAAGAGCAAAATAAACCCAAAACAAGCAGAAGGAAGGAAATAATAAAAGAGCAGAACTCAATACAATTGAAAACAGGAAAACAACAGAAAAAAATGAGTGAAATGATGAACTGGTTTTTCTGAAGATATCTAGACAGGTGAAAAAACTCCAGCAATTATCAACATCAATAATAAAACAGAACACCACTGCATACCCTAAAAAAAATAAAAAAAAAAAACAAAGAGCTACAGATACCTCTACACATATAAATTTGACAACTTAGATGAAATGGACCAATTACTCAAAAAATAGTTGATCATAACTCACCAATATGAAACAGATAATTTGAATAGCCTACAAGTATTAAAGAAATTGATAGCTGGGCATGGTGGTACACACCCGTAATCCCAGCTACCTGGGAGGCAGAAGTGGAAGGATCACCTGAGCCCAAAAGGCTGAGGCTGCAGTGAGGCGGGATTGGGCCACTATACTCCAGCCTGGGCAAAAGAGTGAGACCCTGTATCAGAAAAAAAAAAACAAAACAACAACAGCAAAGAATTTATAATTTTAAAATTACCAAAGAAAAATCTCCGGGTCCAGAATATTTCACTGAAGAATTCTACCAAACGTTCAGGGAACACTTAACACCAATTCTACATAATCTATTTCAGAAAGCAGAAGAGGAGGGAGCATTTCCCAGTTCATTTTATGAAGCGAGGATTGCACTGATGCTAAAACCAGACAAAAACAGGGAAAAAAAAAATTTAAAGAAAGCAGGATAAAAAGAAAACTACAGACCAATATCCCTTTTTACATGGATGCAAAAAAAATCAATTCAGCAGTATGGAAAAAGAATTATACATCATGACCAAGTTGGGTTTATAACAACACTTGTTCAATTTTTTTTTTTTTTTTTTTTTGAGAAAAGTCTTGCCCTTTTGCTTAGCTGCAGAGCAGTGGCACGATCTTGGCTCACTCGAACTCCTGACCTCAGGTGATCCACCCACCTCGGCCTCCCAAAGTGCTGGGATTACAGTCACGAGCCACTGTGCCCGGCCCACTTGTTCAATATTTTAAAAATCAATTTATACGTACCTCTATATTAACAGGCTAAATCCCATGATCATATCAATTGATGCAAATAAAGGACTGACAAATCCAATAGCCATTTATGATAAAATGCTCAGAATAACAGAAATAGAGGGGGAATTTCCTTAACTTGATAAAGAACATCTGTAAAAAAACCCTACAGCTAATATTATACTTAATGATCATAGACTGTATGTTTTTCCTCTAAGATTGGGGAACAAGGGCAAAGATATCTGCTTTCATTGCCCTTATTTAACAGTGCTGGAAGTTCTAGCCAATGGCATAAGTCAAGAGAAAGAAATAAAAGGCATACACATTGGAAAGGAAGAAGTAAAACTATCCTTATTTGCAGATGACATGATTATCTAGGTAGAAAATCTGAAAGAATCTACAAAAAACTCACAAAACTAGTCAAAGTGAGTTCAGCAGGATACAAGATAAACATACAAGAATCAACTGTACTTCTATATACTAGTAATGACACCAAATTTTTTAAAAACACAATACCATTAACAATCCTTTAAAAAGTGAAATACTTCACCAGGTGTGGCAGCTCATGCCTGTAATTCCAGCACTTCAGGAGGCTGAGGCAGGAAAATCACTTGAAGCCAGGAGTTCAAGACCAGGGCAACAAAGCCAGACCCTGTCTCTACAAATAAAATAAAATAAAATAAATTAGCTGGGTATGGTGGCATGTGCATGTAGTCCCAGCTACTCAGTACGCTGAGGCAGGAAGATTGCTTAATGAAGCCCAGAAGTTCAAGGCTGCAGCGAGCTACGATCAAGCCACTGCGTTCCAGCCCAGGCAACAGAGTAAGACCCTGTATCTAAAATATTTTTTTTGGTAATAACAATTTTAAAAAGTGAAATACTTAGATGTAAATCTAAGAAAACATATAAAGGACTTGTAGGTTGAAAACTACAAATAAATAGAAAAACATATTGTGTCCATGGATGGGAAGACTCAGCCTAGCAATGGTGTCATTTCTCCCCAAATGAATATGCAGGTTTAACTATAAAAATCTCAGAAAGATGTTTCTATATAGAAAAGATTATTTTAAAATTCATATGGAAAGACAACTAGAATAGCTGTAACAATTTTGCAAAAGAACATTGTGTGAAGAATCAGTCTAACTAGTTTCAAGACTTAGAGATAACAATCAAGATAGTATGGTATTCATGGGATAATAGAAACATATCAATGGAACAAAATAGGAACCCAGAAATAGAGCCACATAAGTATGCCCAAATGATTTTTGACAAAGTTGCAAAAGCAATTCAATGGAGGAAAAAACCAGCCTTATGACAAATGCTGCTGGAGAAATTGACAATCTATAGACTAAAGAACAACCTGAACCTAAGCCTCACATTTCATATAAAAATTAACTCATAATAATTCACAGAATTCAATGTGAAATGTAAAACTATAAACAAATTTTAGAAAAAACACTGGGGAAAAACTTCCAGATCTAGGGCTATGGAAAGGGCTCTGAGACTCAACACCAGAAACATGATCCATGAAAGGAAAAAGTGCTAAATATGATCTCATCAAAATTAAAAACTTTTGCTCTGTAGAAGACCACGCTAAGAGGATAAAAAGGCAAACTACAGAGTGGAAGAAAATAGTCTAGTTAGAGAACTCTTAAAACAACAGTAAAAAAGCATATACTCCAATTAGAACACAGGCAACAGACATGAAGATATTTCACCAAAGAAGATATACAGATGCAAATAAGCACTTGAAAAAATATTAGGCATCATTAGCCACAAACCACTGGGGAAACACAAATTATAACCACAATAAGACATCCCTACACATCTATCAGAATGGCTAAAATTAAAAATAGCGACACCATCAAATGCTGCTCAGGATGCAGAGAAACTGGATTACTCAAACATCACTGATAGAATGTAAAATGGTACAGCAACTCTGGAAAATAGTTTGGCATTTTCTCAAAAACACTAAACATGCAATTACCACACAACCCAGCAATTGCATTCCAAGGCACTTATCTTAATGAAATGAAGATTTATTTTCTCCTTAAACAACAATGGGTACAGGAATGTTTAGAGCAGCGTAGTGGGTTGAAGGGTGGGGTTCCCAAAAAGATATGTCCACATCCTAATTTCTGGAAACAAGGAATGTTACTTTAGTTGGAAAAAAAAAAGGTCTATGCGGATATAATTAAGAATCACGAGATAAAGAGATCATTCTAGATTATCCATCCAGGTGTGCCCTAAATACAACTGTCCTTATAGCACACAGGGGACATTTGACAGACAGATGACAAGGTGATGTGAAGACAGAGGCAGAGTCTAGAGTCACAACAATAACAGGGAAAAGGCTATTGATACACACAAAAATCCTGAGAATTATACAGAGTTTTAAAAAAGCTAATCCCCAAAGATTAATACTGTATGATACATAACATTCTTGATAGGACAACATTATAAAAACAAACAAGAGATTAGTAGTTGCCAGGAATTAAGGAGAGTTGGGGCAGGAAGGAAGTGGGTGTGGCTGTAAAAGACAATACAAGAGATCCTTGAAATAATAAAAATGTTCTGTATCTTGACCATATTAATGTCTACATCCTGGTTATATGTACTATAGTTTTGCAAAATGTTATCATTGGGGAAAACTAGATAAAAGATACACAGTATTTTCTGCAAATTATTTCTTACAATTGTGAACCTACAATTATCTCAAAATAAAAAATCTAATTTAAAAAAGTGATCAGCTGAGTGGAGGAATAAATAGTATGAAGTAGAAATTAACTTAAAAAATCAAGTTAGAAGGTAACTGTCATCTTAAACATGCCAATGCACCCTAAGATAAAATTCAGGCAATTTAAAATTGACAGTAGTTTTCCTTTTAACCAAGAACCGTTTTATCATATCTCTTACAGGTGAAACAGCTTTGGTGTTCAAAAATAACATCTCTTTTTCTTTTTTTTTTTTTTCTTTGAGAGGGAGTCTTACTCTGTTGCTAGGCTGGAGTGCAGTGGCATGATCTCGGCTCACTGCAACCTCTGCCTCCCGGGTTCAAGTGATTCTACCGCCTCAGCCTCCTGAACAGCTGGGAATACAGGCGCATGCCACCATGCCCAGCTAATTTTTGTATTTTTAGTAGAGACAGGGTTTCACCATGTTGACGGGGATGGTCTCAATCCCTTGACCTCGTGATCCGCCCACCTCGGCCTCCCCAAGTGCTGGGATTACAAGCATGAGCCACCGTGCCCAGCCAACATCTCTTTTTCTTACTCTTCTCTATTTGTCTGCAGTATTACAAAATGAAATCAAGATGGTGCTATAAAAGTTCCCCCTGCAAACCACTCCAAACTCCCTTCTATAACTGACACCAATGCCAGTTTCTTTTCTCTCAGAAATTGTTTTTAACTTTTATTTTCATATTGAATTAGAAGAATGCTTCACCTCTTTTTATCTGTATTTCACTCAAAAGTCCAGGTTATTTTAAACCTCAAAATCCAGTTCTAATCCAGTTTACATTTACTCCTTTATTTGCACTTAACCAGTGACCAAGCATCTATATACAGTCTATTTAACCTTGATAGTTTTTAATATCTATATCCATCATGCCACCAATAAACAAATTACGTGTCCTAATTTCCAACTTTAGTTTCATATTAGGATCCAAGTACCTTAGTAAATGTCCTAATGCTTTCATCAACCATTTGCATTTTCTTGAACATCAGCAGTTTTGTAACATAAAGTCAGACCACAAACCTAAAATGTAGGTCACAATGTCTCCTTTCACAATGTGTCATGAAAATTTAACTACTTCAGGATAAAGACCAGGTGCCACATTCTTTCGTTTTTGTTAAAGGTTTTAACACTCCTGGTAATCAAGGCTTTTTTTTTTTCTCCAAAAGTCATAAATTGACTGATTATTCCTTCACAATTCTCGTTTCAACTGTAAAACTTTTATGTCTAGCTGAATGTAACCGCTCCTTTTCTTGTCTCCCTATATCCAAAATCTTTTCATTTTAAAACTGACTGCAAACTAAGGTCAGATACATTTTTTAATACATTACTTTTAAAACACAGATAAACATACACACTTGTGTGTGTGCATTTTCATTATAACATTGCTACTTGAAGACAGTCAATTTTTCATTTGCTTAAAACAGTGTTTTTCAAAGGAAGCACTATTTTTGGAAGCACTGGTTCCAGTCATGACTCTAAGTCACAATATAAATGTATCCTGTGAAGCATGGTTAAAAAGAAAAAAATTGAAAAACAATGGCCTAAAGAATATGGTCTAATTTGCTACACCTGACATTCAAGACCTATGCTAATCTTGCCTGTAGCTACCAATATATCCTCATTGTCTACGACTTGCTTCACAAATCCACTGCACCTCTCAAATTGATTCACTTGCCCTATCTTAAAACATATTCCATGCTTTCCCAACCATGTCTTTTTGCAGATATGCAATAAAGATTTCACTAAATGTATAATGAGGGGAAAAGGACAAAATAGAACCCTAAAAACAAGTCTATCAGAATTTTACCCCAACAAAATGCCTACCTCTCAACGAAATTTTTTCTTACCCCAACAGAGAAGGCATTGTTCCTTTATCTGAAATCTTGCAATACTTGCTCTCTTTTCTTTTCTTATGGTGATTTTGTGATACCTTTTATTGTTAATGATCTGTTATCATTTACCCTTATTGTAATGTAAGTACCTCAAAAATTGATATCATGCCTTATATATTTTTGTTTAATAAAATAATGCTATTTTAAAACTTATGATAAATTTAACTAGTATCTAGCTTAAGAAAGAAAAAATTAAAGCTAAAACTGAACTATCCTATAACAGTCTTCTCCATCCCAATTCCTTCCCCTACAGAGATAACCATTATTCTAAATTCCCATGGATGTTTCTTATACTTTTATTAAATATATAACTACCTCTGCATTTTAAAACTTAATTAATGACATCCCAATGTAAATATTTTGTTACTGGCTTACTTTGCTCTACATTGTTTATGGTATTTGTTCACGTTGATGCAAACAATTCTAGTTCATTCATTAATTTGGCTATGTATTACTCTTTTACATTAATCCATCATAGGAGATTTATCAATTCTTTTGATGGACAGTTTGTTTCCAATTATTCATTCTTACAATGATGTAACCAATATTCTTATACATGTCTCTGTGCATAAGTATGAGAATTTCCTTTGAGTAATACCTAGATTTGCTCTGCTGTAGGGTATGAGCATTTTTGGCTTCAGTGCATGTTACCAAAATGCTTTCCCAGTCTCTGGATTGTATTGTCACTTTTTACAATGTATTCCAATAAGCAAAAAAAAAAAAAAAAAAAAAAAGTTAATTTCTTAAAAAGGTATAGTTATATTAACTTTTTAGAGTTATGATTCTACTTGTGTTTTCTAATTACTCTTGACTCAGTTTGGAAAAGTTTTATTTTTCTGGAAAATTGTCCACTTCAGCTAAGTTTTCAAATTTATTGGCATGAAACAATTTATGCCCACCAGGGGATGTTTTCTGAGCTCACCTAAAAATTAGATTCATATAACTATTAATGGCCATGCTTCACATAAATTTTTTTTTTTTTTAAACAGTCTCACTTTGTAGCCCAGGCTGCAGTGCAGTGGCGTGATCTCAGCTCACTGCAACCTCTGCCTCCCAGGTTCAAGTGATTCTCATGCCTCAGCCTCCCAAGAAGCTGGGATTACAGGCACCTCCCACCACATCTGGCTAATTTTTTTTTTTTTTTTTAGTAGAGACAGGGTTTCACCATGTTGGCAGGCTGGTCTCGAACTCCTGATCTCAAGTGATCTGCCCACCTCGGCCTCAAAAAATGCTGGGATTACAGGTGTGAGCCACCAAGCCCGGCCATGAATTCTTTTTTAGCAGAATACAGGTCAGGATACACAGCATATTGACAAGGCAATGTCAGACATTCTTCTTAAGTAGGAGCAGTCATCACAACAGGCCACACCGCCACCAAACAGCATAGCTTCTAGTCACTACACTAAGATTTCCTACCAGGTATTACTAGCTTATTTACAACCCTCCCAGGCCAAAGCAATTTACCCAAGAAGTGTCATTTTTAACATAAGCAACAGTGCCTGGTGAACAGCTCACATTCCAAAAGTCAGCTGCCATTATTATTTGCAACTCCAGGGGAAATGAGAAAACAGGTTTCCAGGGGAACAGAGCTAGGTAAATTGTATTCCCTTACGTTTTTAAATAATTAGTTTTCTTTATCAATTTTGCTTCGTTTGTCTATTAGTCTTTTCAAAGAACAATTTTTAAATTCTATCTTGTTTTTTAATTCTTCAATTTCTGCTCTATATTTGCTTTTTTTTTACTTTCTTTAGGTTTACTCTTTGAGTTGAGCATTTAGCTATGTATTTTACTCTAAGTACCTCCTTAGCTTCATCCTACAATTTTAAAAATAGTGCATTTTTAATACTATTCCATTCTAAATATTCTCAAAGTTCTATTATAATATTTATTTTTGATTCATGAGTTTAGAGGTGTGTTTCTAAATTTTTCCAGGCTAAGGGGTGCTTTTGAGCATCTTTCTATTTTTCATTTTTAATTTTGTTGTATTATGTTTAGAGATATCAAACTGATTTTTAAGGCTTTATTGAGACTTGCTTAGTGCCCTAGTACGGTTAAGTTCTTACAAATACTATACATTTATTTGAAAAGTATATTCATTAACTATTGGATTAACTGCACTACATCTATCCCTGAGATCATATTGTTATTTTTTTCAAATCTTTTCCAGCCTTACTAATAATTTGTATGCTTGAGTAGTTATTTAGAGAATGATATTCAATTTCTCATTATGGCTACAGACTTGTCATTTTATTCTTCTAATTCTGTCCATTTTTGGCCTCGTTAATAAGTCTTTCTTACATATTGTCTTTGGAGTTTTCATTTTGTAATTTGCAGTAGTGTTGTTTTCCTCTAATAAAGCTATGTTAGACCCAAATAACACTGGGTCTAACAAAATATTATATTAGCTTTCTTTTTATTAGTGTTTGCCTCCTTTTTTAACTTTTAATCTCTGTGCCCTAATGTTTCGCGCATACCTGTTATAAGTAAAATCTAGGTAAATTTTTAAAAATCTGACAATATTAGTTTTTAGTTTGGTAAATTAGTGTATTTTACATTTTTGAAAACTGATATTTGGGTGTTTTTCTATCATCTTATTTTTGCTTGTTATTTTACTTTTTCTTAGAACTTCCTTGTCCTTTTCTGCCTTCCATTAACTTGAGGTTTTTTTCCAATTTAAATTTTTTTTATATTGAGTATTGAGGGAATAAAAAAGAACATCTACAAAATATATGAAAGCTATTCCTTTCTCTTGATTTTAATACTGTGATTAAATACAGTAATCAATTTATTAATATTAGATGAATCTTGTAAAAATTGAGAGATATGTCAAACCTTTTCCAAATAGGTTGGTGGTAAACTTGTCTCCTTTTAGTTCTGTCAGTTTTTACTTTATTTATTTTTACACCCTCTTATTATGTGCATTTTCAAATATCTTATCTTTCTAGTGAAAAGAACTTTTATACTTACATGACGGTCTTTATCTTAAGTTTTAATTCCAGTCACTCTATACCCTCATTATAGGTTTCTGCTCTCATAAATGTTAGCTCTACTTTTTTTTTTTTTTTTTTTGAGACAGAGTGTCCCTTTGTCGCCCTGGCTGGAGTGTGCAGTGGTGCTATCCCAACTCACTGCAACCTCTGCCCACTGGGTTCACGCCATTCTCCTGCCTCAGGCTCCCAAGTAGCTGGGACTACAGGTGCGCACCACTACGCCCGGCTAAGTTTTGTATTTTTAGTAGAGATGGGGTTTCACCATGTTGGCCAGGCTAGTCTTGAACTCGTGACCTCAAGTGATCTGACTTCCTCAGCCTCCCAAAGTTCTGGGATTACAGGCGTGAGCCAACATGCCCAGCCTCTACTTGTTTTTAACAACACAATATTTTACTAGTATCGTCTTGCACAATTTTCTTTAGATTTATACACCATTTTACCATTTTGTCTATGTCTCATTCATTCTTACATTTCAGATCTTCCACTTGAAATTACTCTCTTTTGCCTAAAGTATATATTTTCTGAATTTTCTTTAGCAAAGATTGGCTAGTATCAAATTGTCTCCATTACTAATATCTAAAAATGTCTTTTTTCTCTTCTTGTTTTCATAAAATACTTTTGATGAATTCTGGTTGACAGTTGTTTTTTCTCAGTACATTGAGGATATAATCCCATAGTTTATCAGCTTCTACTGTTTGTGTCAAGAAATTGGCTGTCAGTCTAACAGCTGTTTCTTTGATGATAACCTGATTTTTTTTTCCCCTTGGCTGTTTTTAAAATCTTCTCCTTGATCTTACTGTTTTATAGTTTCACAGTGATGTTCCTGGCAGTTAATTTCTTTATTTCTCCTTCTTATGATTCGATTGAGATTCTTGAATTTGTAGATTAGTGCCTTTCAGAAAAGTTGTCAGCCATTATCCCTACTCCATTCTTTGTCTCTTCTCCTAAATTTTGATTAGTCATAATTTAGATTTTTTCATTTCATTTCCCATGTTCCTTAATCACTTTGACATTTTCCATATATTTGTTACAACATTCCATTACACATTTCTTCAGATATATCTTTTAATTCACATAGTTTCCCTTAGCTGTTTCTTATCTCAGTTAAACCTGTTCTTGGAGCTTTAAATTTTAGCTATGGTAGTTTAATTACTAGAAACTGGTTTTTCTTCAAATCTATTTGCTGCTGTTTTCAAACCTCTCCTTTATTCTTAAAACATTTTAAGTAAATTTACTTTAAAATTCTTGGCTTGAGGATTTTCAGACCACAAGTAGTATGTATAGGGATACAGACCCATGCTATATCTGGTTTGTGGCTATGAATTTTCAGGGGCTGTATCTGCTCCCCCCTAGTGTCTGCCACCCACATACTCACAACCTCTCCATAGAGCACTATATTTAAATATAGCCATTTTCCTTCCAGTCTCTTGAGGACATGGGTATAGGATGGGTTTATTTTTAGTTCACTCTTACATTGATATTCTATCCCTTTTGGTTCTCAGCTTTAAGAAGACATTTACTTGGGAAGTTCCTGGATTTCAACTCCTGTTTCTTATTCTCTGGAAAATCATAAAAACCAAACTTACAGTTAACTCACTTTAGCAAATGTCTTCAAGGTGAAAGCTGACTGCAGTGTTTTGCTTGCCTGACTTAGGTCTTGCTTTCATTTAGTTTTAGGTTTGAATTTCCTTTATTTTCTAACCAACTCATGAATATAATTAAGTTTTTTTAAGTCTTATTCATTATTTTTAATATTTTACTGGGAAGTTGGCGTTAGTACTTAGCCACATTGCCAGAAATAAAATTAATCTCCTAAATATTCTTAATTCTTATATTTTCCCTTTATACTGGTTTGAAAATTACACATTGGAATTTTAATTTTTAATAGATACACTTAAGCTTTTACCATTGAAAACTGATTTAAATCCCAATGTCAATCCTATATCTTCCTTCCAAAGAATACAAGGAATTTCAGACTCTTAAAGCAAAGTCTTCCTCCTTTCCACATGGTATTCTTGTCCAGTATTTTAGTTTCACTCCTATTTTCCCTTTACATTTTTTATTTTAAAATAATTGGATTCATAAAAAGTTTCAAAATTAATACAAGGAATTTCAAATATCCAGTTTCCCTAATGGTTACATCTTAAATAGCTATGTAAAATGCCAAAACCAGGAAACTGACATTGATATGACATTTTTGTATAATTCTACGTCACTTTATCACATATGTAGATTCATATAACCACCACTACAATCAAGATACAGAATGTTCTGTCATCATAAAGTACTTTCTCATGCTATTCCTTTATACTCACCCCCCTACTCCTTTCTGCCCCACTTCTACCTACCATCCTTAACACTGGCAACTACTAATGCTTTCCTTCAATTTTGTCATTTTGAAGATGCTATATAAATGGAATCATACTTTAAGTAGCCTTTTGGGATTGGCTTTTTTGTGTGTGTGCTCAGTATAATGCTCTTTATTTTCTAGGCTCATTCTATTATTTTAAGTACATTCTTTAGTAATTCTTTCACAGAGTCTATAAGTTAGTGGACTCTTTCACTTCTTGTTTGTTCTGGAAATGTCATTATTATGCCCTTATTCTTGAATAATACCTTAGGTGGAAATATATATCAACTGGGAAAAGAGAAACGATTCCAGGTATTTAAAATTAAAAGGTATCTTGCTACAGAAATTTAGGTGCTACAAACTGTAAGAAATATTCTCAATCACTTCTTCATCAAATATTCTCTCTCCTTCATTCTTCCATGGTCTTCATCTATAACTCTTAGTAGATGTATGTTGAACTCCATATCATATTTTCTATTTCTATAACTCTGTACTGCCTTCAGGATAATTTCCTCAAATTTATCTTACAGTTGTTAATTCTCTCTTCACTGGCCATATTTTTCATTTTTTAGATATTCTTCTTTTTTTTGCTTATTCATTTTGCTTAAAAATAGCCTGTATTTTAATATTTATATTATGTGCTCAATTATCAGAAGTTAATAGAGGATAATACTGGTATATATTGGTTCTACTGATTCTTGTTCATACTGGCTGTTTCCTTGCATATTTTATAACTTTCAGAAAGTGAGCCCATGCTAAGCAGTGGATTTTCTGAGGGAATACAGCGTAGCCTGGGTTGAGAACACACCCTTTTAAAATGGCTTTTGTCTTAAGTTTCTGTAAGGCACCTCAGGAGTATTAACATTCAGTAACTATACGTTGGTTGATTTCCCAGTGTATAGAACTAGTCAGGAGTATAAATTTAAACCTCAAACCTAAAAAGGGTATGCCTATGATTATGATCAGAAATTCATGGGGAAGCTTTTAAAATTTTCCCCACTTAGACACTGGGCCCAGGTTGAGAAAAAAATCTTCCTTGTGGTCTGTCTCTGCTGAAAAGTAGATGTTTTGTTTCTGTTTTTAATATCCTGTTATTTGATAATGCTCCTAGGGTTCCTGCTTAATACTGGTGTTTCATTTCTAACTCTGTTCACCATGTAGGCCCCAGATCTTGTCTCCAAATCTTGACTGGCTATTAAATCTATATCCTTGGGCCAAGACATCCCACCATCCCATTCTCATGGTAGTCCATGTCACTACTCATGCTTCCCACTCTGTTTTTTAAACCCTATATATTTTCAGGTCTTAAGATTTTTCCTTACTTTCTTGTAAGCACAGCTATACAACCAAAACGATATTTGTTGCATATTATAGTATTTCTAAATATGTAGTAGTATGAGAGTTTTCAAGTTAATACTAAGTTGCCTGTCTAGGAATTCTCTATTAAATCTTTTTATTTGTCACATAGCCCATGGCACAGCATCTGCTAGGCAGCAGTGTATCATAAATGTGATGAGTGACTGGTTGAATGAATGAATTACCATTCTTTATCAGCATTCATTTCCTTCATTAATTATTTTTCTCCAACTCTGATTTCCCAAATTCCTCATAAATTTGTGAATGACATATTTTATGGACTTCATTTAGACTAACATAATTTTCTCACATTAACTATTATACCAGTCATGGTAATAATCCTGCATTCAGTTTGTTCCCTTCTATTTGCCCTACGTGGACCTGTTGGTCCTCTTTTTACCATGAAACTCTTGCTATGTCATTTTATTGCCAAGAGGTTTGCAAAAATCTTATTTTGGTCATTTTTATCGTCTTAAACTCTTTTCTTCTTTCAATAGTTATATTCAACTGCATTTTCCACTAAATAAGGCACTGGCAAATGTGGGTAGCACATAAGATGATTCTTAATTATTGACTGCTGTTATATTCTGCTTTATTCTTATAACTTATTAATTTGAGGAAGATTTACATAAAAATTTGTTTTAGTTTCCAGAAGGAAATATTAGAATATTAATAAATATTATACATATAAAAATATATCTAAATAATAAAATAGAAATTGCTCCATATATACTTCTTTCATCATATTTCTACCATCTTCACAGGCATTAGAAATATACCATATATTTACTAAAATATATACATGCCATCTAATTATGCAATAATTTCTTTCATATTTATATATGTATAAAACAAAATTCACAGGTATCTTCTCTCCTTTACACCTCAACACTATTGTATGTCTTCAGTAAAATTTCTGTAAACCTGAGTATGATGTCAAGAACTCAATGGACATTTAATAAATATTCATTTGTGACAATCATGATAACCTCACACAGGGCTTTGAAAGTGATTTTCAGAAATCATCAGCTATTCTTTCACATAGATTAAAAAACCTTCCCCCAGAAGAGATGATTGCCTTTCAATCATAGAAGAAAAAAATACAGCAAAAACAAGTGAGATAGTGTCTTTTTATTTTTAAGCTAAAGATCCAGTGTATTATAGCATTATGTACCATGAAGATTTCAGATAAAACTATGTAAACTCAAGTTAGTGACATACAATTGTATCGGGTTTAAAATTTTTCCATATACTGTGGTATGCACTAATAAATTCCGACCTGTGGTTTTAAATACAGTAGCATCTAAGCACTGATACAGACCTGCAATTATGTCAATGGACATTCTATGAACATTAGTAGTGAAGATACAAATCCACTGCAGTAAGCTGATTAGCAATGCTAATGTGCACACTACACAGTCATATAATTAAAAAGAGTTTTACTCACAGTGATGTCGAGGTTATGGGGTTAGGACAGTTTCCACTTCAAAAGATGGAAGAATCCAGGTTACTATGATAGCAAAAAGTAAATCACCTAATTTAAGCTGTTGAAAATATCATGGTTTATTTTTAAAAAAGAAACTTCTACCCTACCTTTGAACATTATGGTAAATTATGAATTAATTCTTTCCCAGCTAAAAGAGATTTTAAAAAAGCAGAACCTCAATAGGCATGATAAAGAATCTCCACCATGTAACACTACATTAGTCCAACTAAGTTATCATGTCATTGTCCACTTAACAGAGAATGGAGCTTAATTAGAGAAAAAAAATCATAAAAATGTTCACAGTTTCCCCCGAAATGGAAAGATGTACAGGGAGATGTGGGGGTGGAGAAAAAGAAGAGAGAAGGCAGTCAGTAACAAACACTTGGTTATAATGATGATAAGAATCCATTTCCTTTATGCAATTTTGTTGGTGTTCATTTTTTATATCCCTTCTCAGCTATAATGATCTACAAAGTATCCTTAGGTTTGGTGGTCTGTAATCAGCTAAGATAAACAGTTATCTTTGCTTTAAATGGAGAACAACCATTAGTCGATCGCTTATATTTGCAGACAATTCCATTCTGAAAACTAAGGTGTAAATACTCTTAAATTTTAGAGACAAACTATTTTGTTTCTGACAAGATTTATCACAATTGGAACATGTCACCCTCATCGTGACACTTAGTGGTGGGATAAAGTAGTGTTGTCTTTCTGCTTTAGAATAAGAAACTGGATCATTTCTTTTAAGTCTTGTGATTATATTTAAATCTTATATACATGCCCTGAAATGAAGAGGTGTTCTCATAAATCCTTGCATTATGCAGGAAAATGTCAACTGCAGCTTTAACTAACATTCTGTGAGACAAAAGGAAGCCCAAAGTAGCTGCTCTTCATAAAGACTAGATGCTAATACACATGCGCATGCGTGCACTCACACACGCACACACGCTGTGCCTCCTTAGAGAGCTATTTCTATTTTCATAATATGGTTAAGTTAGGATTATCCAAGGAAAAAATTTCAAAGGATTTATCATTTAACACTTCAATGGAGTTACTAATAGGAATTATATTGAAGTAGGTCATGCCAAATCCACTCTCAAATGACAAGAGATCACATATAAGTCTGCAAACATTTCAGACACAATAGCCACAAGACCCCCATAATTATTACCAGGGTATATGGCCTAGTATAATAAAGATCAAATAATTCAAACTTCAAGCCAGACTTATAATTACTATCTTACTAAGATCTCAGTTAATCACTCATAAAGTAAGTAGATGGTTCATACTATGAAGGTTAATACAATCGTATTAACAATGAAATAAATATTTGCCTTTCTCTCAGTCCATGATACATCCTATTATTTTAGCCACAAACATACACACACATACACACACACACACACCCTATGGCTAGAAAAATATGAATTCAAGCTGAAGACAGTAAACAAAAGGAATTTATCTTTCCTAAAAGGAACACAGAAATAATCTCCCAAATTGTAAATTCCGAGTTCATGGAACA
Source organism: Homo sapiens (assembly GCF_000001405.40). Classification (NCBI taxonomy): domain Eukaryota; kingdom Metazoa; phylum Chordata; class Mammalia; order Primates; family Hominidae; genus Homo; species Homo sapiens. The sequence continues at coordinate 72,493,465 of NC_000016.10, forward strand.
TATTTGTCCTACTCTTTGGAAAATGCTTTCTAACTCATTCACACAGAAGTCACTGCAAAGTGTTAATTAATACTAATGATGAAATCTGATGACCTGTACATACCTGTCCTAAGTTAATTTGTATGTGGGGTGGGAGGACTCATATAAGCCTCTACTATTCCACAATGACGAAGAAGCATTATGAGGTTATACCTTAAAGAACAAAAAAGGTGATGCTTTCTGTAAAATTGTCTGTTTATAAACTAAGCATAAAATGTCAAAAGGTTCTTGTGTCTGGTATTCTAAATTTAAAAAAAAGTTCTTAGTTTATGATTCTTAAAATATGGGAAATGAACAAGTACTCACTGTCGTCTCTAGTCACCTATTCCTATTTTTGGCTGACAACATTTCTGGTTAGAGCTTTATTTGGAAGCTTTAACATATTTTAACTGTTACACATTACTCAGCTCAAACTATAGCCAAGATAACTTGCTTGTCAGTTTATTAACAGCAAATTATTCAAATATGTTCCATCGTTTGTGATTAAAGGGCCTGTGGTGAGAGGGGAGAGATGAAGGGAGGAACAAACAAAGATGGGGAGGGATTGTCACGGTTAATAATAAAACAGTATTTCTAAAAATTGTTTCCATTGTTGAATTAAATAATTTAAGTTTTAAGCTTAGCCCGAGACTCGCTTTTAAGAGTCTACATATTTTATCTGTGATGAATTACATTATTCTCACTCTTAGTCAGAGATGCAATATCGTCTTTATTTTAACAGACTTCTGTGGAGGTATGTGGTTTCCATAAAAAATGAGTAACGCGAATGTTGTCTTTTTTTAAAAGAGTTTCATTTTATTCTACTACTGAGATAGTAAGCTCTATTATCCAAAAGCCAAAATGCAAGCTAACGTATCTAAATGAAATATTCAGGAAATCTCTTTATAGTTCTTTCAGCATTCTTCTAAATAAGATTGTTTCTTTCCTATGTTCCTAGTCTAAAAACTTTAACTCCGTTCTCTAGAATGAAGGAAAACTATTGAAATTCTTACTTTCTCCTAAAATCCATGACTTGCCCATAATTGTGGGACCTGATGAATCCTCCTATTGACTGAAAATATATTTATATCTTCATTCAACAAACAATTCTCAGGCCAGGAGCAGTGGTTCACGCCTGTAATCCCAGCACTTTGGGAGGATGAGGCAGGCGGATCCCTTGAGGTCAGGAGTTCGAGACCAGCCTGACCAACTTGGAGAAACCCCATCTCTACTAAAAATACAAAATTAGCCAGGCATGGTGGCACTTGCCTGTAATCCAAGCTACTCAGGAGGCTGAGGCAGGAGAATTGCTTGAACCTGGGAGGCAGAGGTGGTGGTGAGCTGAGAGTGTATCGTTGCACTCCAGCTTGGGCAACAAGAGTGAAAGTCCGTCTCAAACAAACAAACATACACACAAAAAAACAAACAATTCTCAGCAATGGAAAGGAAAAATCACAACTGGATACTTCTGTGCATTTAAAATCATAATGAAAAAGAATATCATAATATGATATTTTCATGTAACAATTATATATGTATATATAATATATACACTGGATACTGAGGGATGACTGTATATATACACACACACATACAGTCATCCTTCAGTATCCCAGGGGGACTGGTTCCAGGACCCCCTGAAGATACCGAAATCCATGGATGCTCAAGTCCCTTATATAAAATAGTGTAGTATTTGCATATGATCTACACACATCCTCTCATATACTTTAAATCATCTCTAGATTAGTGATAATACTTAACACAATGTAAATGCTATGTAAATGATTGTTATATTGTTTAGATTTTAATGACATAAAAAAAGAGCTGTACATGTTTAATGCAGACACAACCATCCATTTTTTTCTGAATATTTTAAATCTGCAGTTGGTTGAATCCATGAATGTGGAACCCATGATATGGAAGGACGACTGTATATATCATATATATTTTTCATATATGATATTTTCATTATGTGAAAACATCATGTATATGTATACATATGGAGCTATATCTATATTGATATATTACTCCTTATCTTAATTTTATCTTCAACTTGCCTTATCTTGATTTTTACAATAATTATCATTTAAGCAGGGGAAGAAATACTATTTCCATTTTATAGGTGAAATGAAAAAAGATTCAGAAAGTTAAGTGACTGATTCAAACTCTCAAACCTATCAAGTAGCATAGCCAAGATTTGAACTAGTCAGTCTTTTCAGTATGTTTCACTGTGATAAAATTATAAGCACTGTTAGAAATGTTCAGAAAATATTTAATCAATTTCCTTGATAACATATTTCAATAACAATTTTTAGTACTATCTGTACCAACTAATTTTTATAGTAAGTTACAGCTCTGTACCTGTAGGCAGAAAAAGTATAAACTTTAAAGGAAAAAAACACTGACCATTTACATGGATTGCAATAGAAATCACTTTGCTAATGACAGGAAAGGTCTCATTCAACTAATGAGAATAATTAAACAGCATAAGAGCACTAAGACCAACTATATTTAATAATTGGATTTCTGCCCTTAGCATTTTTTATGACATTAGAAAATATGTTGATTTCTCTGTCTGAATTAAGATACATAATGCTTGTTAAGGTCAAGAGAAAATAATACTTTTTATATAGGGCATTATGGGGTCGCCTTGAAGACATTCACATCATCCCTCCTTTTGTTCATGTGCACATCATTGCAGCGGCTGGCTGTTTTCTATCATACGATCTCCAAAACAGAGTTCTATTATTACTGCTTTTTCTAACATCTCTCTATTAGTATCTCACTCTCTACCTGGGCTTCCCTGTCATTATCTCCTACATTCTGAGAAGTCCCCATGTTATAAAGAAATTAAATAAAAGGTGTAAGTATAGCTATAGCCCAAGCCAACACACCAAAACTCAGAGGCCAGATTGTCCCAAGGAAACCAACCTAAAAGTAATAATGCTAATAATATTTATTTGGATAATGTTTTAGAGATTCTTCCTATATGTTTAAAATTTATTAAAGGTAATTTAGACCATTAGCCTTTAGAATACTGCATTAACACACAATATCTATTTTTATTATTTAATCCATTATACTATATTAAGAAACTGATTATATCCTTTTAAAAATAACTACCGTTAACTCGCAGATATCTACTAATGTGTGATCCTGTTTGTAGATTAATCAAGGCCCCTTGATTTTCATACCCCCCCCACCCACTTGAGCTCTGGACAAAAAAAGAAAGTGGCAAAATATTAAATCAAGAAAAGCTGTAGAAAGGCTTTTGGAAAAAGAGATAAATTCACATAGATAAAACAATCTAACAAAAATCTTCCTGATTAGGTGAGGGGCGCCTCTGCCCGGCCGCCCCTACTGGGAAGTGAGGAGCCCCTCTGCCTGGCCAGCCGCCCCGTCCGGGAGGATGGTGGGGGGGTCAGCCCCCCGCCCGGCCAGCCGCCCCATCTGGGAGGTGAGGGGCGCTTCTGCCGGGCCGCCCCTACTGGGAAGTGAGGAGCCCCTCTGCCCGGCCACGACCCCGTCTGGGAGGCGTGCCCAGCGGCTCATTGGGGATGGGCCATGATGACAATGGCGGTTTTGTGGAATAGAAAGGCGGGAAGGGTGGGGAAAAAATTGAGAAATCGGATGGTTGCCGGGTCTGTGTGGATAGAAGTAGACATGGGAGACTTTTCATTTTGTTCTGTACTAAGAAAAATTCTTCTGCCTTGGGATCCTGTTGATCTGTGACCTTATCCCCAACCCTGTGCTCTCTGAAACATGTGCTGTGTCCACTCAGGGTTAAATGGATTAAGGGAGGTGCAAGATGTGCTTTGTTAAACAGATGCTTGAAGGCAGCATGCTCGTTAAGAGTCATCACCACTCCCTAATCTTAAGTACCCAGGGACACAAACACTGCGGAAGGCCGCAGGGTCCTCTGCCTAGGAAAACCAGAGACCTTTGTTCACTTGTTTATCTGCTGACCTTCCCTCCACTATTGTCCTATGACCCTGCCAAATCCCCCTCTGCGAGAAACACCCAAGAATGATCAATAAAAAAAAAAAATTAAAAAAAAAATAAATAAATAAAAAAAATAAAAATAAAAATCATATTTCATGACTGTGTTGGTATAAAAAAAAAAAAATCTTCCTGATTACAATACTTTTTTTGCCTGACTTTAGTACCTTCTCACTGAAGTATGAATGGTAAAGTAGAAGGGGTAGAAATACTGACTACAGAGATACAGATAATAGGGGTCAAAAGAAATGTGTAATGTTATTTCCTAACACACAACCCTTCTTTCAAGATCACATTTTCATGCATTTATGTATTAAAAAATAATTTGAATTTAAAAAACTGTTGGTATGTAATAAATAACTTTGTTGTTGACTTTCAGTATCTCTTTTAATTTATTCTATAGGGCTTCCCATGTCTGTGCATAAAATTCAGGGCAGATTTCATGTTTTTATTCATTTATAGGCAATCAAAATACTCAGCAATTAATATGTTTAGTCTAGCCTAGTATTAAAAAAGTTGAAGTCCTGTTATAGGCACCTGCCATGAGAGAGGGTGGTTAGAATCTCACTTGCAGATCCTTTGATTTAATTGAGGCTCTTTCTCAGCTTACTGCTCCTGAGAAGATGGCAGTTCAGTTGACTTTTGGGATCACTGGAACCCTCCAGGCAGTCTATGGAGTTAAGACAACCTTGTATCATCTTTTTTGTGGATATGCCCTACCTCTGATCCATGGCATACACTTAAGCAACATTTGCCTAACAGTCACCTGTCACTCCACCTTCAAAGCAGCTGGCCAATCAATCTCATGGCTCTTTAGATTTCTTAGGCATGTGTCAGCTAGCTGGTCTTAAATGGCAGGGGTCACTTAACTAAGTTCTACATCTCTTAAAGCCTTCCTCTCTTGGATTCAGATAAAAGGAGACCTTCCTTTCCTTCCCCTTGGAGGTGTGATGGGACACTTAGCACACTAACAATTCTCTCCAAACATCCTCCTTTCCTCAATTTCGAAACTCCCAATCCTTTTATATCCTTGACATGATTAAGTAGCTTAAGAATCACATAACTGTTTTTTTTCCCTTCTGCTCATGTAAGAACTGGAGGGTGTCTTCATATCTCACCTTGAAATCTTCTGTCTTAGGGCCATAGCTAAAACAAACAAGGAGAGTCCCATTTTAAAATTCTGTTACACATGGTTGCAAACTTGCACCATACTCAAGAGGTTAGGGGAAAGAATTGTTTTATTTTATTTTACCAAATAAAGAAGAGCAAATGCTAGCAAATAATTAGAAAATTTTTATTGCTGAAGATCACTAAATGAACAGTACTTACTTACCAACATGTTTTCATTTGCCATCCATATGCTATCTTCATTAACAATAAAAATGTAAAATTATTGATGATTTTCAGGTACCAGGGATGAATGCTCAAATGCTAAGAAAACATTCATACTATTCTGCACCCAAAACTACTAACCTTATTTCCATAGAGGAATTTCTATATAGAATCCAGAGGTAAACAAGAGCCCAGGGAGAGGGAATTGTCTGTCCTTTCGGCAACATTATCTTATTATAAGCTCTTAAGAAATAGTTAACCTCATAGACATCAAACAGAGATTTTATATCCAAGAAGATATTGGCTCCAGGAAAGTGTCAAATTGATTCTATGCAGAATGAAAATTGGGAGCTGATTTTAAGTCAACAGTTTTATAACATGGAGAAATGATGTTAAATGGATTCTAGTGGGTTTAAAAATTTTTCTCCAGAACTTTCAATAGTGCTTGATGAGAATCAAGCTTTGACTTCCATAGCACTTGGGTTTGAAATGCTTCTGGAACATCAGAAATCTTACTATTAATATTTCAGTATGACCCTTTTCCATTTTTGTGAACATCAGAAATACATTAGTTATATCACTATGGAACATTTTCCTTACAATTTGCCATTTTAACAAGTCTTTTTCTTGGCCCTTTCAAATTTTACTTGCTCTTTTACCATTATCTGTTTTTAAGGTAGCTTTAATTGGCTTGAATTTTAAGTATTAGGGCAGGGTTTATATTACAAAAAAAGAATAATTTCTAGAAAAATTTAATAACTAATTAAAACACTTTATTACATTTCATCAAAATTGAGAATAATATAATTTAGAATGCAATCTATCCAGAAACTGATCTGTGAGCACTTGCTTGTGGTTACTGATTGTCCCATAGACTTAGAGAAAGAACTATATGAACTATACTTGGGTACACAGTGAACATGTTAAAACTAAGACGTAGCATTAATGTAAAATTCTTGGCAGAAGTCAAACCTTTAAACATCATGTGAATATAGATTTTCATATCTAATTTTATGAAGGCTTTTTTTTTTCTTGCCAGTTCTATAGTCTAATATTACTTTCTTTCTGCATTCTCTTTCACAGGCTATGGCCTTTGGCAAAGACAATGACAGGCAAATATTTATAAACCATAGATTAGTTATAAATTTGATCCAATCAAATGATCAGTAAGCACATTCTTATTGCCAGTTGTTATTACCTCTTTTGGAAAGGTATTGGCAACTTTCATTTTGTTAATTTCAAATCAGACAATTTCCCAGAACTAACTGAGGTTCCAGTGCCCAGCGGAAAGCTAAAATAACCTAAATTTGCTTCTTTTCCTTCTTCACTCCTGTCTTGTGTGTGTATACTTATTTGTGTATGTGCACAAGTATAAAGAAATAATTATTTTTGCAGCTTTTGGCCTGAATGCTTGTCACTCCATTTTACATAATTCAATTTACCCTCTTCCAAAAACAGATGTTTCAGTTGCAATCTTTGCCTCTTTAGAATCTCCATACAGGCAAGCTTAGCTAATAATTTTTGATTAATATAGCCAAATACCAACTCCTACTTCAAACCCCCTTTACTTGGAATACTATCATCAGATTGGTTTACAGAGAGAAGGAAATAACAATGAGGTCAGGAGGAATGGAGATGGGGTAAAATAGCAATAAAAAGTAATTATATAAAAATGCTAAAGGTATAACATCTGCTTTTTTGCTTAGCTCACTGAGCTTGACAGTTTCAGATTTATGCTATTGTCCATGTTTAAACAGATACAGAAAAGGGAAATGGGAAAGAATGTTTATGTGAGACTATTAAATAGTGCAGGGAAAATACGAGTTGTTATTACACTGGTAAGGAAAAGAGAAACTCAGTGAAATTTCTTTCCAGAGATTTGCCTTTGTGATCTGCAAGGTGCTGTTCCCCTGCTTACATTCCGTTACCCTGGCAACGCACTCCTGTAAAATAAAGATTATTAAAGCGCATATGATTATTTTGCTGCTGAGTGAATAAGACAAGCCGCTTCTGAAATGCCTTATCAGAGAAATTCAATTTTAGGCCAAATTGTGTTTTTGCCTCCTTCTAGCTTTTTTCCTCCCTCCCCCCACTTCAAATAAAACCATCATCTTCACATTTACTACATGATATTTTGTTACCCATTCACACCCTTAGTATTTTAAGTCAGTTTTCTTTTAATTTCATGAAAGCATTTTCCCCAATTTTTTATAGCTCTAGTCTATTTTCCAGCTATCTACCATCTGTTTGCAAATCAAAATTACAAAGCAATGTGCTCTTGCTTTTATTTTATTATATAGTAATAGTAGAAATATTGGGTTCTGTACCAAACATAAATGTATGTATTACACATTGGCTACGCAATATTTGACCAAAGGATGATGCAAAAGGCAAAGATAAGGAATGTGGTGCCATTTTAAAGTCTGCATATCCAACTGTATTGGTCATCCTCACCCTTAAGTTGAATGTCTTGTGCTTTTCCATTTGACATTGCCCTAAGGTGATGTTATAGAGCTGGGAAGTTTTATAGCCACGTTGACAGCCAGTCACGCCTTTGTTGCTTGGTGCCTCTACATTTGGAGAAAAGATTCTTGAGAGCCCTAAAATTATTTAATACCAAACTTATAAAGTTTGGTATTTTATAAGTATTTTAATATTAGCCAATTTCTTGGAGATATAGTAATGGCAACTTTGCTAAAACTATCTAGTGATTTCATTAGAAACTACAGCTTTTATCATAATTAGGGTCCGAGCAGAGGTCAACAAAAAATAAGTAAATTGGTAATAGTAAATGCATATTTACTGTTTCATGCTATCTGTGTGAAGAAGTTATCATTTAAAATCTTTTAATACAAGAAAGAGTTACATCCGCTTTGAAGTAGAGGTGGAGGGAATGAAGTTTGTTCAGAAAAAGGCAAGTTTCCAACAAAGGCCACATAGAAGACTCCTTACACATCTGTTAAAGCTAACACGAGACATGAATAGATAAGAACAGCCCTGGAGAAACCTTCATCCTGTACTCTCCGACAGTGGATGGATGAGGTGGATGACATTGCTTCTACAGAGATTGTTTATGGGACATTTTTCCCACTGCTACAAAACACTGGCATATAACCTAATACTGCTGTGTCATGAAAAAAAAGCAGAAGTACAGTGTTGATAATCTAATAACATGAAAACATTAATATTTGCTCTGTTAACTTATTTTCAGGCCCAACCAAGCACCATACTCCTACGTTGATTAAGCATACAGGCCCATTGGCTTTTTATGTAACTAACTACAAATCACTGCTTATTACTAAGAAATAACATTGATATTTCACAAGTTCTAGACACTCTGAGCACATGTAGAATGAAATATCAATTCTTCTAATGAAGCAAATCAAATTTAGTATTGTACACCCAATCTTTGGTATGTTAACACCACCATGGAACTTATGACTGTAATTCACTCCCAGCACTGCCCAGAAGGTGTCACCACAGCCTCATTGGCTTGAAGGACTTGGGGACATGTGGGGGAGTAGAAAGCAAGGGGAGAAAAACAGACACAAAGAAAAAAAAAATCTTCATGCAGACAAAGGAATATAAGACAACTACTAGTTGTAATATAGTGCCAAATACAGAATCACAAACATTCACCCCATGCTAAAACTACAAAATTACTACAGGAGAAAAGTGGGCCTCTACTTGTCAGTGAGAGTAGAAAGTAGGAGATTCATGGAAGGTGTTACTTGAGGTAGTCATTTTGTAGAAAATAAAAAGCAGGTGATAAATAGAAAATATTCATGTACTGAGCCTGGTCCAAGCTTCTTACCTAAAATGGTTTGCCTCCTTATCACATCTAGTTGGATAAGCTGCACTGGGCCACATAAAAGGAAAGATAAAAGAACAGCTGGGAAGAGATGCTATGAAGAATCAAAGAATAGAAAACACAAAGTCTTTTATTGAGAAGCTGCACAAATTAACTCCAAATTACCGCCACAGTCAGACAAGAGGAGGCTTCAAGGCACAAAACTTGTTGCTGCACTCCATCTTGCTTTATTGTGGTGTCTTCACTCATGTAGCTAAAAGCCATCCCCTTTATAGTACTATATCTTTTAATCTCTGCTCTTCCCCCCTGTAGTTTAATTAAAAGACAATGAACCTTTTAAAGTAGTCAAATGGAAAATATAAAATTGCACCATTCTATCAAAGCTTAAGATATTCCTGTTCTCAGAGCATGAGAAGAATTCAAAATAACATACTTTGTATTTTACTACACTTCAGTCCCTCTGTGCCATTTCTTCTTCAGGGCTCTTGATTGGAATAGCTATCTGAACCAGAAACGCAGCTCACCCTCAGAATGATAAACAGAGGCAAAATTAAAAACAAGTAAACAAACTAAAAAAAAAAAAAAAAAAAGTCAAGTTAAATCAATTAGATCTTTGTACCTGATTTTTTATTTTTAAATAATATTATTGTAATTCTGCATTCCTTCTATGTTTAACTGACATAGGCCTAAAGATTAGTAGTGTTTCTTATGTAAGTATTATTTACTCAATATGTTGTCAGTTTTAGGGCATGTGGGCTAAAATAAGAAAAATATAGTAAAATGTTATTGGATGATAAGTAGGCCTGAATGCTCAGCTTTCCGACAACTCCACAGCCTAAATCTATTAGTTTTGGCAAAGGGCACCAAGACAAATTCATGCCGTTTGAAATGTTCCATGGGAGTCTTTAAAAATGAAGGTCTTGTCTACTCTTTATGGACATTAAAATGCTTCATCCCAAGGACCCCTTTATAGCAAATTGCAAGCTGTTCTGTTTTATCTGCTTTGACAGAATGAAGGGCTGAGCTGGCCCTAGAGGGATGGGATACAGAGTCTGAGTAGCTCAAACTTGAGATTTCCAATAAACCATCTCCTACAATTAGAAGAAAGGCACAGAGGAGATTCATTTCAACAGATAGTTCCAGCCCATTTAGAACTACTCTATTCTCCCCTACTTATTTCATCACTAAAAATCTAACAAAAATCATGTCCCTCCAATACTCCACTCCAAACTAGCACCTAAAACTCTAATAACCAGTCTAGTTGAGCTTTGGCATATATACATCCTTCTTATTAGTCTCTTGATTCTGATACTTATTATATTAATTCCCGATTTCTTATAACTTCAAATCCTTTTCAACACTATAATTACCCAATCATTATTCTTTAAGTTCAATTGTCCAGTATAGGTTGCCTATCATTCTCCATAAAAGAAATACTTGCAGATTTCAGTTAGTTAATAAATGCTGCCAGGGCATGAGACTTAAGTTTAATTCTTCATCTATAGATGCCTAATATAGGAAACCTGCTAAAAACTTCCAGACACCACTCAATTCATTAATGCCAACTCTCTCCCTTTCTCTTACCCTTCTGTAATTAGGACGTCTCTTTTTCGAGTGTCATCACATATGATAATATATGGAGAGTGTGAACTGTTAACATCAAAAAAATGATTCTTCCCTTTAGAATGTAAGATTATAATAACTAATCCTATTTTTAAAAGTCCCCAAAGCCACATACTCATAAGTATACCTCTATGTAAGTCAGCTTATAAAAGTAATAAAAATGAGGGCCAGGCGCGGTGGCTCACGTCTGTAATTCCAGCACTTTGGGAGGCGGAGGCGGGCGGATCACGGGGTCAGGAGTTCAAGACCAGCCTGACCAACAAGGTGAAACCCCATCTCTACTAAAAATACAAAAATTAGCCAGGCGTGGTGGCACGTGCCTGTGGTCCCAGCTACTCGGGAGACTGAGGCAGGAGAATTGCTTAAACCCGGGAGGCAGAGGTTGCGGTGAGCCAAGGTCACGCCACTGCACTCCACCCTGGGCAACAGAGCGAGACTCTGTCTCAAAAAAAAAAAAAAAAAAAAAAAAAGGAATAAAAATGAAAAGATAGGGAAAAGAAGTCTCTCATCACCACCTCCAAAACTTTAACAATAGTAAAATTAATAATTTATCAAGAAAGATCCCCCTAGTTCAGGGAATATTCCTCAAACATACTCTGAAAGCTGAAATCTTACAGTATCGTATACAATAGCTGAAGCTCTGACAACGTTAAAATCATCCAGTCTGTTCCTGTCTCGGGTTTCTTATTTTTCTATACCAAAGCATCATTAAAATTGCACAAATTTGCCAAAAGGAAGAAGAGAATATAATGCAAACGTCACAACAATTAAAATAGAAAAGCATTAAAAAATGATTTAAAGCACAGGCGTTCAAATCAGACAGACTCGAATTTGAATATTGGTTCTGTTGACTACTGACAAGTTCTTGAACAGTCTAAAATTCAATTTATTCTTCTATTAAAAAACAATAATATCAACTTTGAAGGGTTATTGTGACTGAATAAGATAATATAGGTAAAATGCTCAGCACACTGCTTATCATACAGCAAATAAATATTCACATGCTAGTTACTATGGAAAGAATTTTCCCGGGGGAGGGGGACCTCTCAGAGAATGAAAATATTCATTTTATATGACTTGTTTTATAATAACGAAATAACATTCAATATGGAAGAACAAGTACAAGTTTCACCCTGTTGACAATTTAAAATTAACCTAAAGAATAAATATTGCTGGGTGCAGTGGCTCACATCTGTAATCTCAGCACTTTGGGGCACCAAGTGGGTAGATGGCTTGAGGCCAGGAGTTCAAGACCAGCCTAGGCAACATGGCAAGACCCCATCTCTATAAAAAACAAAACAAAACAGAATAAATATTTTTGGGTTTTCAATAATGAAGATATAATGACTTCATTATTTGATATAAAATTTGACACATGCCCTCTGCTCAAAACAGAAAACACGGGAGATAAAATATAAAAATGGATAACCAAAAACAAAATACATAAATAGGCTCACAAACACGATACGTACTTCTATGGACCAGTATGAAGACAGAATTGCAAAACAGTGTGCAGGGCTGAGGCTACTGTGTGCTAGACTCTGGAGGGAAACAGTGGTAGCCAGGATTCGGCTCCAGTATGGTAAGGGGGACTAAATAGGTTTTGGAGAAATAGGGAATAGCTTGATATTGGAGGCTGGTGTGTGGCTTCCCCTCACTGGAAAGCTCAGTGGCTGAATCTGTATCACTCTGAGCTGAACTGTCATTATAAGGCATATGTCTGGACAGAAGCCTTGGGGAGTCTGTTGTAGGTAATTGAAAGATCATCACAGGACGGAATGAACAAGGACAAAAAGAGCAAAACACTCATAAAACCTCCTACTCAAATAGGACGGAAAACCAAAATTAACAGAAATCAAATTCTAACAAAGGTATCAAACAAAATCAACAAATCAACACTCAGAAAATGAATTCGCTCTGGCCAGGTGTGGTAGTTCACACCTGTAATCTCAGTACCTTGGGAAGCTGAGGCAGGAGGATCACTTGAACTCAGAAGTTCAAGACCAGGCTGGGTAACATGGCTAGATTCCATCTCTACAAAAAGAAATTTAAAAATAGGCTGGGTGAGGTGGCATGAGCCTATAGTCCCAGCTAATCATGAGGCTGAGGTGGGAAGATAGCTTCAACCCAGGAGGCTGAAGTTGCTGTGAGCCGAGAGCCGAGATCTGCACTCCAGCTGGGGCAACAGAGTGAGACCTTGTCTAAAAAAAAAAAAAAAATTAGAGAAAAAGAAAATGAATTCACTCCACATAGCATTAGTTTCATTGAAAAAGCCTAACAACGACTTCCATGACTTTCAGCGAAGTATGTTTGGAATATTTGAAGGCATAAATAAAATAAATATAAAATATTTCAGGCAAAAGGCAATAAGCTATAAAATGAGTCAGATATGAAATAACAACGGTATATGTGGAAAAAAACTAGAAATGAAAATACAGTCACCGAAATTAAAAACTCAAGAGCATGAATAAGCTCTGGACTGCATCTTGTACATTCAAAACCCTAAGGAATAAACCAAAAAAGCTATTAGATCTATTAAACGAGCTTAGCAAAGTTGAAGAACATAAGACTAAAATATAAAAATCAATTGTATCTCTATATGCTACCAATGTATAGACTACAATTTGAAAATAAAACTTAGTGAACAATTGCATTTACAATAGCATCAACAAGAATAAAATACTTAGGAATAAATATAATAACAGGACAGACATGTATACTAAAATCTATAAAACATAATTGAAAGAAATTTAAAAATTTTCAAGGATCTAAATAAATGGAAAGACATCCAGTGGTCTTCCGATGGACTGAAAGACTTAATAGTATTAAATGTCCACACTCCCCAAATTGTGAACTACAGATTCATTAGGAATTCTATCAAAATATCAGATGTCTTTTGGCAGAAACTGACAAGCTAATCCTAAAATTCATATGGAAATACAGAGGACCCAGAATAGCCAGAATAATCTTGAGGAAGATGAATAAAGTGTAGAATCTTTTTTTGTTTGTTTGTTTGAGACAGAATCTTGCTCTGTTGCCAGGCTGGAGTGCAGTCACGCGATCTTGGCTCACTGCAACCTCTGCCTCCCAGGTTCAAGTGATTCTCCTTCCTCAGTCTCCCAAGCAGCTGGGACTACAGGTGCCTGCCACCACGCCCAGCAAATTTTTATATTTTTAGTAGAGACAGGGTTTTACGATGTCGGCCAGGATGGTCTCGATCTCTTGATCTCGTGATCTGCCTGCCTCGGCCTCCCAAAGTGCTGGGATTAGAGGCGTGAGCCACCGCACTCAGCCAATAAAGCGTAGAATTTATATTTCCCAATTTCAAAACAGCCTACAAAGCTATAGTAATCAAGATTGTATGGTATTGACATAGAGATATAGATCAATGAGACAGAATTAAGATATCAGAAATAACCCTTATATTTCTGGTCAATTGATTTTCAATAAGGTTGGCAAGATAATTTGATGGGGGAAAGAAAACCTTTTCAACAAATCATGCTGTGGTAAAGGGATATCCACATGCAAAAGAACGAAGTTGTCCCCTACCTCACACCCTATACAAAATTAAGTCAAAATGGATCAAATACCTAAATGGAGGAGGTAAAATTATAAAACGCATAGAAAAAAAAAAGGAGTAAATATTCTTGACCTTGACTTAGGCAGTGATTTCTTATATATGATACCAATAGCACAAGCAATAAAAAAATTTGATAAAACTGAACTTCGTCAAAAATTTGAAAAAAACTTTTGTTCTTCAAAGGACACTATCAAGAAAGTGAAAAGATAACTGACAGGAAAAAAGTATTTGCAAATCATATATCTGATAAGAAACTTGCATTCAAAATATACGAAAGATACATATAACTCAATAAAATACTAAAACCCCAATTTTAAAAATAGGCAGAGGATTTGAATAGAAATTTTTCCAAAAAAGATATAGAAATGCCAATAAGCATGTAAAAGATGCTCATTAGTGATTAGTCATTAAGGAGATGCAAATCAAAACCACAATGAGATACCACTTCATACCCACTAGGATATGTAATAAAAAAGACAATAAATAACAAGTATTTGGGAGGATCTGGAGAAATTGGAACCCTCAGACATTACTTGTGGGATTGTAAGATGATGCAGCCACTTCTGGCAATTCCTCAAAATGTTAAACATAGAGCCATCGTTATGACTAAGACCAACAATTCCACTCCTAGGAATATACTCAAGAGAAAAGAAAACATATTATCCACACAAAAATTTATACATGAATGTTCACAACAGCATTATTCACAATCATAAAAAAAGTGGAAACAATTCAAATGTCCATCAAATGATGAACAGAGAAATAAAACAGGGTAATATGATTTGACAAAAGAAAAAAAAGAGAAAGGAATGAAATACTGATACATGCTACATCTATGAACCTCAAAAACATTATGGTAAGTGAAAGCAGCCAATTACAAAAGACCACAGATTGTATATTGTATAGTATCATATATGCAAATGTTCAGAATAGGCTAATCTATAGAGACAACAAGTAGATTAGTGATGACACAGGGCTGGAGGGCATGAGCAAATGGAAGGGGGAGTAATGAGAAGTGACTACCAATAGGTACAATGTTTATTTTGGGGATGACGAAATGAAAATGTTCTGAAATTAGATTTTTGTAACATTCGTATAACTATAAATATACTAAAACCCACTGAGTTGTACACGATATACCAGTGATGCATATTTATGACATGTAAATTATATCTCAGAAAGTGTTTTTAAAATGGTTGGGGATGCAGATGTAAATTGCTATAACCACTTAGAAGAACAATTTGCCAACATCTAATATAGTTTATAATACACGTATACCCAGCAAATTCATTCTTAGGTACACAATGGGGCAAAAATCTTACATACAAGCACAAGAAGGCAAAAAAATATTCATTATAACATTGTTTATAATAGTTGAAAAAATGGAAACTACCCAAATGTTAATTAAGAAGTGAATGGATAAGTTGGGCGCGGTGGCTCATGTCTGTAATCCCAACACTTTGGGAGGCAGATGTGGGTAGATCGATTGACTGCAGGAGTCCGAGACCAGCCTGGACAACATGGCAAAATTCCATCTCTACAAAAAATACAAAAATTAGCCATGCGTGGTGGCGTATGGTTGTAGTCCCAGCTACTAGGGAGGCTGAGGTGGGAGAATTATGTGAGCCCAGGAGGCAGAGGTTGTAGTGAGCCGAAATTGTGCCATTGCACTCCAGCCTGGGTAACAGAGCAAGGTGATGCTCTATCTCAAATAAAGAAAATAAAGAATGATAAACTGGTACATATTTTTAAAATGAAATACCATAAAATGTATCAATGAAAATGAATTTCGAAAATAGAATGTTGAGAAAAAAGCAAACTGCAAATGACATACACAATGTGATGCCATTTATAGCTCAAAAACTTGTTATACAACAATATACACCATTTTTGGATACATAAACATATAATAATAAGATTTCTTAGGAATAAAACCACTATCTTCAAGGTACAGCTTACTTCTGAGAAGAAACATAAGCAGATTTGTTAAAACATGATTTATATCTATAATGTACCATTATTATTATTAAAAATTCTGTAGCAAGCATGACAAAATGGCAATTTATTAACCAGTGTAACAGGCCTAAGAGTATTGCTTATATTACTCTTTTTTCAGTTTGTTTAAAATATATTTTAACACACACAAAAACGGCACGATCCAACAAATTTAAACTTTCCCCAAACAGCAAAGCTTCTCAGAATGGTTTTTCTGTTTTGCAATCAATAAACCAAAGGCAAATATTATTGACCTAAGCCAGCATTAGAGTACCACTAAAAGTCAAAGGATTCATTTAGTCAAAATGCTAAATTTTTTTAAGGTGCAATTAGTACGGATGAATTCAAGCATTTTAAAAATCAGATGCTCTCTGACCTTCCCACTAAAGTGTCACCTGACAAGGTCACCATTTCAAGAATATAGTAATTATTCAGGAATGAGGGAGAACATTCAGTGGGGTAGTCTCCCCACTGTTTTCTCAGTAGAAATCACAGAAATGACAACTGTAATTAAATCTTTTTTTTAAATTACCTATGAGTTTTAAGTCAGGATGAAAATTATTTCTAACCTTATGAACTTTCACACTGCACTGCACTAAAAGAAAATCCTTCCAGTTTTCCTTTATATGAGTAAAGCATATGACAGCTAAATAAATAGGAAGTCTTCACTTCTGACCTTTCATTGCTATTCAAAAGAAGCAATTCTGTTTGCCACTATTCCACTTACCAAAGATACAAATGAAACAAGTAGAATAATTAACACAAAATCATCTCTTATTGAAAAGAGCTGAATGCTTTAAGAAAAACATTATTACAAAAGAAGGGAGAAGGTACCATTTAGCCCCTAAGCCATGGAAGTTAACAGACTCTTTCCATCTTTTGGTAATGATGACTTAAATTTTGGAAACATTCAAAAAAAAAAAAAGATTTTTCAGGTTGAAAGAAAGTATTATAGAAGTCCAATCATTCACAATTATTATCATTATATAAAAGTCTACCTTTTCAGAAAATTTAAGACCACATTTTTTATAATTGTAACAAACATAGATTACCCTTTACTCACCTTTCCCCCCAAAAATATAACAAGATAAAGACAGTGAAACGTTTTGGTATATTTAATCACACCATTACCTGCTTCCCTATTAGGGACAACAAACAGGTCTCATCTCCTGGCCCAACTCTGAATGACTATAAGTGACTGCTCAGGACTGTGTCAAGAAATGTTCCTAGGCCATCTGAGCTTACAAGCAGAGTAGTGGATTGATTAGGGAAAAGGAATGATGAAATGTCAGCCAAGTATTTGCCAGCCTGATTTTATATCTGTTAATGATAGAAAAGAACTAATCATACTTACTCACTCATACATATGTTTGAGTATATGTTATAAAGTGAGTTAATACCTAAATGATTTAAATAAAATTCAAATAATTACTAGCACATGTCGTTAGAGAAAAATATAAACTGGGGGAAAAGGAAGAGTTTCTCAATTAGAAGAAATATACAGGACTTGACGATAGGCCTGATGGGGACAATATGAGCCACAGAAGGAAAAACCTCAATGACTCAAAATATTTATTGTTTTGTCTATTCTGGACATTTTTTATAAGTGGAATCATATGATATGTGGCCTTTGTGACTGGCTTCTTTCACTAAGCATAATGCTTTCAAAATTAATCCATATTGTAGTATATAATGTTACTTCATTCTTTTTTATGGTCAAAGAATGTTTATTGTATGAATATACGGCATTTTACTTTTCCATTCTTCAGCTGATGGACCTTTGGGTTATTTTCATTTTTTCTGAATAAAATATTTTATCATATGTGTTAATATATTCTTTAAATATTTGGTGGGCAGATCATTTGAGGTCAGGACTTCGAGACCCTTCTGGCCAACATAGTGAAAACACATCTCTACTAAAAATACAAAAATTAGCTGGCCGTGGTGGCAGGCACCTGTAATCCAAGCTACAGCTGAGGCAGGAGAATCACTTGAACCTGGAGGCAGAGGTTGCAGTAAGCCGAGATCGTGTCACTACACTTCAGCTGGGTGACAGAGCAAGACTCTGTCTCAAAAAAAGAAAAAACAAAACAAAACAAAACAAAACAACTCCTCATCCATTAAAGTTTTACCATGAGATTGCAGCAACTCAGTCACATCTTCAGGCTCTACTTCTAATTCTAGCTCCCTTGCTATTTTCATCAGATTTGTAGTTACTTCCTCTATTAAGTCTTGAACCCGTCAAAGTCTTCCTAGAGGGTTGGAATCAACTTCTTCCAAACTTCTGTTAATACTGATATTTTGACCTCCTTCCATGAATCACAAATGTTCTCAAAGGCATCTAGAATGCTGGTTCCTTTCCAGAAGGTTTT
The DNA here is from genome assembly GCF_000001405.40 of Homo sapiens. NCBI lineage: Eukaryota > Metazoa > Chordata > Mammalia > Primates > Hominidae > Homo > Homo sapiens. Next base: position 72,512,195 of record NC_000016.10, read on the forward strand.
CAATTTACCTTGCCCAGATCCATCAAAGGAATGGCTATCTATTCTGAAATAACAAGACTTGAAAGTCAAAATGACCCTTTGATCCATGGGTTGCAGAATGGTTCCTGTGTTAGCAGGCATGAAAACAATATTAATCTCCTTGTACACCTCCGAGCTCTTAGGTGATGAGGTGCATCATCAATGAGCAGGAATATTTTGAAAGGATTCTTCACTTCTGAGCAGTAGGTCTTGAGAGTGGGCTTAAAATATTTAGTAACCATGCTGTAAACAGTTGTGCTGTCACCCAGGCTTTGTTGTTTCATTTATAGAGCACAGGTAGAGTTGATTTAACATAATTTTTTTTTTATTATTATTTTTAGAGATGGGGTCTCACTATGTTGTCCAGGGTAGCCTCAAATCCCCAGGCTCAAGCAATCCTCTGACCTCAGCCTCTCAAGTAGCTGGCAGTACAGGCATGAGCCACCAAACCCCCCAAATTAGCATAATTCTTAAGGGCCCTAAGATTTTCAGAATGGTAGATGAGCAGTGGCTTCCACTTAAAGACTCTAGCTGCATTAGCCCCTAACAAGAGTCAACTTGTCCCTTAATTCTTTGAAGCCAGACATTGACTTGTCTCTAGCAATTAAAGTCCTAGATGGCATCTTTTCCCAATAGAAGGCTATTTCCTCGACATTGAAAATGTGTTGTTTAATGTAGCCACATTCATTAGTTACCTTAGCTGGATATTCTGGATAACTTGCTGCAGGCCTCTGCATCAGTACTTGCTGCCTCACCTTGCACTTTCATGTTACGGAGATGGCTGCTTCTTTTGTTAAACCTCATCAACCAATCTCTGCTAGCTTTATTTATTTATTTATTTATTTTTATTTTTGAGACGGAGTCTTGCTCTGTGGCCCAGGCTGGAGTGCAATGGCGCAATCTTGGTTCACTGCAACCTCTGCCTCCCAGTTCAAGTGATTCTCCTGCCTCAGCCTCCCAAGTAGCCGGGATTACAGGTGTGTGCCACCATGCCTGGCTAATTTTTTGTATTTTTAGTAGAGACGGGGGTTTCAGCATGTTAGCCAGGATGGTCTCCATCTCCTGACCTCATGATCTGCCAGCCTCGGCCTCCCAAAGTGCTGGGATTACAGGCATGAGCCACCGTACCCGGCCTATTTTTTTTTTTTTTTTCCTACAGCTTCCTTGCCTTTCATGGCCTTCTAGAACTGAAGAGAAGTAAGGCCTTGTATCTGGATCCAGCTTTGGCTTAAGGGAATGTTGTGACTGGTTTGATCTTCTACCACTAACACTTTCTCCACATTGGCAATAAGCCTATTTTGCTTTCTTATCATTTGTATGTTCACTGGCGTAGCACTTTTAATTTCCTTCAAGAATTTTTCCTTTGCACTCACAATTTGGATAATCGTTTGGCACAAGAGGCCTAGATTTTGGCCTATCTTGGCTTTTGACATGCCTTCCTCATTAAGGTTAATCATTTCTAGCTTTGATTTAAAGTGAGAGATGTGCAACTCTTCCTTTCAATCGAACACTAAGAGGCCAATGCAAGGTTATTAATTGACCTAATTTGAATACTGTTGTATCTTAGGGAATAGGGAGGCCTGAGGATAGGGAGAGACAGGGAAATGGCCAGTCAGTGGAGCAGTCAGAAACACACATCACATTCATTAAGTTCACCATCTTTCATAGACAGTTTGTAGTGCCTCAAAACAATTACAATAGTAACATCAAAGATCACTGATCGTAGATGAGCATAACAGATATAATAATGATAAAAAAGTTTGAAATATTGCAAGAATTACCAAAATGTGACACAGAGAGACAAAATGAGGACGTGCTGTTGGAAAAATTGTGCCTATAGGCTTCATCCACACAGGGTTGCCACAAACCATCCATTTGTTTAAAAAAGAAAAAAAAAAAAAGGCAGTATCTGTGAAGCACAGTAAAATGAAGTATGCTTATACAAGATCATGCAAACAGAAAGAGTTTTACATTTTTTTCCCCAAACTGGATGCCTTTTATTCCTTTCTCTTACTTAAATGCTCTGGCTAGAACTTCTAGTACAAGGTTAAAGAGAAGTACTGAGAGTGGACATCATCTTGTACCTGACCTTTCTGAAAAGCATTTAGTATTTCACCAAGAAGTATGTTAGCTGTGTGGTTTTTGAAGATGCTTTTTATCAGGTTGGCAGATTGTCTTTCTACTCCTAGTTGGCTGGATGTTTTTATCATGAAAGAATGTTGAATTTTGCCAAAAACTTATTCTGTATCTATTGAAATGATTATGTATTCTTGTCCTTTGTTGTATTAATTTGATGCGTTACATAGATTGATTTTCAGATGTCAAAGCAAACTTCCATTCCTAGGATAAATCCCACTCGGTTATAGTGAATATATATACTATAATATAGCTGGATTTGATTTGCTAGTATTTGGTTGAAGATTTTTGCATCTATATTTACAAGAGAAATTGGTCAGCATTGTTTTTTCATGTTTGCTTTGTCTAGTTTTGGAATCGGGGAAATACTGACTTGACAAGAGTAAGTTGGGAAGTACTTCCTACTCAGGTATTTTTGTAAGCATTTGTAAAGGATTGGTGTTAATGTTCTTTAAACAAATGGTACAATTTACCAATGAAGGTATTTGGGCCTAGGCTTGTGGGAATTTTAAAAATTACTAATTAAATTTCTTTACTTTTTATACAGGTCTATTCAAATTTTTATTTTTTCTTGAGTCAGCTTTGGTAGTTTTTGTCTTCCTAGGAATTTTCCATCTCAAGTTGTATAATTTGTTGGTGTACAGTGGTTTATAGTGTTACCTTACAATCCTTTTCATTTCATTTCTTTAATTTTATGTTGTGGAATACATGTGCAGGACGTGTAGGTTTGTTACATAGATAAACGTGTGCCGTGGTGGTTTGCCACACCTATCAACTCATCATCTATGTATTAAGTCCCGCATGCATTAGCTATTTATCCTTGATGCTCTCCCTCCCTCCAGCTCCACCCCCTACAGGGCCCAGTGTGTTTTGTTCCCCTCCTTGTGTCCATGTGTTCTCATCATTCAGCTCCCACTTATAAGTGAGAACATGCGGTTTAAGTGTTGTTTCCTCTTTCATTTCTGATTTTAATAATTTGAATCTTCTTTTTTATTGGTCTGCTAAAGTTTTGTCCATTTTGTTGATCTTTTCGAAGAACCAAATTTTGGTTTCATTGATTTTCTCTATTGTTTTTCTATCTTGTATTATATTTATTTTTGTTCAAATTTTAATTATTTTCTTCTGCCTCACTGTGTTTAGTTTGTTCTTTTTATTGCTTCTTAAGATTGTTATTGACTTCAACTTTTTTTAAATATAGGCATTATACCAATAATTTCATGTAAGTACTGCTTTAACTGTATCTCATACCTTTTGCTGTGTTTTATTTTTATTTTCATTAATCTCTAAGTATTTTCTCACTTCATTTGTTAAATTTTTCATTCATTGGTCATGTGTGTATTGTTAATTATTCATATATTTCTGGATTTCCCAAATTTCTTTCCCTTGTTTCTAATTTAATTCCAATGTGGTAGGAAAACATGCTTTGCATGATTTCAATCATTTAAATTTATTGAGGCTTATTTTATGGACTATAGATGGTCTATTATGGAGACTATTCTATGTATGCTTGAGAAGAATATATACTTTTGTTGTTGCTATGAGGAGTGTTTTATAGATCCTGTTAGTTCATGTTAGTTGGTGGTATTGTATGACACTTCCTTGTTGATCTTCTTCCTAGTTGTGCTATTATTGGAAATGGGGTACGAAGTCTCCAACTATTATTATTTTACTGTCTACTTCTCCCTTCGATTCTGTTGGTTGTTGCTTTTTATGTTCTTGGGTCTGGTGTTAGTACATATTTGTTTGATATTTTTACATCTTCTAGATGGATTGACACTTTAAATTGTCCTGTTATGACTCTAATAACAATTTTTGCCTTAAAGTCTCATATTAGTACACCAACTTCAGCTCTATTTTGATTACTGTTTCTGTGGTATAAGTTTTCCTATCTATTAGTTTGAACCTTTTTGTGTCTTTGAATCCAAAGTATGTCTCTTGTGAGAGCATATGGTGGCATCTTGCTCTTTTATTCATTCTGGAAATCCTTGTTTGTTGATTAGAATGTTTAATCTGTTTCTTTCCATTTAAAATAATGCAATGAAGGCTTTTACTATCCAAAACCTTATTATTCAGTATACTTTCAGGAATAGATTTGATGCAGAAAATTAGGAAGTGCAAGGTCCACAGATGTTGGCAGGTATCAGGGAAAGCTCTTTAGTAGAGGTGGTGTGCAACTTATCTTGGAATATAAGCAAAAGTTAGTCAACTAAATAAGACATGGATTAGAACAGTGGAGCTCCTGAGAATCAGGTATTTCTGGTAGAGCAAACAATACGAAGAAAGAAAAGAGCATGGTCTATTTGGATCATTAGTTGTTGTTTCAGTATTGATGCAGTAGAAAACGGTGGCACTGGGCGCGGTGGCTCACGTCTATAATCCCAGCACATTTGGAGGCTGAGGCAGGTGGATCACGAGGTCAGGAGTTCAAGACCAGCCTGGCCAACATGGTGAAACCCTATCCCTGCTAAAAATATAAACATTAGCTGGGCGTGGTGGCACGAGTCTATAATCCCAGCTACTCGGGAGGTTGAGGCAGGAGAATTGCTTGAACCCGGGAGGCAGAGGTTGCAGTGAGCCAAGATCGCACCACTGCACTCCAGCCTGGGCGACAGGGCGAGACTATGTCTAAACAAACAAGCAAACAAACAAAAAAACAAAAAAAAAAAAAGAAAAGAAAATGGTGGTATTGAGGTGTGCTTTAAGTCACCACATATGTATTGTGGCTAAAACTGTTAGAATGAATGATATTATCCAGGGATAATGTCAGGAGTAACAAAACATGAAGGTCTACATCTAAACTCTTGTTTCAGATTTTAAGGAATAATTTCAAGGTTTCCCTAGGGTCTGAAAAGCAATGGAAAATGAAAACCTGAACATTCCATGAACACATCTTTTTGTATTGAGAATTAATGGAATTAAGTTTATGGTTTTTACATGCCCAAGTGAAATAGTCATTAGCAATCATTGAAAAGTTTAGAGCAATGACACGCCCACACCACTCTGCATTGCCTTCTGAGAACAGCTGCACATGCTGCCACAAGTTTGTGCCATACTGTAATACTTTTTACAGTACTGTAACTATTTCATAATATATTTTCTTTATTTTTTGAGACAGAGTCTCACTCTCACCCAGGCTGGAGTGCAGTGGTACCACCTTGGCTCACTGCAACCTCCACCTCCCAAGTTCAAACGATCCTCCCACCTCAGCCTCCCAAGTAGCTGGGACTACAAGTGCACACCACCACACCCAGCTAATTTTTGTATTTTTAGTACAGTGGTGGTTTCACCATGTTGGCCAGGTGGGTCTCGAACTCCTGACTACAAATGATCCACCCACCTTGGCCTCCCAAAGTGTTGGGATTACAGGCGTGGCCCACTGTGTCTGGCAGATTTCATAATATATTTTAATTGTGAACCTTAAAGATACTATAAAAAGAGTAACTCAATCCTCACCATGTAGTGTGGAATATAAGAAAACCTTAGCTTACTTATGTCGTTTAAAAAAATTATCAGAATATTTATAAAATCCCATTACATAGTTATTACACAGTTCTCACATGATAGCTATCACAGTTCCTTCTTTTCCTTTTTGTAGTTCTGCCTACATGTCTGTGATGGTTAGTACTGAGTGTCAACTTGATTGGATTGAGGGATACAAAGTATTAATCCAGGGTGTGTCTGTGTAGGTATTGCCAAAAGAGATTAACATTTGAGTCCCTGGGCTGGGGAAGGCAGATCCACCCTTAATCTGGTGGGCACAATCTAATCAACTCCCAGGGAATATAAAGCAGCCAGACAAATGTGAAAAGACGAGATGGGCCTAGCCTCCCAGCCTACATCTTTCTTCCATGCTGGATGCTTGCTGCCCTCAAACATCGGACTCCAGGTTCTTCAGTTTGGGGCCTTGGACTGGCTCTCCATGCTCCTCAACTTGCAGAGAGCCTATTGTGGGGCCTTGTGATCATGTAAGTTAAGGAAGTCTGATAATAATATATATATCTATATCTGTCCTATTAGTTCTATCCCTTTAAAAGAACCCTGACTAATACAATGTCTGTAGAAGGCAACCTTTCAACTATCCATCACAACTTTTACTTATGTTTTCTATATTCCTACAGTATTTCTAAAATAAACACACACTGCATCTCTCTCCATCCACGTGAAGAACATACATTCCTTCAAGGTAATCTATATAAAGAGAAGTAGAAGAAACATCTAATTAATGTTGGCAAACATTTTATAAATTAGGATAAGTCATTTTTGCTGGTTTGAATAGTTTTGGGCAAAGGTTATGAAATATAGAGAGTTATGCTGAAGGAAATGGTCCTTCTCCAGTCCAATTTTTTGCTATAGTATAAGTGACTAACCACCACCATTGCTGCACTGGCTTGTCCCTTTTTTCCCCATCCAAAACATTCAGTATGGTGCTTATTTGGCAGGGTAGGAGTGAATACTACTGATAATGATAGCATAATAGCTCCATCAGTGCCATGTGTATATTATATCTTGAATATATACAGTTCATAATTATTGGGGAATAAGAAACTATAACAGATGCAGCTGCAAAAGCAGCCAACTTGCCATCTTCCTGAAGTTGATAAGAACCTAAATGAACACTTTCATATTGTATGACATGTATGAACCAACTGAAAATCCAATTTATAATAACATGCTCCTGTCTATTCCTTCCTGTGCTAAACTACATGAGTTCCACTATTATGTTAAATCCAATATTCTGCTGTTCTCCCTGCTACTCACTTTCATCCTATAATTCTAGAGTGTCAAAGTTTAAAACACTGTAATAATATACCTGCAGAAATTTAGTAATAAGGCAGATATAGGTTTAATCTGAAATAAATGGTTTTTATAAATTATTTCCGTATATCTAACAAGTCTGATCTAGGTATTGTTGGCTCAAGCTTCTATCAACTCAGAACATCCTGGAGCTGAAGAGAAATTCCAGGTTGCTTTGTGTCCGCATGTCTATGAATTAATAATATGGAATTAGGGAATACTAGAAACAGTCCACTACTAATGAATCTAGAAATGTATCTCATAGTTGAGAGAGCTGTAATTCAACTCAACAAATACTTCCTGAATATAATGTCCAATACTTGCTAAGTATAAACAGTTATTCATAAAGCCATCGCTACATTTAGATGTAAAATATGAGTCACTAGGTTTAAATCTCATTAAATCTTCACAACAACCCAATGAGGGTGTCCATCATCATTTGGCAGGTAAATAAAATGAAATTACAAAACTATTAACTGGGGGTGGTGAACTTGAACCCTAAACTATTCAACTCTAAAGCCTGCGTCCTCAGACAGTATTACATTTTTCTTCTTAATGGTATATTCACTTGGTTTTGCAATCTATTTGAGATTTCAGGTCTGTTTTTTTTAACTATAATGTTTTAATAAGACAATACATTTACATGCTTTAAAAGTCAACACTGAGGCAAGAAGAATTGAAAATTGGTAACAATAAGTATATCTGGTATACAGATGACGATTTACATCATTAAAAGAAACCAGGGCTCCCTGGAGAAACGGCTTAATAGAAGAACTGCGGCAAGGAATATAGAACATGAGTCTGGAACATTTTGTTATACCAGAAAGCAAGGAAGAGATTTAAAAAAAAAAATGTTAGGGGCCAAGTTTGGAGGCTCACACTTGTAATCCCAGCACTTTGGGAGGCCAAGACAGGAGGATCGCTTGAGCTCAGGAGCTCAAGACCAGCCTGGGCAACATGGTGAGACCTTGTCTCTACTAACAACAACAACAACATCAAAAAATCAAAAAAGTTAGCCAGCTGTGGTGGTAAACACCTGTAGTCCCAGCTACTTAGGAGGCTGAAGTGGGAAAATCACCTGAACTCAGGTCTAAGCAGCAGTGAGCTGTGATGGTGCCACCCGCAGTCCAACCTGGGCAGCAGAGTAAGACCCTGTCAAAAAAAAAAAAAAAAAAAAAAAGACAGGGACATTTGAGAAACACTGGAGCCAGCTTGAAGAGATTTCTACTGGCTGAATTTGGGACAATATAAGCACTGAAAAAATGTGATATCCGTGAGTCCATAATGATCCTTTTTTTTTTCTTAATGGGAGAGGAGGAGAAGCTTTTCTTCATAGCAACACACCAGCCAGTTAATGTGAAAGGACTATTTGGTAAGAAAATCATTTGGCAAATATTATAGTAAAAGCAGATTTAGTCAAGAATCATCAATATATATTACAATTCATAGGTGAAAACCTTACGAAGAACAAGATATCTCCATCATCTCAAATTATTTTACCAACAAAATTCTTGCTAATTATAAGACAGAAAAGAGTAACTTCACAATGGGAAACCTACAAGATGGCACATAAACCAAATGATCCAAGTTAACACCAACATTAAACATAAACATGTGAATAAAAAGATATCACATCCCTTCTAATATGATACACTGAGAAAGATACCAAGTCACTTCTGTGGTGTCCTCACCAAAAATTCTAACCATGCAGAAACATCAGACAAACCCAAATTGAGTAATATTTTTCAAAATATCTAGCCTGCACTACTTAAAAAAGGTTAAAGTCATGAAAGACAAACAAGGATGATTTCAGATTAAAGGAAACTAAGAGATCTGACAATAAATGCAACGTGAGATACTAGATTGCACTCTGATACAGAAAAAAAATTTATTTATTTCCTGTAAGGGCAAAGAAATACAAGGGAAAAAAAGGTGTAATATGAATCAGATTTGTAGATTTCATAATAGTATTGTATCATGTTAATTTCCCCTGTGGTTATATATCAGAATATTCTTAGAAAATACAAATGAACGTATTTTGGGGGAAAGAGGCGTTATGTCTGCAACTTACCCTTAAATGGTTCAGAAAAACATAACACATATATAATTAAATATATAATATCATACATAGAGACAGACTGTGAGGACGATACAAAGCAAATATGGTAAATTTGGGTATCTGGGGGAAGAGTATACAGAAATTCTTTGTAATATTCTTGAGGCTTTTCTCTGAGATTAAGATTATTTCCAAGAGAAAATTTATTGCTAATTTGTACTAAGAAGACCCACAATAAACTTAGACACTATAAATAAAGAAGGAAGCAGGGCAGCTGAAATATAAGGTAATGGTCACAAAAATGTAGTCTAATTAGATATTATTTAAATTTCCATTAGACATAAGAAATTACAATAATTTTTAGTGTGATATGATTTCTTAAAAAACAGCCTTTATCTGTCAGCGATACACAGTGAAATATTTACGGATATATACAGATGAAATAATATGATGTCTGACACTGACTTTAAAATAATTTAGTGAAGGGAAATGGGTGTGGAATTATGGATGAAGTAATATAGCTCATGCATTGATAATTGTTGAGGCTAGGTGATGGGTATCAAGGTTAGTTAACCTATTCTTTCTTCTTTTGTGTAAAGTACACAACAAAAAGTTTTTAAACAGTCAATGTTATACAAAAAATGCAACAGATGAATCTTTGTCCCACTCCTGCCACCATATTTCCTGTCAACTCCTTATAGGTAACCATTTTATTAGTTGCTTTTTTTTTATTTTTCCAGTTTCTTTACAAAAATACAAGAAAATACAAATATATACTCTTACTTTTCCACTCTTCCTACAAAAGGTAACAAACAATAAACACTGCTCTATATATTGTTTCCCTTCACCCCACCAGCTTCATACATTCTGTATATCTCTCCATACCAGTATATACAGCTCTATTTTGTATATGTGTGTGTGTGTTTGCGTGTGTTCCATGGTTTATTCAACCAGTCCCTTATTACTAGATCCTTGATTTATTTCCAATCCTGTATTCATGCAACAATGCTATAATAACAATATAACAATATAACAATGCTATAATAAATGACTGTGTATATTTCTGTCATTTTGTACCAGTGCAGGTTTACCTACAGCAGTGGTCCCTGACCTTTTTGGTACCAGGGACCAGTTTTGTGGAAGACAATTTTTCCACACATGGGGGCGGTGGTTTCAGGATGAAACTGTTCCACCTCAGATCATCAGGCATTAGATTCTCATAAGTAGTGCATAACCTAGATCCCTTGTGTTTGGAGTTCACAATAGGGTTTCTGCTCCTATGAAAATCTCATGTCACTACTGATCTGACAGGAGGTGGAGCTTAGGCAGTAGTGCTCGCTAGGCTGCTACTCACCTCCTGCTACCGGTTCCTAACAGGTCACAGACTGGTATTGATCCATGGCCCAGGGGTAGGAGACCCTTGACCTACAGGATAGATAACCACAGGGGAAGTCCTAGGTCAAAGATATGTTTTTTACCATATTCTTGTTCCTCCCACCCACCACTGATATATGAGAATGTTGTTTCCCCACAGGCTTGCCAACAGAATGTATTATCTAACTTTTGGGTTTCTGTCCATCTGACAGGTGAGAAATTACACTTTGGTATTTTTTCACTTGCACTATTTTTCTTGTTATGGGCAATATAACTGCTATTTCCGCCACCTCTCATGTCAGAGGATAAGGAATCTCTATTGGTTATAAGCCTCTAACTATGCCTTTGAATCAGTTTTTTTCTTAATGCATCTAAGAAATTTACTTCTTCAAGTATTCCCTATTCCTTCAGTATCTTTCATATCTCTAATATTCTCCCTACTTTTTCCTTTCCTTCTAAGGTCAAATATTTTTTTTTCTTGCTAGATATTACACTCAAACAATATGGTATAAAGAACAGAACATGAGAAGTCTCCTTCTTATGTTGAACCTGAATACCATCCATCCCAAGAGTGAAACACCATTCTCAGTTTGTGTATTCCCTCTCTCACACTGTACATACAGATGCACACATGTATTACATTTAATAGATACATTCAAATGACAACATACTGCTTAGGTGAGGTAATGCTAGCTGCTGTAATAACTAAACCCTAAAATCTCAGTGGTTTAACACAATGAAAGCTTAGTTTGGACTCACGTGGTAGTCCAATGTTCAGTTGGCATATTTCCACGTGTACTTCAGGCGCCCAACTTCTGCCATAGCCTAAGGCTTCAGTCTTCACTTTAGCAGCAAATGGAGGAAAAAGAGAGAGAGATTAAGACATAATTGCTTCTTAATCACCCTGCCCAGAAGTCCTATCAGATCACTTTGCACATATTCCACAAGAAGTAACAGTGATTTTAAATGCAGAAGCTGGGAAGTTTAGTCCCTGAGTTGGTACTTATTCAACTTTACTCTATGGAAGGGTAACATAAATCCCTGGAGAATAGATAGCTACCTCTTAAACATAGATTCTTCATGCTGTTTTATTCCATAGTGTGTGTATTTCCTTAATTTATCTTAGAGATGTTTCCAATAGTTCATATTGGGCTGACCCACTGTAAAACCTTTTTTTTGTTAAAAGAAAAGGTGAAATCTGATGTCAATTTATCACTTCTATTCAACACAGTATTGAAAGTCTTAGCCAAACGAATTAGGCAAGAGAAAGAAAGAAAGGACATGTAAATTGAAAAGAAGTCAAATTATCCTTCTTAGCAGATGATGTGATCTCACATTTAGAAAAACTTAAAGATTCCACCAAAAATTATTAGAACTGATAAATTCAGTAAAGTTGCAGAGTACAAAACCAACATGTACAAATCAGTAGCATTTCTATACACTAACAATAATCAATCAAAAAAAGAAAGCAATCCCATTTACAATGGCTATGAAAAATAAAATAAAATAATACCTAGGAATAAATTTAACCAAAACAGTGAGACAGCTCTACAAGGAAAACTATAAAACACCCATGAAAGATACTGAAGAGGACACAAAAAATGGAAAAATATCCCATGCTCATGGATTGGAAGAATTAATATTGTTACAATTTCTATGCTGACCAAAGTGATATGCATATTCAATGCAATCTCTATCGAAATACAAAATACCAATGACATTCTTCACAGAAATAGAAAAAATAATCCTAAAATTTGTATGGAACCACAAAATACCTTGAAGAACTAAAGCAATCCTGAGCAAAAGGACAAAGCTAGAGGCATCACATATACTACAGAGCTATAGTATCCAAAACAGCATGGCACTGGCACAAGAGCAGACACACAGAGCAATGGTACAGAATAGAGAAACTAGAAATAAATTCACACAGTTACAACCAACTTATTTCACAATGTGTGAGGTTGCTTTTCCTCCACAGAACTAATCAAAATTTTTACCTTTGCCTATCTGATGGATTTAAAAAATGGTCCATCAGTGTAGTCTTAATTCACTTGTCTCTTCTAAAAATATGACAATCTCATCAAGATTTTAGGAGTTACTAGATTTATTACCCTTTTCATCACTTGTCTGTTTTTTATTTTATGAAATAGTTGGTATTTCTCATTGATTTCTAGAGGCTCCTAATACACTAAGGTATCTTATTTGCAATACAGAATTTTAAATGTTTCCCACAGTTTATAGTTAGTCTTTTTGCTCTGCTTATGATATTTGACTGTGAAATTTTTATATTTTTACTTAATCAAATTAATTAATCTTTTCCATTGTGACTTTTGAGGTTTGTGTCCAACTTAGGAGTTCTCACCTCTGGTATAAAGAAATAATTCTCCCAGGGCTTAATCTAATACTTTTTTGTTTTTATTTTTCAAGATAAAACCTTTGTTTCATCTGAAATTTTTATTGTAAGGTGTGAGGTAAGAATCCAGCATTCTGTGTGTGTACAGATGCCCAGCCCATTGTCACACTATCTCTTATTGTTGTATAATACACCTTTTCTATGCCAACTGGAAACATCACCTTTAACATGTACTAAATTTCCATAAGTATTTGAGTCTACTTCTGTACTTTCTATTCAACCAATTGATCCGCCTATTAATGTATTCTTACACACAATTTAAATTAACATAGCTTTGTAATATGTTTTAGTATCTTAGTGGGAGAGTCTTTCCTGATTATGTTACTTTTTTTTTATTATGAAGTTCTAGGGTACATGTGCACAACATGCAGGTTTGTTAAATATTTATACATGTGCCATGTTGGTGTGCTGCACCCATTAACTCGTCATTTACATTAGGTATATCTCCTAATGCTATCCCTCGCCCCCGCCCCACCCCACCCCACGATAGGCCCCGGTAGGTGATGTTCCCCTTCCTGTGTCCAAGGGCTCCCACTGGTCAACTCCCACCTATGAGTGAGAACATGAGGTGTTTGCTTTTTGTCCTTGTGATAGATTGCTGAGAATGATGGTTTCCAGCTTCATCCATGTCCCTACAAAGGACATGAACTCATCATTTTTATGGCTGCATAGTATTCCATAGTGTATATGTGCCACATTTTCTTAATCCAGTCTATCATTGTTGGACATTTGGGTTGGTTCCAAGTCTTTGCTATTGTGAATAGTGCCACAATAAACATATGTGTGCATGTGTCTTTATAGCAGCATGATTTATAATCCTTTGGGTATATACCCAGTAATGGGATGGCTGGGTCAAATGGTATTTCTAGTTCTAGATCCCTGAGGAATCGCCACACTGACTTCCACAATGGTTGAACTAGTTTACAGTCCCACCAACAGTGTAAAAGTGTTCCTATTTCTCCACATCCTCTCCAGCACCTGTTGTTTCCTGACTTTTTAATGATCACCAATCTAACTGGTGTGAGATGGTATCTCTTTGTGGTTTTGATTTGCATTTCTCTGATGGCCAGTGATGATGAGCATTTTTTCATGTGTCTGTTGGCTGCATAAATGTCTTCTTTGGAGAAGTGTCTGTTCATATCCTTCACCCACTTGTTGATGGGGTTGTTTTTTTCTTGTAAATTTGTTTGACTTCATTGTAGATTCTGGATATTAGCCCTTTGTCAGATGAATAGATTGCAAAAATTTTTTCCCATTCTGTAGGTTGCCTGTTCACTCTGATGGTAGTCTCTTTTGCTGTGCAGAAGCTCTTTAGTTTAATTAGATCCCATTTGTCAATTTTGGCTTTTGTTGCCATTGCTTTGGGTGTTTTAGATATGAAGTCCTTGCCCATGCCTATGTCCTGAATGGTATTGCCTAGGTTTTCTTCTAGGGTTTTTATGGTTTTAGGGCTAACATTTAAGTCTTTAATCCATCTTGAATTAATTTTTGTATACGGTGTAAGGAAGGGATCCAGTTCAGCTTTCTACATATGGCTAGCCAGTTTTCCCAGCACCATTTATTAAATAGGGAATCCTTTCCCCATTGCTTGTTTTTATCCGGTTTGTCAAAGATCAGATAGTTATAGATATGTGGTATTATTTCTGAGGGCTCTGTTCTGTTCCATTGGTCTATATCTCTGTTTTGGTACCAGTATCATGCTGTTTTGGTTATCGTAGGCTTGTAGTAAAGTTTGAAGTCAGGTAGCGTGATGCCTCCAGCTTTGTTCTTTTGGCTTAGGGTTCACTTGGCAATGCGGGCCCTTTTCTGGTTCCATATGAACTTTAAAGTAGTTTTTTCCAATTCTGTGAAGAAAGTCATTGGTAGCTTGATGGGGATGGCATGAATCTATAAATTACCTTGGGCAGTATGGCCATTTTCATGATATTGATTCTTCCTATCCATGAGCATGGAATGTTCTTCCATTTTTTGTGTCCTCTTTTATTTCATTGAGCAGTGGTTTGTAGTTCTCCTTGAAGAGGTCCTTCACATCCCTTGTAAGTTGGATTCCTAGGTATTTTATTCTCTTTGAAGCAATTGTGAATGGGAGTTCACTCATGATTTGGCTATCTGTCTGTTATTGGTGTATAAGAATGCTTGTGATTTTTGCACATTGATTTTGTATCCTGAGACTTTGCTAAGTTGCTTATCAGCTTAAGGAGATTTTGGGCTGAGACGATGGGGTTTTCGAGATATACAATCATGTCATCTGCAAACAGGGACAATTCGACTTCCTCTTTTCCTAATTGAATACCCTTTATTTCTTTCTCCTGCCTGATAGCCCTGGCCAGAACTTCCAACACTATGTTGAATAGGAGTGGTGAGGAGGGCATCCCTGTCTTGTGCCAGTTTTCAAGGGGAATGCTTCCAGTTTTTGCCCATTCAGTATGATACTGGCTATGGGTTTGTCATAAATAGCTCTTATTATTTTGAGATACGTCCCATCAATACCTAATTTATTGAGAGTTTTTAGCATGAAGGGTTGTTGAATTTTGTCAAAGGCCTTTTCTGCATCTATTGAGATAATCATGTGGTTTTTGTCATTGGTTCTGTTTATATGCTGGATTACGTTTATTGATTTGCATATGTTGAACCAGCCTTGCATCCCAGGGATAAAGCCCACTTGATCGTGGTGGATAAGCTTTTTGATGTGCTGCTGGATTCAGTTTGCCAGTATTTTATTGAGGATTTTTGCAGCAATATTCATCACGGATATTGGTCTAAAATTCTCTTTTTTTTGTTGTGTCTCTGCCAGGCTTTGGTATCAGGATGATGCTGGCCTCATAAAATGAGTTAGGGAGGATTCCCTCTTCATCTACTGATTGGAATAGTTTCAGAAGGAATGGTACCAGTTCCTCCTTGTACCTCTGGTAGAATTCGGCTGTGAATCCATCTGGTCCTGGACTTTTTTCTGGTTGGTAAGCTATTAATTATTGCCTCAATTTCAGAGCCTATTATTGGTCTATTCAGAGATTCAACTTCTTCCTGGTTTAGTCTTGGGAGGGTGTATGTGTTGAGGAATTTACCCATTTCTTCTAGATTTTCTAGTTTATTTGCGTAGAGGTGTTTATAGTATTCTCTGATGGTAGTTTGTATCTCTGTGGCATCGGGGGTGATATCCCCTGTCATTTTTTATTGTGTCTATTTGATTCTTCTCTCTTTTCTTCTTTATTAATCTTGCTAGTGGTCTATCAATTTTGTTGGTCTTTTCAAAAAACCAGCTCCTGGATTCATTGATTTTTTGAAGGGTTTTTTGTGTCTCTAATTCCTTCAGTTCTGCTCTGATCTTAGTTATTTCTTGCCTTCTGCTAGCTTTTGAATGTGTTTGCTCTTGCTTCTCTAGTTCTTTTCATTGTGATGTTAGGGTGTCAATTTTAGATCTTTCCTGCTTTCTCTTGTGGGCATTTAGTGCTGTAAATTTCCCTCTACACACTGCTTTAAATGTGTCCCAGAGATTCTGGTATGTTGTGTCTTTGTTCTCGTTGGTTTCAAAGAAATGTTTATTTCTGCCTTCATTTCGTTATGTACCCTGTAGTCATTCAGGAGCAGGTTGTTCAGTTTTCATGTAGTTGTGCGGTTTTGAGTGAGTTTCTTAATCCTGAGTTCTAGTTTGATTGCACTGTGGTCTGAGAGACAGTTTGTTATAATTTCTGTTCTTTTACATTTGCTGAGGAGTGCTTTACTTCCAACTATGTGGTCAATTTCAGAATAAGTGAGGTGTTTTGCTGAGAAGAATGTATACTCTGTTGATTTGGGGTGGAGAGTTCTGTAGATGTCTATTAGGTCTGCTTGGTGCAGAGCTGAGTTCAATTCCTGGATATCCTTGTTAACTTTCTGTCTCGTTGATCTGTCCAATGTTGACAGTGGGGTGTTAAAGTCTCCCATTATTATTGTGTGGGAGTCTAAGTCTCTTTGTAGGTCTCTAAGGACTTGCTTTATGAATCTGGGTGTTCCTGTATTGGGTGCATATATATCGAGGATAGTTAGCTCTTGTTGAATTGATCCCTTTACTATTATGTAATGGCCTTGTCTCTTTTGATCTTTGTTGGTTTAAAGTCTGTTTTATCAGAGACTAGGATTGCAACCCCTGCCTTTTTTTGTTTTCCATTTGCTTGGTAGATCTTCCTCCATCCCTTTATTTTGAGCCTATGTGTGTCTCTGCATGTGAGATGGGTTTCCTGAGACGGAGTTTCGCTCTTGTTGCCCAGGCTGGAGTACAATGGCGCGACCTTGGCTCACCACAACCTCTGCCTCCCGGGTTCAAGCAATTCTCCTGCCTCAGCCTCCCGTGTAGCTGGGATTACAGGCATGCGCCACCACGCCTGGCTACTTTTGTATTTTTAGCAGAGAAGGGGTTTCTCCATGTTGGTCAGGCTGGTCTTGAACTCCTGACCTCAGGTGATCCGCCCACCTTGGCCTCCCAAAGTGCTGCAATTACAGGCGTGAGCCACCGCACCCAGCCCATTATGTTACTTTTTAAGAATTTTCCTGGTTATTATTTTTTTTTCACGTAAACAACTGAGTTCCTTGACTAATTCCAAACTTCACCCAGAAAAACAGCTATACACGTGTCCTACTATCCTCTTTAGCCTATGCTTTCTGTTCATAAGAGTTCTACTTTCTTCCTTTTCACACTAAAACTTTGATCTCTTAAAAGCTTGATTCCATCTCATTAAACAAAAAAGTAATCAAGAATTTCTTCCTTTTTTTTTTTTCAAGACAGAGTCTCACTCTGTCACTCAGGCTGGAGTGCAGTGGCCTGATCTTGGCTCACTGCATCCTATGCCTCCCAAGTTCAAATGATTGTCATGCCTCAACCTCCCAAGTAGCTGGGACTACAGGTGGGCGCCACCACACCTGGCTAATTTTTGTATTTTTGGTGGAGACAGGGTTTTGCCATGTTGGCCAGGCTGTTCTTGAACTCCTGGCCTCAAGTGATCCACCCACCTCAGCCTCCGAAAGTGCTGGAATTACAGGCGTGAGCCACCACGCCCGGCCAATCAAGAATTTCATAATTGCTAAATCCAGTAGCCTTTCTTGGAACTCCTTGGCTTCTTTGAAGTTCCAGACCCTGTTAACTCTTTGCCTCTCTCGAAATTCTCTCCTTTCTTTGCTTTTATGTCTGCTTCATTTAGATACTTCACATCCGTTTTCCCGAGCTCCTCCTCCGCAGAGAAAGTCACTCAAAAACATTGTGTCCAAATATCTGTCTTCGGTACACTATTTTATGTGTGTGTGTGTGTGTGTGTGTGTGTGTGTGTGTGTGTGTGTGTATTTCCTCTTCAGGTCAACTACTATGAAATATCTATCTGTAATTCTGAGTACAGCTTATGGTAGGTATAAATAAAAATAAATACTAAATGAATGGGCACCAGTTCTAATTTCCCAAATTCCTGCTTATAATTTCTCCAGGGATTCCCCTTAGTCATCAACACATCAACACATAAAATGCCTGTACAGTAGAGGAAACAGTTTCTCTGAATCCTAGACTGGTCAAACCATATCTGGAACACTGAGATTCATTCGGCACCACATTTTCAGAGGCCATGACAAATCTGAGTGAATCTAAAGAAGGGAAACAGGATGGTAAATGATACAAAACTCAGGGTATAAGAGGAAATGTTGAAGTAACTTAGGATGTTGAGTCATCAGATGATTAAGAAAAGACATAGCAGTACTCAAGTATGTAAAGAGTACTTTCCGGTAGGGGGCAATGTTGGGTGGAAGGAGGAGGTTATGAGGTTATGGCACTGTTCAGTATTTTTTTTTTTTTTTTGAGATGGAGTTTTGCTCTTGTTGCCTAGCCTGGAGTGCAATGGCGCGATCTCAACTCACTGCAACATCCGCCTCCCAGGTTCAAGCGATTCTCCTGCCTCAGCCTCCTGAGTAGCTGGGGTTACAGGCATGCACCACTATGCCCGGCTAATTTTGTAGTTTTAGTTGAGATGGGTTTCTCCATGTTGGTCAGGCTGGACTCGAACTCCTGACCTCAGGTTATCCGCCCACCTCGGCCTCCCAAAGTGCTGGGATTACAGGCATGAGCCACTGCGCCTAGTCTAAACGTTTCAATACTCACAGATATCTGTGCAAGGTAGGCACACAGTTTTATCTACCTACCTTATGTTTGTGTGACACTATCACAAATTCAGGCTGTTAATGGCCCAACCTGATCTGTAGCAACATCCTGTGAATAAGTCTTATAGCCTCTGATCCATCCTATCCATTGTAACCATTTTGTCAGATCAAACTTCCTGACATAAAATTTCCCTTATCAAAAGTTAATGACAGCAGGGCACGGTGGCTCACGTCTGGAATCCCAGCTCTTTGGGAGGCTGAGGAAGGAGGACTGCTTGAGCCCATGAGTTCAAGACCAATGTGGGCAACACAAAGACAGTGAGACCTTGTAAAAAAAAAAAAAAAAAAAAAAAAAAGACTTTCACTGTTAACAAAAAACAAAACAACAAAATCCTCTAGAATTCTTTCCTAAGTCCCTAGTTTTATTTTTACCACTATGTCCCATAAATCCTTTTCTTCTTAAGTGCCTTGTACTTTTGGTATGTATATATTGCACCTAATATTGCTAAATGATCCCTTCTTTTTGTGGAGTATCTGTTCTTCAAAGTTTAGCTCAAGTAGCATCTCCTCCCTGGGCTTTGATCATTACAGAAGGAAGAGATCCCAACCCATTCTGAACATATGTGATGCTATCTAAATCACTACCTTAAAATTCTCTTCCCTGTTTGGTAGTCATATGTAGTATGTAATACTGCAAATATAACTTTCTACAACGATGAAACCGTTCTCTATCTGTGCGTCCAATATAACAGCCAGTAACCACAAGTGACTACTGAGCATGTAAAATGTGACCAGTGCCTACATATTAGACAGTGTGGTCTTGGAGGGCAATACATTAGGTTTCTGATGCATAGAATATTTACTGAGAAATAATTATGTTCTAGGCCCTGTTTAAACATTTTATACCTATCATTTCACTAATGCTTTTCTATTATCATTCTGTTTCTAAGATAAATAAACTGAGTCCAAGAAAGTTTAAATAACTTGCATCAAGTCCTAATTCTTTGGGATTAACAACGATGACAATCCACAGATTATTGCAGTAAGAATATTAGAAAATATGACAAGGAGCTCAGTAAATCATTAAACAGTATTCCTAAGATAGTTATTTTATCTTCTTTTGGTGTCTCTTACAACGTCTAGCACATCACTTTGTACGTAGTAACTATAACTGAATCAAATGATAATTTTACATGGCTTATAGTCTTCTACACTTGTACATAATGTTTTCTAAAATCAGAGTATAAATTGAATGTATAAAAATGAAGTCATAAAAATAAAATGTGTTATAGCCACATGATGGAATATTATTCAGCCATAAAAAAGAATGAAATATTGATTCATGCTACAACATGGATGAAACTAAAAAAAATGCTAAGTTAAAGAAGCCAGTCACAAAAGACCATACATTATAATTCCTCTTACATGAAATATTCAGAATAGACAAATTCATATAGACAGAAAGTAGATTAGAGGTTACCTAGGATTTGTAGGATTGGGGTAAAACAGAGAGTGATCACTAGAGGGTAAGGAGTGTTTTCCTGGGGTCATGAAAATGTTCTAAAATTGACTGTGGTGATGGTTGCAAAACTACGTAAAAACAATGTAAAAATTTAACTGTATATTTTAAATGGGTGAATTGTATGGCCTGTGAATTAAATCTCAATAATACTGTTTTTAAAAGGGGGGAATCAAAGTTTTATGTTTACAAAGGGTTCTACTCCTAAGAGCTAAATATAAATTATGGACTATCTAGGATACATCTTTACTTTTAGATATAATCTCTGACAAAAATATTTCGAATACACTTAACGGTAAAGTGAAATAAAATTGTGGTTTTCAAAATTGTTTTCTCATAGGTGGACAAAACAAATCTTTTTTGGAAACCAACGAAACAAAAATAATCTGGAGCTGTCTTGGTTGAAGCAGCGTGCGGGATTCAGACACCTCCCACTCAGACCCCTGCCCTTCCTTCAACATTGGCATCTAAAGAATCTCTCCAGCGTTTGGAGGAAATCAAGTTGGAAGTTAAGCAAGAAGCAACACAAAAAACTGAGTAACTACAAAGAAGTAAAAAGTAAAAACTCTGCAAGTTGAATTGTTAGCTGGCAGGCTACCATGTGATATTGGCTCAGAATTGTCTTGTGTTAGTAAAGATACAAACATTTGAATTCTATTTATGAACTTTGAATTCTGCTTCTGTAATTAGACTTTTTTTTTTTTTTTTGGACAGAGTCTCACTCTGTCGCTTAGGCTGGACTGCAGCGGAATGATCTCAGCTCACTGCAAACTCCGTCTCCCGGGTTCAAATGATTCTCCTGCCTCAGCCTCCCCAGTAGCTGTAGCTGGGATTACAGGTGTGGATCACCACGCGCAGCTGAATTTTTTTTTGTATTTTCAGTACAGACGGGGTTTCACCATGTTGGCCAGGCTGGTCTCAAACTTCTGACCTCAAATCATCCACTTGCCTTCGCTTCCCAATGTGCTGGGATTACAGGCATGAGCCAGTGTGCCCAGCCTGCATGTTTTTTGTTTGTTTGTTTGTTTGTTTGTTTTTTGAGATGGAGTATTGCTCTGTTGCTCAGGCTGGAGCGCGCGATCTCAGCTCACCGCAACCTCCGCCTTCCAGATTCAAGCAATTCTCCTGCCTCAGCTTCCCAAGTAGCTGGGACTGTTACAGGTGCATGCTGCCACGCCCAGCTAATTTTTTTGTATTTTAGTAGAGAAGGGGTTTCACCATGTTGCCCAGGCTGGTCGGGAACTCCTGAGCTCAGGCAATCCGCCTGCCTCGGCCTCCGAAAGTGCTGGGATTACAGGTGTGAGTCACTGCGCCACCGCATGTTTTTTTTTTTTTTTTTTTTAAAGAGAATTATTCTAAATTCAAGATCTACCTCTAATTTATGTGGTCTTTTTTTATTATGTACTTGGATTAGGAATTTTTGTATTTTTGTTTGTACAACAAAAAATATGTAAACATCCCCAAATAAAAAAATAGGTGCCCTAGATCTGTGACACTGGAAGTGCTGTTTTCCTGGCTCAATATCCCTTATTTGGCTAAGAAAAAAAGGGCAGTTTCCAACTCATTTGTACTTACATAGCCACAGACTCTTCTACTTGTATGGCTTATTAACATCAAAAATTTATATTCTATTATTATATGTGATATATTACACTATACTACATTATAATTATCCCCAAAACAAAACTGATCATTTATTTCTCTCAAACATATTTTTAATATATTTAAGGGTAAAGTAGAATAAAACTGTGGTTTTCAGAATTATTTTTTCAGAGGCAGACAAAATAAATCTTTTTTAGAAATCCAAAAAAGCAAAACTTTCCCAACTTCCCTATTTCAAC
Organism: Homo sapiens; assembly: GCF_000001405.40. Classification (NCBI taxonomy): domain Eukaryota; kingdom Metazoa; phylum Chordata; class Mammalia; order Primates; family Hominidae; genus Homo; species Homo sapiens. The sequence continues at coordinate 72,534,460 of NC_000016.10, forward strand.
TTAACTTTGAATCCCCAGGCTGATATCTCTTTAAACTCAAATTAGTAGCCTCTCTTTATAGTCGTAGCTGATAATGAAGGCATAATCTTTCCCCTTTAGACATGAATTCTGGAGCTCCTCCTCCTCCCTGCTAGCTCTTTCCACAGCTACCAACTTTTCTTGAGTCAAGTCTATTTCTCACACTTTTTCTATGTACTGCTATTAGAATAGTCCTCAAGTGCTCTATGATGTTATTTCCTTACTCAAAAACTTAGAATTGTTCTCTATAGTTCAACTTCCTCTCCATCTCTGTGTGATGGTTAATTTTGCGTCAACCTGATTGGGCCACAGGGTGCCCAGATACTTGGTCAAACATTATTCTGTTTTTGTGAAGGTGTTTTTTGGATGAGATTAACATTTAAATTGGTAGACTAGACAAAGCAGATAATCTAGGATTGGCATCCAATCATTTCAAGGCCTGAATAGAACAAAAGGCTGATCTTCCTCAGAATAAGTGAAAATTATCCTGCCTGATGGGCCTCAAACTATACCATTTGCTCTTCCTGGTTCTATAGCAGCTTCCAGCCTTTGGACTTGAAAGCGGATACAAGCTCTACAGATTTTGGACTAGCCAGTGTCCATAATCCCATGATAGGTATCTCCTATTAGTTCTGTTTTTCTGAAGATCACTGACTAATATACTGTTTACCCAACTCTGTAGTACCATTTCATAAGATTTTTTTTTTTTTTTTTGACAGTGTCTTGCTCTATCACCCAGGCTGGAGTGGAATGGTGCAAACAAAGTTCACTGCACCCTCAACCTCCTGGGCTCAAGTGATCCTCCTACCTCAGCCTCCTGAGTAGCTGGAACCACAAGTATGCGCCACCATGCCTTGCTAGTTTTTTAAATGTTTGTAGAGAAAAAGTCTAACCATGTTGCCCAGGCTCCCAGATCGTTTATTAGACCTCAAAATATTCTCTACTACAATGAAATAAATCCATTTGTCAACTTCTACCCAATTTGCATAATTCCACTGAAATGCTTTTATTAAATAACTGATATGCATTTGTACCACCTACATTTGCCTCTCACATATATCTCTCCAGCTAGGATGTTAACTACTTTGACAACAGGAGCCTCTATTTTCTTTACTTCTTTCCACAGTGATAACAGAGATTAACAATGTGAAGTATAGTTTAAAGACTATTAAATATATATATATACTTAAATCATAAAAAGTCAGGAAACAACAAATGCTGGAGAGGATGCAGAGAAATAGGAATGTTTTTACACTGTTGGTGGGGCTGTAAACTAGTTCAACCATTGTGGAAGACAGTGTGGTGATTCCTCAAGGATCTAGAACTAGAAATACCATTTGACCCAGCCATCCCATTACTGAGTATATACCCAAAGGATTATAAATCATGCTGCTATAAAGACACATGCACTTGTGTGTTTATTGCAGCACTATTCACAATTGCAAAGACTTGGAACCAACCCAAATGTCCAACAATGGTAGACTGGATTAAGAAAATGTGGCTCATATACACCATGGAATACTATGCAGCCATAAAAATGATGAGTTCATGTCCTTTGTAGGGACATGGATGAAGCTGGAAACCATCATTCTCAGCAAACTATCACAAGGACAAAAAACCAAACACCGCATGTTCTCACTCACAGGTGGGAATTGAACAATGAGAACACTTGGACACAGGAAGGGAAACATCACATACCGGGGCCTGTCGTGGGTGGGGGAAGTGGGGAGGGATAGCATTAGGAGACATATCTAATGTAAATGACGAGTTAATTGGTGCAGCACACCAACATGGCGCATGTATATATATGTAACAAACCTGCACGTTGTGCACATGTACCCTAGAACTTAAAGTGTAATAAAAAATAAAAAAATAAAAAGACTATTAAATATATATATACATACTTTATACCTATCTATACCTTAAATAGATATATAATGTATGTAAATTTATATATCTAATTTACCTCTTGCCTACAGTCTGGTACATGTTTTAATGTTAATTTTTATTTGGTTGGTTTTGGTTTTGCTTAAAAGAATAACATTTTGGGTTAAAATTTATTTGCCATTTTAAAGTATTCTCCTTCCACTTTCATTTTGCTGTTAGGACACAGAACAAAGTTATAGACAAACTTTAGACTATATAATTTAAAAGTACAATTGAAAGAATGTTTTAATGTTGGGATGAAGTGCATACTTTACTGTATATTTTTCAAACTCAGTTATATTGCTTTGCTAAAAGTAAATAATATCACCAGGATACCATCTGGTAAAAATCTCTCTGTGGATTAACCCACAAAAGGAGGTGAATGAATTTTTATATATTGCATAGTTGTGGTTGCAAAACTGCAGTAAAAATATGTTTTCAATGCACTGGTGTAAGTGAGACTTCAGAATTCAGCTACCTCTTCTGATTTGATCCAAAAGGCTTGGAATATTTAAGACCATATCTCATCAACATGGAAAAGGAGGAGTGTTTTATTTTCTAGCATTCCTATGACTTGGAAGAAAAAAAATCTAGGAAATTGAAGTCCATGAACTGGAAAATATGAATTTGGTCTTTTAGAAAGCATTCATTTAAAAAATAATGGGCAGTTACTTAATAATAGGACATAGCATGTCAGAGAAGTCTGAGGCCATATAAGACAGTTGGATAAGATTTGACAATGTCATTGTGTGCAGCCCATCCAATGCAAAATGGTCAAATCAGTTTTTACCTTTTTTTTTTTTTTTTACTTCAAATAATACGCTATCCAAGTCTTGATCTAGTCCAATGACTAGAGGAATAGAAATTCTCCCCACCTCTCTCGAGATTCCATTCCAGAGACTAATAGATTTCACTGTCAGAAAACATTTCCCAGATTCAGTCTTAAATTTCTGTTACTTAATTTCATCCCAATACTTGACTATAAACTCTCTTATCCTACCTTTAAAAATATCTTGACTTCCATAATGTTTGTATCTTACAAATATTTGTAAAATGTTATCATAACTATACTCAGAGATGAGCAAAAAATATACATTTTGTTATTTTAATATTTTAAGGATTAAAGTCTGAAGATCATTATACATTTATTTTCTAGTCTGAACACTACTTGATTTGCTTATTTGGGGCATGTACATGCCCCAAACTTGTATTCTCTTTGTGATCTCAGCAGTACCATTTAAATAACTTTTATCTTTCAGCCACATGATGTGAAGCTTTTGCATATACAGACTAAAATCTCATTGACTGATTTTACTGCCACATTGCATTACAAGACCTTATATAATTTGCTACCACTATCATCTCAAAGTCTCTTGGTAATACTGCTTTCCAAGTACTGTATATCCTGCCAGTTGAATGGCTGTGTTTCTGATCATTTTTCCCCAGATGTATTAGCTACATTTTTCCAGGTTGAATCACATTTCATTTCCTGCCCATATTTCTAACCACTTTAGGTCCCTTTTATCTGCCCTCACTGGTTTTGCCAACACCATCCAATTTAGCATCATCTGTAAATTTAATTAACATGATGTGTATCCTCTCTTATAAATCACTAATGAAGTTTCTCTACAATGATTTGTTTATTTTAAAAACTCTAATGCTGCTTAATGTTTATAATCTTGCTTATAATGTTTATAATCTTAAGAAGGCACCACTTTTTTGCCACTAAATATTTGTTTTATTATTTTAGGAGTGGTTCATGATAGACTAACAACAGAATCATGTTCAGGGTCACTGCTATCCTTTTTTGAATATTAGTGCTAAATTACTTTTATGATTGCTTCTGTACATAACAAAGCTTTAACTGACAATTTTCTACCCTTCTGTGTTTTTTCATTCTATTAATAACATCACAGAAGAACAACATTATGATGTTATTCTCATGTGTTATTCTCACGTCCATGAGGTAAAATGGTCAAAGATCTCATATTCCAAATTCTGTTGTGCAGTGAGTTTTTTAAATTTTAGATTCCAATTTACTGTGACAACAGTTTGTTATATTAAATGAGTAAAGATTAATTTAGAATGTTTGTATTTTAAGTATTTTGGAATTGGCAAGTTGAACCAAGATCAATATGGTTCATATGAACTGAACAAGAGCTATTTTGTTCCTCTTTTATAACTGTGATTTCTTTTGAATTTATTGGTTATTTAAAATTCTTCTGGGGTATTAAAACCTACTTTTAATTTCATTTTTATAAGGAAATACATTAGACCTCCAAAAGTATGTTTTGAAACATAATACTAGAAACAACATATATGTATCCACCACCTAGGTTAGGAAAACACCACCACCACCACCACCACCACCACCACCACACCACCACTACCAGTACCTTATCAGCTATGGGATACATTTTTCCAATTGCTTACCTCTTCTCTCCCTTAGGAGCATCTGCTGCTATTAACTTTATAAAAATAATTTACTTTGTTTTGTTTACATATCTATATATGTATCCCTATAGTTAAGATGCATTTTTAAAAAATTGAATATCTCAGACATTTCAGTCATCAATTTCCATCTTATACTAATTTACTTTTTGTAAGTATTTGTCTTTTCCTACAGGAATATCTTGCCATATGTCTTCAATAATCTTGGAAGAAAGCATACATTCTTTTTTCTTCAATTTTTTATTTACCTAAATCCTAGTGTTAGCTTTACATACCACAAACTTTTCTTTTTCCTATTAATCCATCCTCTTAACTTACATATTTTGGGACAGTTTCTTGTACTCATTTACTAGTGTATACATATTTATTAATTGCTTATTATGGCCCAATTATGGCATATAGATCTGATTTTACATACTTAGTAGAAGTAACTTCTTTTTTCAGCCAATTCTTATATCTCATTATATTTGTTAAGAAATTAGAAAATTCTTGTGGGTGTCTATGATGTATATATGCATGCATACATACATACATACATATATATACATACCTATGATGTATGTATATATATGTCATAGGTACTCATGGTTTTTATCCATGGTTCCTGTCTCATAACTCTCATATATATGTATATACATATATATCTCATATACATATATGAGAGTTATGAGTACGTATATATACATACCTATGATGTATATATGTATACTTCAAGAATAGCAAGGAGTAACTTGCTTTTTCAGCTAATTCTTATATCTCATTATTTCAAATTTTATATAATAATAATTTCTAATTTTATCTAATAATAATTTCTATTATTAGAAATTATTTCTAAGAAATTAGAAAATTCTTGTGGGTACCTATGACGTATATATACATACATACATACGTATATATACATACCTATGACATGTGTATATATACGTCATAGGTACCCATGGTTTTCATCCATGGTTCCTGGCTCATAACTTGCATAGCTCTTGTTAGTCTTTCATTATAATGTTGGGGCACTTTAGGCTTCAGGAGCAGGCTTCAGGAGCAAGCCTCAGGAAAGAGAATCTCTCTCTCTGACCTCCTGAACTCCTTTACCTGCTCAAGGCAGAACTCTGATCTGACTGTGGGTCAAAAGACCCTCATTCCAGAGAAGGTTCTGCCCCATACTCTGGAGGAAGAAATGCTGCACAGAGAGGCCAAGAAGAATCCAAACAGGCATTGCTGGGTTTCCCCATTCAGCCTATTAATATGAGATTGTACCCTTTTTGTTCAACCACATTTCATGCCTATGATTCTCCATAAAAACCCAAGAAGTACTATCACATTTGGGATTAAGGAAAACAAAACTAAACCAAGAAGACTGGGTTCAAAGAGCTTCCAGATAACTAAACACGTGGAGTTTCCTAGATTATGGCATGCCCAGAGAGTGCATGGAAGTTCCGAGCACTTTCCCCCATATCCTGCCCTGCACATCGCTTCATGTGTGTTGTAATATCTGTTACAATAAACAATAAACTAAAATAAGCATTTCCCTGGGTTCTGTGAGTTGCTCAGCCAGAAGCTCCAGAGGCTTGGACTTGCCACTGGTGTGAGGAGAGGGCTCAGTTTTGGGGACTGAACCCTCAATCCATGGGGTCTGATGCTATCTGTAGGTAGATCATGCTGGAATTTAATTAGCAGACATTCAGGTGGTGTCTGCCACTTGGTGTGTGGGAAAAAATTCTCTTACCTTTGGTTGCAGAAAGCTTCTCTGTTGATGATTGCTGTGGTGGTATGAAAGCAGAGGAAAAACATGCTTAGAGAGTTTTCCCCAAACAGTACCTAAATATAAGACCTATATTTATTCTCTCATAAATTTAAACTTCTATTATTATTTATTTATTTATTTATTGAGATAGAGTCTCTCTCTGTCACCCGGCTGGATGCAGTGGCATGATCTCGGCTCACTGCAACCTCCACCTCCTGGGTTCAAGCAATTCTTCTGCCTCAGCCTCCCATGTAGCTGGGGCTACAGGCACGCACCACCGCACCCAGCTAATTTTTGTATTTTTGGTAGAGACGGGGCTTCACCATGTTGGCCAGGATGGTCTCGATCTCTTGACCATGTGATCTGCCCCCCTTCGCCTTCCAAAGTGCTGGGATTACAGGTGTGAGCCAACATGCCCAGTCTAAACTTCTATTTTTAAATATCAAATTATTCCTATCATAATTTTTTATTCCATTTTAATTTCCACTTCTCATGTCCATATCCATAACAACTTTAACATATTTCCATTTATTAAAAAAAACTCAACTTTCATCCTTATATAGCACTGATATCACACAGTAAAAAGCTGGTAAATCGAGGGCTTTTTCATATTTTACCAGTTATCTTGTTCTTACTTTAAAAATTACACTCAATTATTTAGAGAAAGATGTTCATCTCCATGTGGTTTATGATAGAAACAAAGGGAAACAATCAAAATATCTAATAACTGGAGATCTAGCTAAATAAAATACAGTACAATCCTACAATAGAATATTAGGAACCTAATTAAAATTGGCGATTACCAATTTTAGCCTATTAATGAGAATCTCTTCACCTAGTAATATCTGAGGTATAAAAGCAAGTGTCCCAGGGTGGCCCACGACACTTGAGGGAAAAATATGGGGTTACAAAAGCCAAGTCATTACATCTCAAGAGGGATAATTCTGCGGCACCATTCACTCCTCAGAGCTCCCTGGGGGATCAAGCTGAGGTTAGGCTTTTGAAACTTCATCTTTGCCTAGCTTCTATCCTTGCTCTTTTTCCTTCTTTTCTCATTTTCTTTTGAGAGCACTCAATAAATCACTGCACAAGAATCTCTTTCTTGAGTTCTGCTTCTAAGGGGACCCACTGACCCAAAGAATCAGTGCACAGAAGTGATCCTAGAAAGCAGGCTCCAAGGCTGAGATTCTGGATCACTCACTGACTGGCTGGCTGTCAATGAGGACCCCAGAATTAGTGGTGTTTTTGGCATTCTGTAGCAGTAATGCAACTGCTAAAACTTGAAAAAGGATGGAATAGATGTAGAAAATGCACTGGCTTGTGCCATACTTCCAGATTTAAGAGGAATGAGGAAAGTGGTAAGTATGTAAGTATTGACATAAGAGTTGAAAATAAATTACTTAGGCAGATAGTGAGGGTATATTAGTCCTCGGTAAGGTTTTCCTTTTAATGAAAAGCAACCCCAAAATAATTTTCTTTTCTAACAAAGAGCAACCTGTAAAATTAAGCTGCAGACATAAACAAGCAAGCAGAGTGAACGCAAGCTGTTGTGCCTACAGGAATATACTACCTGGGACGAGACATGTTCAATATGGTGGCTCCATCTTCTCTTTTTGCCAGCCATGTGTATAGTAAGAAGCAGGCAAGATGGAGCTGGCCAAGTGAAAAGTCCATTTGCATAAGATTAGGGTGGGGCAACCAGCCTTCCCCACTGCTATGTAAACATCATACCTAGTCAAACCCATTTGTGAGCCCTACCTAAATGAGACACTGCCTCCTCAAGCCTGCCTATAAAATCTGCTGCAGTCCTCCACTTTACCTTTTTCAGATGCCTCTCTCTTGCAAGAGAGAGTGAGCTGCTATCCTCCCTCCTTTCTTCTGCCTATTTAACTTTCTATTCCTTAACCCACCCACGTGTCCTTGTCCTTAATCCTCTTGGTGTGAGACAACGAACCCCAGGTATTTACCCCAGACAACAATGCCATTTCAGTATCACAGAATTGAATGGCTGTTATTAAGCACTCGTGATACTATGAAGAAAGGAAAGGATGATTAATCATCAATTCAAAACAATGTGTGAAATTCTTTTTTTTTTTTTTTTTTGAGATGGAGTCTTACTCTGTTGCCCAGGCTGGAGTGCAGTGGCACGATCTCAGCTCACTGAAAGCTCTGCTTCCCGGGTTCACACCATTCTCTTGCCTCAGACTCCCGAGTAGCTGGGACTACAGGCGCCCACTACCATGCCCAGCTAATTTTTTGTATTTTTAGTAGAGACTGGGTTTCACTATGTTAGTCAGGATGGTCTTGATCTCCTGACCTCATGATCTACCTGTAGAGCTGGGATTACAGGCGTGAGCCACTGCGCCCAGCCAATGATGTGTGAAATTCTGAGATCTTCATCTCTAAGTTGTTTCATAGTAAATTATAATAAAAAATAAAATAAAATGCCTCAAAAGAGACATAGGAGGATGTGATAATAAAGAGTCTTAACCCAAGCCTGTCTCACAGCAAGTTCACTGTGTTTAGAGACTAACCCAGAGATTATTTTCCCTGTTCCTAAACAAAAACTCAGAATATTTCTGTGGAGTATTAAAAAAAAAAAAGCGGGGGGTGGCCGGCAAGATGGCTGAACAGGAATAGCTCCGGTCTGCAGCTCCCAGGGAGATCAATGTAGAAGGCGGGTGATGTCTGCATTTCCAACTGAGGTACCTGGCTCATCTCACTGGGACTGGTTAGACAGTGGGTGCAGCCCATGGAGGGCGAGCGGAAGCAGGGTGGGGTGTCGCCTCACTTGGGAAGTGCAAGGGGTTGGGGAACTCCCTCCCCTAGCCAAGGGAAGCTGTGAGGGACTGTGCTGTGAGGAAGAGTGCACTCTGGCCCAGATACTATGCTTTTCCCACAGTCTTCGCAACTCGCAGAGCAGGAGATTCCCTTGGGTACCTACACAACCAGGGCCCTGGGTTTCAAGCACAAAACTGGTCGACCATTTGGGCAGACACCGAGCTAGCTGCAGGAGTTTTTTTTCACGCCCCAGTGGTGACTGGAACGCCCGTGAGACAGAACTGTTCACTCCCATGGAAAGGGGGCTGAAGCCAGGGAGCCAAGTGGTCTAGCTCAGTGGATCCGACCCCGATGGAGCCCAGCAAGCTAAGATCCACTGGCTTGAAATTCTCACTGGCAGTACAGCAGTCTGAAGTCAACCTGGGACACTCAAGCTTGGTGGGGGGAGGGGCGACCACCATTTCTGAGGCTTGAGTAGCCGGTTTTCCCTTCACACTGTAAACAATGCCCCGGGAAGTTTGGACTGGGCAGAGCCCACCAGCACCACAAAGCCACCGTAGCCAGACTGCATCTCTAGATTCCTCCTCTCTGGGCAGGGCATCTCTGAAAGAAAGGCAGCAGCCCCAGTCAGGGGCTTATAGATAAAACTCCCATATCCCTGGGACAGAGCACCTGGGGGAAGGGGTGGTTGTGGGCACAGCTTCAGCAGACTTAAACATTCCTGCCTGCCACTGAAGAGAGCAGCAGACCTCCCAGGACAATGCTCGAGTTCTGCTAAGGGACAGACTGTCTCCTAAAGTGGGTCCCTGACCCCTGTGCCTCCTGACTGAGAGACACCTCCTAGCAGGGGTCAACGGACACTTCATACAGGAGACCTCTGGCTAGCATCTAGCGGGTGCCCCTCTGGGAGGAAACTTCCAGAGGAACGAACAGGCAGCAATCTTTGCTGTTCTGCAGCCTCCACTGGTGATACCCACGCAAAAAGGGTCTAGAGTGGACCTCCAGTAAACACCAGCAGACCTGCAGCAGAGGGGCCTGACTGTTAGAAGGAAAACTAACAAACAGAAAGGAACAGCATCAACATTGACAAAAAGGACATCCACACAGACACCTCACCTGAAGGTCACCAACATCAAAGATCAAAGGTAGATAAATCCAGGAAGATGAGGAAAAACCAGCATAAAAAAGCCAAAAATTCCCAAAACCAGAACACCTCCTCTCCTCCAAAAGATCACAGCTCCTCGCCAGCAAGGGAACAAAACTGGACGGAGAACGAGTTTGAGGAATTGACAGAAGATGGAGAACGAGTCTGAGGAATTGACAGAAGTAGGTTTCAGGAGGTGGGTAATAACAAACTCCTCTGAGCTAAAGGAGCGTGTTCTAACCCAAAGCAAGGAATCTAAGAACCTTGAAAAAAGGTTAGAGGAATTGTTAACTAGAATAACCAGTTTAGAGAAGAACATAAATGACCTGATGGAGCTGAAAAACACAGCACAAGAACTTCATGAGGCATATACAAGTATCAATAGCTGAATCAATCAACTGGAAGAAAGAATATCAGAGATTGAAGATCAACTTAATGAAATGAAGTGTGAAGACAAGATTAGAGAAAAAAAAAAGAAACGGAACGAACAAAGCCTCCAAGAAATATGGGACTATGTGAAAAAACCAAACCTACGTTTGATTGGTGTACCTGAAAGTGACAGGGAGAATGGAACCAAGTTGAAAAACACTCTTCAGGATATTATCCAGGAAAACTTCCCCAATCTAAAAAGACAGGCCAATATTCAAATTCAGGAAAAATACAGAACACCATAAAGATACTTCTCGAGAAGAGCAATCCCAAGACACATAATCATCAGATTTACCAAGGTTGAAATGAAGGAAAAAATGTTAAGGGCAGCCAGAGAGAAAGATTGGGTTACCCACAAAGGGAAGCCCATCAGACTAACAGTGGGTCTCTTGGAAGAAACCCTACAAACCAGAGGAGAGTGGGGGCCAATATTCAACATTCTTAAAGAAAAGAATTTTCAACCTAGAATTTCATATCCAGCCAAACTAAGCTTCATAAGTGAAGGAGAAATAAGATTGTTTACAGACAAGCAAATGCTGAGAGGTTTTGTCACCACCAGGCCTGCCTTATAAGAGCTCCTGAAGGAAGCACTAAATATGTAAAGGAAAAATCGGTACCAGCCACTGCAAAAACATACCAAATTGTAAAGACCATAGACACTATGAAGAAACTGTATCAACTAACGGGTTAAATAATCAGCTAGCATCATCATGATAGGATCAAATTCACACATAACAATATTAAACTTAAGTATAAGTGGGCTACATGCCCCAATTAAAAAACACAGACTGGCAAATTGGAAAAAGAGTCAAGACCAATCGGTGTGCCGTATTCAGAGGACCCGTTGCACATGCAAAGATACACATAGGCTCAAAATAAAGGAATGGAGGAATATTTACCAAGCAAATGGAAAGCAAAAAAAAGCAGGGGTTGCAATCCTAGTCTCTGATAAAACAGACTTTAAACCAACAAAGATAAAAAATGACAAACAAGGCATTACATAATGGTAAAGGAATCAATGCAACAAGAAGAGCTAACTATCCTAAATATATATGCATCCAATATAGGAGTACTCAGATTCATCAAGCAAGTTCTTAGAGACCTGCAAAGAGACTTAGACTCCCACACAATAATATTGGGAGACTTTAACACCCCACTGTCAATATTAGACAGATCAATGAGAGAGAAAATTAACAAGGACATTCAGGACTTTAACTCAGCTCTGGACCAAGCAGACCTAACAGACATCTACAGAACTCTCCACCCTAAAACAACAGAATATACATTCTTCTCAGCATCACATCACACTTATTCTAAAATTGACCACATAATTGGAAATAAAACACTCCTCAGCAAATGCAAAAGAATGGAAATCATAAAAAACAATCTCTCAGACCACAGTGCAATCAAATTAGAACTCAGGATTAAGAAAGTCACTCAAAACCGCACAACTACATGGAAACTGAACAAACTGCTCCTGAATGACTACTGGGTAAATAATGAAATGAAGGCAAAAATAAATAAGTTCTTTGAAAGCAATGAGAACAAAGACACAATGTACCAGAATCTCTAGGATACAGCGAAAGCAGTGTTAAGAGGGAAATTTATAGCACTAAATTTGTCCACAGGAGAAAGCAGCAAAGATCTAAAATCAACACCCTAACATTAAAGTTAAAAGAACTAGAGAAGCAAGAGCAAACAAATTCAAAAGCTAGCAGAGGACAAGAAATAACTAAGATCAGAGCAGAACTGAAGGAGATAGAGACACAAAAACCTCTTCAAAAAAAAATCAGTGAATCCAGAGCCTGGTTTTTTGAAAAGATTAACAAAATAGACCGCTAGCCAGACTAATAAAGAAAAGAGAGAAGAATCAAATAGACACAATAAAAAATGATAAAGGGATATCACTACTGATCCCACAGAAATACAAACTACCATCAGAGAATACTATAAACACCTCTACGCAAATAAACTAGAAAATCTACAAGAAATGGATAAATTCTTGGACACATACACCTTCCCAAGTCTAAACCAGGAAGAAATTGAATCCCACAACAGACCAATAACAAGTTCTGAAATTGAAGCAGTAATTAATAGCCTACCAACGAAAAAATGCCCAGGACCAGACGGATTCACAGCCAAATTCTACCAGAGGTACAAAGAGGAGCCGGTACCATTCCTTCTGAAACTATTCCAAACAATAGAAAAAGAGGGACTCCTAACTCATTTTATGAGGCCAGCATCATCCTGGTTCTAAAACCTGGCAGAGACACAATAAAAAAAGAATTTCAAGCCAATATCCCTGATGAACATCGATGCGAAAATCCTGAATAAAATACTGGCAAACCAACTCCAGCAGCACATCAAAAAGCTTATCCACCACAATCAAGTCGGCTTCATCCTTGGGATGCAGGGCCAGTTCAACATACGCAAATCAATAAACGTAACCCATCACATGAACGGAACCAATGACAAAAACCACATGATTATCTCAATGAATACAGAAAAGGCCTTTGACAAAATCCAACAGCCCTTCATGCTAAAAACTCTCAATAAACTAGGTATTGATGGAACATATCTCAAAGTAATAAGTGCTATTTATGACAAACCCATGGCCAATATCATACTGAATGGGCAAAAACTGGAAGCGTTCCCTTTGAAAACTGGCACAAGACAGGGATGCCCTCTCTCACCACTCCTATTCAATATAGTATTGGAAGTTCTGACCAGGGTAATCAGGCAAGAGAAAGAAGTAAAGGTATTCAAACAGGAAGACAGCAAGGCAAATTCTCTCTGTTTGCAGAAGACATGATTGTCTTTTTAGAAAACCCCATCGTCTCAGCCCCAAATCTCCTTAAGCTGATAAGCAACTTCAGCAAAGTCTCAGGATACAAAATCAATGTGCAAAAGTCACAAGCATTCCTATACACCAATAATAGACAAACAGAGAGCCAAATCATGAGTGAACTCCCATTCACAATTGCTACAAAGAGAATAAAATACCTAGGAATCCAACTTACAAGGGATGTGAAGGACCTCTTCAAGGAGAACTACAAACCTCTGCTCAAGGAAATGAGAGGACACAAACAAATGGAAAAACATTCCATGATCATGGATACGAAGAATCAATATTGTGAAAATGGCCATACTGCCCAAAGTAATTTATAGATTCAGTGGTATCCCCATCAAGCTACCATTGACTTTCTTCACAGAATTAGAAAAAAACTACATTAAATTTCATATGAACCAAAAAAGAGCCCATATAGCCAAGACAATCCTAAGCAAGAAGAACAAAGCTGGAGGCATCATGCTACCTGACTTCAAACTATACTACAAGGCTACAGTAACCAAAACAGCATGGTACTGGTACCAAAACAGATATATAAGACCAATGGAGCAGAACAGCGGCCTCAGAAATGCCACACATCTACAACCATCTGATCTTTGACAAACCTGATAAAAACCAGCAATGGGGAAATGATTCCCTATTTAATAAATGGTGGGAAAACTGGATAGCCACATGCAGAAAACAGAAACTGGATCCCTTCCTACTTACACCTTATACAAAAAATTAACTCAAGATGGATTAAAGACTTAAATGTAAGACCTAAAACCATAAAACCCTAGAAGCAAACCTAGGCAATACCGTTCAGGACACAGGCATGGGCAAAGACTTCATGACTAAAACACCAAAAGCAATGGCAACAAAAGCCAAAACTGACAAATGGGATCTAATTAAACTAAAGAGCTTTTGCACAGCAAAAGAAACTATCAACAGAGTGAATAGGCAACCTAAAGAATGGGAGAAAATTGTTGGAATCTATCCATCTGACAAAGGGCTAATATCCAGAATCTACAAAGAACTTAAACAAATTTACAAGAAAAAAAACAAACAACCCCATCAAAAAGTGGGCGAAGGATATGAACAGACACTTCTCAAAAGAGGACATTTATGTGGCCAACAAACATATGAAAAAAAGCTCATCATCACTGATCATTAGAGAAATGTAAATCAAAACCACAATGAGATACCATCTCATGCCAGTTAGAATGGCGATCATTAAAAAGTCAGGAAACAACAGATGCTGGAGAGGATGTAGAGAAATAGGAATGTTTTTACACTGCTGGTGGGACTGTAAATTAGTTAAACCATTGTGGAAGACAGTGTGGCGATTCCTCAAGGATCTAGAACCAGAAATACCATTTGATCCAGCAATCCCATTACTGGGTATATACTCAAAGGATTACATATCATTCTACTATAAAGACACATGCACACGTATGTTTATTGCAGCCCTGTTCACGATAGCAAAGACTTGGAACCAACCCAAATGCCCATCAGTGATAGACTGGATAAAGAAAATGTGGCACATATACACCATGGAATACTATGCAGCCGTAAGAAAGGATGAGTTCATGTCCTTTGCAGGGACATGGATGAAGCTAGAAACCATCATTCTCAGCAAACTAACACAGGCACAGAAAACCAAACACCGCATGTTCTCACTCATAAGTGGGAGTTGAACAATGAGAACACATGGACACAGCAAGGGGAACATCACACACTGGGGCCTGTCACCGGGTGGGGGGCTAGGAGAGGGCTAGCATTAGGAGAAATACCTAATGTAGATGACGAGTTGATGGGTGCAGCAAACCACCATGGCACGTGTATACCTATGTAACAAACCTGCACGTTCTGCACATGTATACCAAAACTTAAAGTATAATAAAAACAAACAACAAAACTAGAATGGACATATTAGCGGTTGGTAGAACCCTTACCTTGGTGCCCTGACATGTGGAGTCAAAGCAAATATAATTCATTAGTAAAGTTCCTAAAAATGTCCCATCCATTCCCAAGATAGTAAGTAAAAAATAGCATTGTATCCCTAAAGGATATGCAGAGATCAGACATACCTTCAGAAATGTAAAGGATATAGGATTAATGGTTAATTTTATATGTCAACTTGTCTGGGCCATGATGCCTAGACATTTCATCAAACACTATTCAGGATGTTTCTGAGAGAGTTACTGAATGAGATTTACATTCAAATTTGTGAGCTCTGAGTAATGTAGGTTGCCCTCCATAATGTGGGTGGGTCTTGTCCAATCAGGAGAAGGCCTGAATAGAACAAAAACTTGATTTCCCTGAAGCAAGAGGAATTCTCTCTCCTACGGCTTTCAGACCTCATTTGCACATCAATTCTTCCTGAATCTACAGTAGACTCCCGTTACAACTCTTTCTTGTATCTCCAGCCTATTGGGCTCCTCAATCAGATTTTAGACTGGCCAAGTCTCCACAATCACAGGAGCTAATTCCTTAAAATAAATCTCTTTATAGATGCACATCTTATTGGTTTTGTTTCTCTGGAGAATTGTGAATAATATAGGCAGGTAGTCCTCATCTCATCCCCATTTAATTCACAAGTCAGATTTCTACAAAAACTGGATGAATTATGGCAGAAAACAATGAACTACCGTAATTTTAGCCAAACAGTAATACTGAATGTAGCTGTTGTGCCAGATGTGGTATTTAGTAAAGAAATCATAATTAGCAAATTAACACGGCCTTTGGTACATGGTGTGTATCTATTGATTTGGAGATTGCATTCTTTTCAATATCTATTCACAAGAAAGGTGAATCAGAGGAAGTATGCATTGAAAAAACAATATAATCTAATATATATAGAAAAATAATATATAGCGGGATTGTCAAAGCTTTATCTGTACAGGCCAGATAGTAAATATTTTAAGCTTAGTGAGTCAAGCGGCAAAATGGAGGATATGATAAAGGCACTTATTTGCATTATCCAAAAAATGCACATTTCCCAAACTTTTTATTGATGAAGTTCAAAACATATTATTTTAGTATAATTTTTTTGAAAATACAAGTCTCCTAATAAGAAGAGAATCCTTTTTGTGTGGAGATAACATTTTGCTAAAATGGGGGTACAAAGTTAGTGTTCCCAATTACTAAAATTAATTGTAAGGTACACCTGTTAAAGCTAATCTGTAATGAGATTTTACACATTTAATCTTTGAAAATGTCCTTAACAAAGATGATACATATTACCAAATACTGACATCAGTCATGAGCATATGATATTAATTGAGCATATTCATCAATTGGAAGGCATTCATAGAATTATATTAGATTCTTTTCTTGATAATTGCAGTTTAACATTTCATTACATTGTATATTAATCACTTTCAATTGACGGTTAGGTGGAAGCTCCTCAACCACAAAGTTAAATGGATTTTAAAACATGGAAATTTCCTTTGCACTTGAATCAAGTTCCAAAAACTCTTGCTGGAACTGTAGGTTGAGCTTGGAAAATATACTCACTCCAAATTCATATGAAAATTATAGATCCCACTTCTTGTTCTGATTCAAACAATGTGAGTTAACATTGAAATGACTCTACTGCAGCACATAACTGTGATTTGCTATTGAATTAATTAAAAAAATTATTAAGTCTGCAGCAAAAAATAAATTTCAAAGTCATTAATTTTCTAACATATTGGTTGAGAGAGATTCTTCTTACTTAGAAAAGTTTCAGTCTTGGCCCTGAGCTCAAAAATTCAAAATAAAACTTTACAATTGCAAAGTCATTGAACTTTTGTGTGGTAAATAAATTCAGGATAGCCGGCATCTCTTTTGGACAAAAATTCACAGAACAAATGATATTTAACTTGCAAAAGCAGTGAAGTTCACTGTTAACACTACTGGTTCAATAACACAAAAAAAGAGTTTCAAATATTTTCCACAAAATACCTGCTGATAAATAATACAATGAAAAACTATGGCTTTAACTATGGCTTTTATAACTTTGTCCAACTAAGTCTTTTTCTGTTCCACATAAATCTTTACCACTGACAGTTTTAATACATCTTAGCAGATTCCACTTCAGGTTATACTAAGTTAATGTTTTTTATACATTTTGCCTGTAGTTGTCTCAAAGAGACTATTCAAGAGTCAAGAAAATCGACTGCCTTTTTCTTTTTTGCCTTGTTTTATAATTGACCACTGGTGGTGTTCCCAGTGTCCTCAGTTTTCCTTATGGAAAGGCAAACAATCTTTTAAATGTTAATTTTCTTAGGATACATATCTTCAGCCACTACAACCAAACACAATTTAATTAACTCACTATCAGTAAATGATTTTCCTTGCCTGGCTAACAAAAGTACCACTTAGAAACTTACTTTGGTGTAGCCTCATTTACATTTTTTCGTTTTGTTTTGTTTTGAGACACGGTCTCACTCTGTCACCCAGGCTGGAGAGCAGTGGCTCAATCTTGCCTCACTGCAACCTCCACCTCCTGGGTTCAAGTGATCCTCCCACCTCAGTCTCTCAAGTAGCTGGGATTACAGGCACATGCCACTATGCCTGGCTAACTTATTTTTCTGTATTTTTTATAGAGATGGGCTTTTGCCGTGTTGCCCAGGCTGGTCTCAAACTCCTGGATTCAAGTGATCCACCTGTCTCAGTCTCTCAAAGTGTTGGGATTACAGGTGTGAGCCACCACACCCGGCCCATTTTTGTGTCTGTGTACGTGACTAAATTATGTTTCATGAGATATCCCATCTTACGTTTTCTACCTTTTCTGACCATTACTTTCTATGAGTTGAAAACATTGTGCTGAGAGCTTAGTCTGATAAAATTGACATATATTATTTTAGCATAGCTATAATGTCACCACATAATAAATACAATACTTTGTCATCTAACTCAATAAAAAATTATCCACAGTCCATTGTGTCTTAAAAGTGTAACACTCAAATCCACTTTCTCTTTTCTTGATTTAACATAATGCATATTCACTGGTGATTTTTTAAAACATCACATGACAATGGTATGTGTGACTCTTGATATGTTATTAAGTTATGACTACATCACTGAGACTTGTAGTGTGCTGTGGAAGAGTGCAAATTGAGAAGAATGTCAACATAGTCTCCATCACAACTACTTTGCCCATTGTAGCAAAAAACCACCATAGACAATATATAAACAAATGGGCATGAATGTGTTCTAATAAAATTTTATTTATGGACATTTAAACTTTACAAAATTTTCACATACCAGAAAATACTATTCTGATTTTTTTCAAACATTTAGAAGGTTTTTAAAAAAATTCTTAGCTCATGAGCTGCATAAAAAGAGGTCACAGGCCAGATTTGGCATGTGAAGCATAGTTTGCCTACTTGACATATACTGTCATGGTCCTGCTCCCCAGACTATGTTAATTCTGCCATCACAATATAGTCAAAAGGGACCTGAACTATCTGAACATTTCATGTAACATGATATTGGTCCACTATGTTGATGGCATCATATTCATCAAGCCTTATTCACCAAAAGTACCAAATATACTGGATAACTTAGCAGAAAAAAATGTACTCCAAGCAGCAAGAGACAAAACACAAAGATAGAGAATCCTGCCCCAATGATAAGGGTTTCAGGGGTCCAGTAGCATAGAACATGCTGGATCTCTTCTCCAAATTAGAAAAATGTATTGCACTTTGTACTTCCAACACTAATGAAAATGTATAAAATGTGGTAAACTTCTTCAGAACAGATGCAGTATTTGAGAATACTGCTCTGACCCACTATCAGTAGATGTGGAAGGTTGCCTCTTTTGAGTGGGGCAGAGAGCATAAAGAGCTCTACAACAGGTTGAGGCTCTTAGATAACAGTCGTGTTACTTAGGCAATATGACTCGGCAGATCCCATACACTGGAGGTGCCAAAACCAGTCAAAGTCATTAAAATAAAAGAAAACTGCAGACCAATACCTCTCATAAACATACACAGAAAAATCCTCAGCCAGGCGCGGTGGCTCACGCCTGTAATCCCAGCACTTTGGGAGGCTGAGGTGGGCGGATCATGAGGTCAGGAGATCGAGACCATCCTGGCTAACACGGTGAAACCCCGTCTCTACTAAAAATACAAAAAATTAGCCAGGTGTGGTGGCAGGCACCTGTAGTCCCAGCCATGTGGGAGGCTGAGGCAGGAGAATGGCGTGAACCCGGGAGATGGAGCTTGCAGTGCCACTGCACTCCAGCCCAGGTGACAGAGCAAGACTCCATCTCAAAAAAAAAAAAAAAAAAGAAAAAGAAATCCTCAACAAAATATTGCAAGTCATATCCAGAAATATATAAAAGGAATAATAAACATGACCAAGTGGGGTTTATTAGGGAATGCAAGGCTAGTTTATTTAAAAATCAATCAATATAATCATCAGTCTACCAACAGTCTAAAGAAAAAAATCCACATGATCATACCAATTGATGCAGAAAAGCATTTGACAAAACACAGGTTATTTCCATAATAAAAAGTCAGTAAACTAAGAATAGAAGGAACTTACCAAACTCAGTAAAGGGAATTTAGAGATGATCTATAGCTAACAATACCTATAGTTAAGGACTAATTGTCTTCCTCCTAATAATGGAGACTTGGCCAGGCATGGTGGTTGACGCCTGTAATCCCACTTTGGGAGGCAGAGGCAGGGAGATCACCCAAGGCCAGGAGTTCAAGACCAGCCTGGCCAACATGTCAAAACACCATCTCTACAAAAAATATAAAAATTAGCTGGACGTGGTTGTAATCCCAGCTACTCAGGTGGCTAGGGTATGAGAATCACTTGAACCGGGGAGGTGGAGGCTGCAGTGAGCCAAGACTGCGCCACTGCATTCCAGCCTGGGTGACAGAGCAAAACCCTGTCTTGGAAAAAAAAAAAAAAAAAAAAGGTAATTAGATAAAGATGTACAAAATGCAGCCTGGGCAACATAGTGAGATGCTGTTGCTATCAAAAGAAAAAAAAAAAAAAAAAGGCCGGGCGCGGTGGCTCACGTCTGTAATCCTAGCACTTTGGGAGGCCAAGGCGGGCGGATCACGAGGTCAGAAGATCGAGACCATCCTGGCTAACGCGGTGAAACCCCGTCTCTACTAAAAATACAAAAAAATTAGCCGGGCCTGGTGGCGGGCGCCTGTAGTCCCAGCTACTCGGGAAGCTGAGGTAGGAGAATGGTGTGAACCTGGGAGGCGGAGCTTGCGGTGAGCCGAGATCGCGCCACTGCACTCCTGCCTGGGTGTCAGAGCAAGACTCCATCTCAAACAAACAAACAAACAAAAATGCTGGGCATGGTGACTGACATCTGTAGTCCCAGATAATCAGGTCAGGGAATTGCTTGAGCCCAGGAAGCTGAGGCTGCAGTGACTCATGATTGCACCACTGCACTCCAGCCTGGGCAACAGACTGAGGACTGAGACCCTGTCTCAAAACAACAACAACAACAACAACAACAAAAGTACTAACCAGTTTAAGCTCTTCTTGTTTCTTTGCCATTCTTGTAAGTTTTAGAATCAGCTTATCTGTATCTACAAGAAAAAAAAAAACCTGTTGGGATTTCCTTTTCAATCTA
Organism: Homo sapiens; assembly: GCF_000001405.40. Lineage (NCBI taxonomy): Eukaryota > Metazoa > Chordata > Mammalia > Primates > Hominidae > Homo > Homo sapiens. The sequence continues at coordinate 72,555,371 of NC_000016.10, forward strand.
GATGCCTTTTATTTCGTTTTTTCATGAACACTCTGACCACCAGTCCTAAGGAAGTCTTACCCAAATCAATAAAGAGAAAAAAACCCCCAAAAACCAAAACCATAAGGATTGGAGCAGAAGAAATAAAACTGTACATTCAGAGAGGACATGATTGTCTATGTAGAAAATGCGAAGAAATCTATAAAAACAAAGGACAAAAAAGCAAGAAAACACTAGAACTAATACGTGAGCAAACATGATCACTGGATACAGGTCAACACAAAATAAAATTTATTTTATGTCTGTACACTGGCAATGTACAATTGGAAACTGAAATTAAAAACATAATACCATTTAGAAGCTAAGGCGGGAGGGTCACTTAAGGCCAGTAGCTCAAGACAAGTCTGGGCAATACAGCAAGACCCTATCTCTACAAAAAAATTAAAAAATTAGCCAGGCATGGTGGCCTGCATCTGTAGTCCTAGCTTACTTGGAAGGCTGAGGTGGGGAGGTCACTTGAACCCAGAGTTTGAGGCTGCAGTAGGCTATGATCTCATCATTGTACTTCAGCCTGGGTGACAGAGTGAGAACTTGTCTCTAAAATGATGATGACAATAATAAAAATAATAATGCCATTTAAATAGTTATTTTAAAATATACAGGTATTAGTGTAGCCAAACAGGTACTAATATGTATGCTGAAAACTAAAAAGCACTGATGAAAAAAATCAAAGAAGACCTAAATAGAGACATACCATGTTCATAAAATGGAAGACTCAACTTAGTAAAGATGACAATTCTAAAAGTGATCTGTAAGTTTCAACAAACAAATAACAACATATTATATAATTTCATTTATATGAAATGTCCAGAATAAGCAAATCCATGGAGATACAAAGTAACTTAGTAATTGCCTATGGATAGAGGGTGGCAGGGGGTTGAGGTGAATATGGGTAGGGTGTTTCTTTTTGGAGGTAATGAAAATGTTCTAAAATTGATTGTAGTTATGGCTGCACAACTCTGTGAATACACTAAATACCATTACATTTTATACTTTAAATGGGTGAACTGAATGGTTTGTGAATTATATCTCAATAGTTACAAAAAAACTCCATCAACCACTATCCATTATGTAGTTTAAAAAACCAGAAAAGCACATTTTAAAACTATATAATACTATTTGACTCAATACTGTCACTTTTAGAAAACTAATAAAATCAGAGATATGTAAGTAATGCTTATCTATAGAAAAATGTTTACTAAATTATCTCAGGAAAAATTAGAAATAATCTATAATTCCAATTATATGACTGTTCCAATAAAACATGATACATTTGCATGATGAGTGTTTTAATTTTTAAGAGCTGTATAGTTCAGAAAAATGTCATGTGAAATAAACTTTAGTGAAAAACAATCCAGGTATGAAAGTATGAAATGCATAACTTATTTTTAAATTTTTATTTATCCATTTGTTACTTAGTCTCACTCTGTTGCACAGGCTGGAGTGCAGTGGTGTGATCTTGGCTCACTGCAACCTCCACCTTCTGGGTCCAGACGAATCTCCCACCTCAGCCTCTCAAGTAGTTGGGATTACAGGTGTGTTCCACCACGCCTGGCTAATTTTTGTATTTTTAGTACAGATGGAGTTTCACCACGTTAGCCAGGCTGGTCTCTTAACTCCTGACCTCAAATGATCCGTCTGCCTTGGCCTTCCAAAGTGCTGGGATTACAGGAGTGAACCACTGTGGCTAGCCAAAATGCATGATTTTTTTTTTTTTTTTTTTTGAGACAGAGTTTCACTCTTGTTGTCCACGCTGGAGGGCAATGGTGCGATCTTGGCTCACTGTAACCTCCGCCTCCCGGGTTCAAGTGATTCTCCTGCCTCAGCCTCCCAAGTAGCTGGGATTATAGGCACCTGCTACCATGCCCAGCTAATTTTTGTATTTTTAGTAGAGATGCAGTTTTACCGTGTTGGCCTTGAACTCCTGACATCAGGTGATCTGCCCACCTCGGCCTCCCAAAGTGTTGGGATTACAGGCGTGAGCCACCAAGCTCGGCCAAAATGCAAGATTTTTAAATGTCTTTATGTGAAATACTTAGTAAAACCATGGGTCATTTAGACAGAAGGTTCATAGTTGTCATCTCTGAATGGTAGCACTACGAGTGATTTTTTTCTTTATTCTCTTATGTTTTTAAGATTTGTATTAACAGAAATTAAATTACTTCAATAATATGAAATAAGTAACATATTATTTGGTTTTCTGTTTTAAAATAGAAGATTAAAAACTAAGAAGAACAGCAAGAGGAAGAAATAAAAGCAGCATAATGCGTTATCAATTTAAAAGTAGGTGGGAATGATTAACAGTGTCACATGTACCAGAGAGGTAGACTAGACAAAACTTGAAAAGGTCCATTAGATTTCAAACAAGGAGGTTATCGTTAACATTCTGGCAGATCTGAGAGTGTCATAAGCCACACTATAAAAGAGTAGAATACAATGAAAGGTAAGAAAGCAGAGATAATGATTAAATAAATTGTCTTTTTATTTTTTTTTAAAGCAGATTTCACTCAGGATGTACAGAGCTAGGAAAAAAACATCTCTCCCAAACTAACAAGAAAAGACCAAACAATGTACAAATCGTAACTTTCCTTACACTTACTAGAGCTAAATTCACAGGGAAACAAACCAACCTGGAACCTAAGGAGAAACAAATGCCTCTAAGGAGATACATGATCTGAGCACTGACTTACTTTGGATAGGACACTAAAAGAACATAGAAGAAATGAGTAAGAGGAAACCAGCTAAAGTTTTTAACAAACTACTAAAGTCCAAATGTGGGCTACTGTAAAAATATAAAAACCCTGTGAACTATAGATTCATGGGGAATTTATACATATGAACCTTTACTGAGTGCTCACAAGATAGACTGGGGGCAGCGGGGGAGACTGGAGAAAGCTTCCTTCTATGGTATAGGCTCGGAAGAGGCGAGTGGTCACTGCTGCAGGAACACGCTGATCCTTCTCTTGACAGAACATAAGCCTTAAGCCACTCAGAGAAAGGCAACAAACTATCCCAGATCTATAACATTAGAGATCTCCTAAGGGCTACCAAGTAGCAGAATCACCGAGAAATTCCCACCCCCAAGTCTCAGGTACACAAGGGCCTACCTAAGGCTGAAGTCAAACCAGGACAATACCATATCTACCTTGGTACCCACTACCAGACTAGCAAGCATCAAGTAACAAGAAAAAAAAGTCTACTACTGAGAGAAGGACATGAAAGAAACATTCTCCGTGGTACAAGTACACAAGGAAGACTTAAACCCAAGGGTGCAGTAGTAGCATTGATAAAAATTACTCTGGCTTGCAGGGTGTGGTGGCTCACGCCTATAATTACAGCACTTTGGGACGCTGAGGCAGGTAGATCACTTGAGGTCAGGAGTTTGAGACCAGCTAACATGGTAAGACTCCTGACTCTACTAAAAATACAAAAGTTATCCGGGTGTGTGGCATGTGGTATATGCCTGTAAACCCAGCTACTCGGGAGGCTGAGGCACAAGAACCCCTTGAACCTGGGAGGCAGAGGTTGCAGTGAGCCAAGATCCCAGCACTGCACTCCAGCCTGGGTGACGGAGTGAGACTCGGTCTCAAAAAGAAAAGAAAAGAAAAGAAAAACTCTGGCAAGGCAGCCCCAACCAGGAGCCCATCTCCATTAGACCCAGTGATGGCATCTATTATAGAAAAATACCATGATATGAGATTAGGGGGAAAGACTATCCAGTATGAAGCTTTATATTTAACACAAAGGAGTAACTTGGAGATTGGTATAAGGTGACCCCATGAAAAAATAGTCATATTGTTGAAAGATAGTTGTGTCTTTGGAAATTATTTTTAGTAAAGAATAGAGGAGTGATGGCTTATAAACAACAGAAAGGAATCTGTAGAATCCACTCATCCTTCAGGATCTGCTGGGTTCCAGGACCCTCAAGGATACCAAAATCCATGGATGTCCAAGTTCCTTATATAAAATAGTTTACTATTTGCATGTAACTTTTTTACATCCTCTCATACACTTTATCTCTACATTTAATATCTAATACAATGTAAATGCTATGTAATTTGTTATGCTATATTGTTTATTTGTATTATTACAATTAAGCTTTCTAATGTTGTATTTTGTGGTTGTACTGTTATTTTTTATTGTGTGGGGGGCTTGACCAGCAGATGGGGATCTCTGAACAGACTGAACTGGTACCACCAAAGGAATACTAATACTAGTGCAGATATATTGGGAAAAGAGAAGTTCATTTTGTGGCCTCTTCTGTCTTGGTGGAAATCATGAGAGCACCCAAGTGGTGGAGAAACTTTCTTAATGAAAGAGCATATGGCATAGGCTGGTGGCTTGGAACATTAATCCCAAAGAGAAGTCAAAAGTCATTTTTTCTCAAGACGCTCATTTACCTTCTAGTGGCAGCAACCTAATTCTGAAGATAGAGAAAATATGTGTTTTAACTTTTAGTTAATTTTAGTTAACTGAAAAACTGGAAAGTTAACATTTCACTTTGAAGATTATCAAGACTAGTTGTTATTGTCTGTTTTAGTGTTTCATTTGTACCTCCATAAGAAGGTGGCAAGGGCTTAGAAGAGCAGATAAAAATCAAATATGCGGCCGGGCATGGTGGCTCACGCCTGTAATCCTAGCACTTTGGAAGGCTGAAGCCAGCAGATCACTTGAGGTCAGGAGTTCGAGACCAGCCTGGCCAACATGGTGAAACCCTGTCTCTACTAAAAATACAAAAATTAGCCACGCGTGGTGGCAGGCGCCTGTAATCCCAGCTATGCAGGAGGCTGAGGCAGGAGAATTGCTTGAACCCAGGAGGCAGAGGTTGCAGTGAGCTGAGATTGCGCCACTGCACTCCAGCCTGGGCGACAAGAGTGAGACCCTGTCTTAAAAAAAAAAAAAAAAAAAACTGGTCAGTTTTCCTGCATCTAGAATCTTTGTTTGAAGAAATTGAGACTGGTAGAAATGAGGTCTAGTGATCACCTGTTATGTTTAATTGAATAATCTCTCTCCTATATAAAACCATTAAATATTATTGTACATAGATTATGTATACAAAAAAACAAAATTCAAAAATGCATCTAGCCAAAGTACCATTAAGAGCAAATAATTTCTTCTTAATACCACTGCCTTTTTAAAGAACAAGATAGAGCTGAGAAAGTATTCTGGCTTCTCTTCATCTGGTCAATGGCAAAAGGGCAAAAACCAGAACACTGTTATGCTGTATTAATTTTTAAAGTCCAATTAAAGGTAACATCTACAACCTTTCTTCTGTTGTGTTTGCCAAAGATTTTTAAACATTAAACACAAAGTGCTGATTGCAAGAGAAGAGGAAAGCTCTGGCTGCTACACTCTGCCAGTGATAAAAGCTTTGTCCCTAGAGACTTAGCTAACATTTAGTCACATGATACAATGTACGCTGCACACAACTTTGTTCTATTCCAAGGGCTTCCTTTCATCTAAATGACCAAATAGAGCCTGGCATTATTATCTCTGATTTTATTACCTCCTATAAAAGCTTAGGCACCGGATTGAAATGAGAATATTAAACAACAGAAAAACCTGAAACATTCTAAGGTTGGAGAAAATGGCTTTAATAAAAATTGTTACATATTCTTAACTACTCATCAACTTGCATATCTTCATAATTTAGTTCAAGAAATAAAAGCTTTCTATATTTGAGCAGCCTCCCAGGTTTAGGCAGCTTAGGATAGCATATGGATTCCTTACCCACATGTACTTCCTACTACCAACCTTACCCATAAATAACTGTTAGTAAGGACTCTTCTGGTGACCGAAACTCTTGAACTGGCTTAGCAAAAAGAGGAATTTACTAAAACAACACTGGAGTACCTTATTTAAAAGAATTATACAAAGACAAGAAGGTGGACAAAGATACAGTTGGGACTAGGGCAGGTTTTATTCTAAAATCACATCTGTTTCCATGGGCTAGCCTAATCTTTCCTCACTGTAGAATGGCTTTTTCCACATAAAGAAAAACATAGCTGCCTAGAGCTAGAGAGCTGCACATATTATAGCTTTAACCATAATCTTTCAGTCGCAAATGCAAAATTATCAGGGAAGGTTCTCATTGGCCCAAATAAATTATATGTCCACCCTTGGACAAATTAACTCTGATTAGGTGGATGGGGAACTGTATCCAGCTTGAATAGCTAGGTAGTCCGGAAGTACACACATGGGACAAAGAAGTATGTTAAACATATGAATGGGGAATGAAAGTTCCAGAAAAAGTGTGTTAAACACACAGAAGTTCACTACCCTAAAAAGTCAAGTTATCTTCAATAACTTTTTACATTAAAACTTACTAATGTCACTATGGTTTTTTTCTATTGAATAATGACTATTGTCCAGGCGCAGTGGCTCACAATTGTAATCCTAGCACTTTGGGAGGCTGAGGTGGGAGGATCCCTTGAGCTCAGGAGTTCAAGACCAGCCTAGGCAAAATAGTGAGACCCTGTCTCAATAACAATAAAAAAATTTAAAATAAATAAATAAATAATATAAAAAATAAAAAATAAAAAATAAGGCATAGTTGCACGTACTTGTAGTCTCAGCTACTTGGGTGGCTGAGGCTGGAAGATTCCTTGCGCCCAGGAGGTCGAGGCTGCAGTGAGCTGTGATTACACCACTACACTGCTAGGTGACAAAGCGAGACCCTGTCCAAAAAAAAAAAAAAAAAAAAAAGACTATGGAAAAAAGAACTGACCTTGTTTTGTTTGCCAGTTACACTTCTGTAGGTAATGCTACAACCTTCAAGTTTACACATTTATATGCTAAATTGTTTCAGAAAGAATTTAAGACAGAATGAAATAATATGTTAAATAACAACAGAACATAAATGTGAAACAAAGGAGGGAAAAACAAAGGTGGAAACAGAGTGAAATAACAAATAATGTATTCTTGTTTTTTTTTTTTTTTTTGAGATGGAGTCTTGCTCTGTCACCAGGCTGGAAGGCAGTAGTGTGATCTCGGCTCACTGCAACCTCTGTCTTCTGGGTTCAAGTGATTCTCCTGCCTCAGCCTCCCAAGTAGCTGGGACTACAGGCACGCACCACCATGCCCAACTAATTTTTGTATTTTTAGTAAAGATGGGCCAGGATGGTCTCGATCTCTTGAGCTCGTGACCTGCCTGCCTTTGCCTCCCAAAGTGCTGGGATTACAGGCATGGGCCACCAAGTCTGGCCAAATAATATATTCTTAATGCAGGTAAACGTGTTGTTAAATTAAACTTATAGGTGGCCATTGTTTTGGACAGAGCTCCTTCACTAGGCTCAACATATCAAACCAAAATGGATTCACTCATGTTGAAGTTCCATGCCACTAAGCCAAAACTAAGTTGTTTATCTGACCTTCCAAGAAATCAGGAGAGAGATAACAGCCAAATCCCCAATAGGCTAGTGTTAGCCGGCATGATAAAAAAGTACTGTCTACTTTAACCCTTGCAAAGAAAGTAATTTTGAAACGACCAATCCACTTTTTTTTTTTTCTTTCAGATAAGGTACTGCTCTGTCAACCAGGCTTAAGTGCAGTGGCATGGTCATAGCTCATCGCAACATCTAATTCCTGAGCTTAAGCAATCCTTCCACCTCACTTCAGCTTCCCAAGTAGCTGGGCCTACAAGCATGCACCACCATGCCTGGCTAATTATTTTTCAGTTTTTGTTAGAGATGAGGTCTTGCTGTGTTGGCCAGGCTGGTCTTGAACTCCTGGCCTCAAGCTATCCTCCCACCTTGGCCTCCCCAAAGTGCTGGGATTATAGGAATGAGCCACTGTGTCCAGTCCCAATCTGCTTTTTGTTATTTCTGCTTTCCTCAGTCCTTTTCTGTCTATAAAGTCAACCTCCTCTGCTCAGCTCATTGGAACACAGAATGAGGTGTTGCCTGATTCTGCAATTGATAATAAAAGCCAATTAAGATCTTTAAAATTGGCTGAGCACAGTGGCTCATGCCTGTAATCTCAACCCTTTGGGAGGCTGGATGCAGGAAGATCACTTGACGCCAGGAGTTCAAGACCAGCCTGGGCAACACGGTGAGACCCGCCTGGGGAACACAATGAGACCCACCTAGGCAATACAGTGAGACTCTGTCTCCACAAAAAAAAATAAAAAATAACACACCCTCTCAAAAAAACCATAAAAAATTAATTATTTTTAAAAGACCTTTAAAATAAAATTGTTATAATATTGTCTTTTGACAACATACTTTTGGGGAAGGTTACAAATCTAAGTTTTCCAGTAACTTTGTCAGTTACAAACTTCATAATGTACTTTAGGTAGTGAACCAATTGCTTAAGAAGCATAAAATGTAGGGTGGGCACAGTGGCTCATACTTGTAATCCCACTCCTTTGAAAGACTGAGGTGAGAGGATGGCTTGAGGCCAGGAGTTTGAGACCTCTTAGGTAGCTAGAACTACAAGCGTGTATGTATCATCATGCCTGGGAAACATAGCAAGATGCTGTCTCTACAAAAAATAAAAAATAAGGCCAGGCGTGGTGGCTCAAATCCCAGCACTTTGGGAGGCTGAGGCAGGCGGATCACGAGGTCAGGAGTTCGAGACCAGCCTGGCCAATATAGTGAAACCCCATCTCTACTAAAAATACAAAAATTAGCCAGGCATGGTGGCGTGTGCCTGTAATCCCAGCTACTCAGGAGGCTGAGGCAGGAGAATCACTTGAACTCAGGAGGCGGAGGTTGCAGTGAGCTGAGATTGCACCACTGCATTCCAGCATGGGTGACAGAGCGAGACTCTGTCTCAAAAACAAACAAACAAACAAAAAACACATAAGCCAGGCACGATGGTATATGCCTGTAGTCCTACCTACTCAAGAAGCTGAAGCAGAAGGATTATTTGGGCCAGGAGTTCAAGGTTACAGTAAGCTATGACCCTGCTACTGCACTCCAGCCTGGGAGACAGAGTGAGACCCTGTCTCAAAATAAAAAACAACAACAAGACAACCATAAAATGCACTAACAAATGTATATATATATACTTCATACATAGTAAGAAAGGGACTTCTGCTAGAAATCCCCACTTAGCCTCCATAATATTCCTGATATCTCTCTTCATTTATTAGGGATAAAGAAATAGAGAGTGACTATGTTAGCAAGGAGACAAAGGGGGAGAGCTGCTAATTGAAAAGTGCTCTGTGATATGACTTTGAGCAGAGACTTGAATAAACAGATGATGTGAGCTTTGAGAATATCTGGGAGAACATTCCAGGCAAAGGAAACAGTAAGAATAAACCTCAGCAGGCTGGGCACGGTGGCTCACTCCTGTAATCCCAGCACTTTGGGAGGCCGAGGCGGGCGGATCATGAGGTCAGGAGATCGAGACCATCCTGGCTAACACGATGAAACCCCGTCTCTACTAAAAATACAAAAAATTAGCTGGGCGCGGTGGCGGGCACCTGTAGTCCCAGCTACTCGGGAGGCTGAGGCAGGAGAATGGCCTGAACCCAGGAGGTGGAGTTTGCAGTGAGACGAGATTCTGCTACAGCACTCCAGCCTGGGTGACAGAGTGAGCTTCCGTCTCAAAAAAAAAAAAAAAAAAAAAAAGAAAAGAATAAACCCCAGCAAACAAGCATGCTTAACATGTTCAAGGAAAAGCAATGAGGCCAGTGTGTCTGGTACAGAATGAGTAAGAGATAAAATGGTAGGTCATTTGAGAGGTAGAACCAGACTGTGTAGGATACTGTAAGCCATGGTGAAAACTGGTTGCTATTCTAAACATAAAGGGAAAACACTGGAGGGTTTTCAGCAGAGAATTAACATAATATGACTTTGATTATAAAAGGCTGACCCTAGCTGCTATGTGAAGAATAGACTTTTAGGAGGTAAAAGTGGAAGCAGGGAGACAGGTTGAGAGGCTATTAGGGAAGTCTAGATAAGAGACCAAGAGAGACCTTAGGACTCTCAGCCCGGCCAACATAATGAGATCCTGTTTCTACAAAAAATAAAAAATTAGCCAGGTATGCTGGTACACGCCTATAGTCCCAGCTACTAAGAAGACTGAAGCAGGAGGTTCACTTAAGCCTAGGAGTTCGAAGCTACAGTGCGCCACTGCACTCCAGTCTGGGTGACAAAGCAAGACCTTAACACTAAAATAAATAAATAAATTGAATTGAATTAAAATTTTAAAAAATAGTGGCCGGACACAGCGGCTCACGCTTGTAATCCCAGGACTTTGGGAGGCTGAGGCAGGCGGATCACCTGAGATCAGGAGTTCGAGACCAGCCTGGCCAGCATGGTGAAAACCCCTCTCTACTAAAAATACAAAAATTAGCCAGGCATGGTGGCAGGTGCCTGTAATCCCAGCTACTTGGGAGGCTGAGGCAGGAGAATTGCTTGAACCTGGGAGGTGGAGATTGCAGTGAGCTGATATTACACCGTTGCACTCCAGCCTGGGTGGCAAGAGCGAGATTCCATCTCAAAAAAGAAAGAAAGAAAGAAAAAATACCTTAGGACTACGTGGAAGCATTGAAGGTGAGGAGAAGTAGTCAAGTTTGGGCTCTATTTTGGAGATAAATCTGAGAGGTTTTGCTGATGGACCTCTCCGTGGAGACAGAGAAGACTGGTAATTGAAAAGCAGTCCTCTAAGGACAATGGAGATAAGACTGGTCTGTATATGCTCCTGCTAAAGTTATTTATCTTGATACTGAGAGAGAAAAGATCTTAAGTTATAAAATAGGGAAATGAATATTGTATAACTTTAAAACCCTTCACTTTCCTTTTCTTTATGGCCTCAATTGCTCATGAAAAAAAAAACACAGAACTTTTAATCACTGCAGACAATGTTTCAAGAAGTTAAAAAATACCCTTCTATTAGACTTGCAGTGTCTTAACAACACTCTAGTGTTATTTCTTCTTAAAAAGGCCTCTAGTGCAATGAGTTAGCTGAGACTACCATACCAAATCTTCATAGCTAATAAAACTAGAGGTTTTGTAAACAGAACACCTACATAAAATGTCACATAAACTGGTATTCCTTAACAACTGGCACAATGAAAAGAGGAGACAGGCAGTGAAAGGAAGTCATCTGGAAAGAGTTACTGAAACCCTCAGTTTCCAAACTGGTTTCAACTAATTAATGTTGAAAAGTCGTCTTGTACTTTGGAAATGAAGCATTTGACTTCAAGGAAAGTCAGGAGAAAAAGGGGTTAAAAAAAAAACAACCAAGGAAACTGGTTATTTTATGTAGAAATATCAATAATGTCACCTAAAATCTGTAGTTTGATCAAGATTTTTTTAAGGAATTTCAAATCCCAGACAAACTAAAGTTCAGAGAATTTGCTGTTAGACCTGCACTACAGAAAATGTTAAAGGAAGTTTTTCAAGCTGAACTAAAACACCAGATGTAAACTCGCATGTATACAAGGAATGAAGAGCATTGGAAGTGAAAAATGTGTGGGTAAATACAGAATATATTTTTTTCATATCTTAATTTTTTTAAACATTGTAAAGTTGTTTTATGGTAGAAATCAAAGCAAAATATATGATAACAAAAACACAAAGAATGACAGGAGCTTAAAGACATATGTGATGTAGTTTAATTTAATTTGAAGGATACCCGAAGGAAATGAAATCATCACCTTATAAAGATATCTGCACTCCTACACTTACTACAGCTTTATGCACAACAGGCAAGATATGGAAACAGCTGGAGTGTCAACTGACGAGTGAATGGATAAAGAAATTGTGGTATACATATATACATACACAATGAAATATTATTCAGTCTTAAAAAATGAGATCCTGCCATTTACGACAACATGGGGATGAACCCAGAGGACATTATATTAAGTGAAATAAGCCAGACATAGAAAGAAAAATACTGCATGATCTCATTCATATGTAGAATCTGGAAAAAATACATATAATACATAGAAACAAAAAGTAAACTGGTGATTACCAAGGGAAGGGGTAGGGCAGGGAAGAGGAAATTAGAATAAATAAGAGTATGTAGATCAAAGGGTACAAAGTTGCAGTTATGTAAGATGAATAAGTAAAAACAAAAAAAGGATGGATGGATGGATGGAAGGGTGGAAGGAAGGAAGTGAGGGAGGGAGGGAATAGAAACTTGAACAATCAACTTGACCTAATTAAGTTCTAGAAGAGTAAATCGAGAAACTGCAGAACATACATTCAAGTGCAGAAAAAACATTCACCAATTCTTCTAATGCATCTCAATAATTTTTTTAAAGTCTCAATAAACTTTAAAAGCTGATCTAATACGGTGTTTGTATTGTGACCAAAACAGAATCAAATTGGAAATCAATTACAAAAAGATATTTAGAAAAGCCCCAAGTATTTGTAATTACAGTAATATGCTTCTTAATAACATATAGGACAAATAAGAAACCACAATTATAAAATGCTTTGAACTGAATAATAAACATACAACGTATCAAAAATTAAGGGTGCAGCTAAAACAGTGTTTGAAGGAAAATCTATAGCTCTTAATGTTTACATTAGGGGGAAAAGTTTAAAATCATCTAAGTTTTAAAAAGTACAAATTTAAATCTAAGAAAGCAGAGGAAAGAATATGTGAGTGAAAATTATTGAAATAGAAAAACAGACATTACAGAGAAAACCAATAAAATGTACATACATTTTAACCTGCAGTTCCTAGATACACCTATACAGGTATAAAATCACTATTTGACAGTAACATCCATCAGATATGAATTTATAACTAAGAAAATGAAAAAAACTTAGATGACAAAAATGAAGAAACTTGTTAGATAGACATCTATATAATAGAATGCAACGCTTCATTTTTTAAAAAAACGGCAGCTTTACAGGTACTAATGTGGCATGATCTGTGATCAAGCAAACAACAGCAAGATGCAGAACAGTTTGTAAAGAATACTACCGTACATGTAGGTGTGTGCTTTTTATTTATTTATTTTTCTGGTGTATGTTTTTTAAAGCATATGTGCATGCATTTATTTTTATATATTCACATATGCATAAAACATATCTAGAAATACACAGCAGAAACGGGTAATAGTGGCTGCTTCTGGAAAGAAGACCTATGTGTCTTCTATATATGGGTGGTATTATAGTTCAGTGGGTACCATTTTGCCCTGTAGAATTTAATAATGTGTAAACATTCTACATTTTAAAAAATATTTCAAGTTTAAAAAAGGGTAATAAATATCATAAGAAAAGGGGAGAAATGGGAAAAACAAAAGCCAGAAGGACTGGGGTCAGAAGGACTAGACTAGTTATTTACACAGTTTGGCTTTCTGAATAAGCAGCCTCCTTTGAGGCAGCAGGTCATTGTTTATCTAGATAAGATAGCTGAGAAACAAAAGCTTCGGTGGCCTTTTTCTATTCACCTTACAGTGTGTCTAAAACAACCATGGCAAGAGTCCTTAGCTAGATATACACCTAAGGGGATTAAAGAGGTACAGATGGACAAGCTCATAGGATTTCCCATTTACTGCTATAGAGGCCCACATTCAGGAATCTTTCTTTGAGCCTGCAGATCCTACCTACCCAAGCTACCGTGTATCCTTTGCTCTCTATCTATGATGGAGAAAAAAGGGATTGTGCAGTAATTGCTGCATGACCACATATACATAGGGGTGTCACAAAAGCCAGCAGTCAGAATTTGCTGTTATGCTATTTTCAGTATCAAGAACCCAGATAAAAGCAATCTTCAGGAAGTAAAATCAAAATATTTACCTTTCCTTTGGATAAAATGTTTAAATTCTCCAAATTTAAAAATTAAAGTTACCCTCTATATTCAGAGCTATGGAGAGTGTGATGTTGTTTATAGCTCTCCAAACAGCCAGATTTGATATATGATATTAGAATATTTTCTCCTCTCTGGTTTTGTTACCTTCTTCTGAAACAATAACTTTTGTTTTATGTGGTTTAAGTATCTTTTCTATTTTAATTAATAAAAATTTAAATATTATCAATCCTCAGGCAGCATATTTTATAAAAGGCTATCAAAAGTCACTTCTTATTTCAATTCTTCTTGGTATAATGTACCTGGTCTTATTAAAATTACCCACAAAATAAATAATCCTTTCTGATTAAATTATTCAAACAGTACCACTAATACTGAAAAGTGATGTGACAGAAGTCTTAGTATTTGGAATTTATCTTTAGAATTCTTAAGTTTTCCATGAAGTACTCCATTTAAATCTCCATTGTTTTCTTTAACCCATGGGGAAATTATTACACTCTTTTCAGGCAAGGTAGTAATAGGTTCCTTTAACCATGTCAATAAGCATTACAGTAGTAGGTAACAAAAGCAAATATGCATACATGTGTCACCTCTTTCTTTTTCTTTCTTTTTTCTTTTTTGAGAGAGGGTCTTTCTTGCTCTGTCACCTAGGCTGGAGTGCAGTGGCATGTGCCACCTAGGACTACAGGCGTGTGCCACCACGGCTGGTTAAGAGATAGGGTTTCACTGTCGTGTAGGCTGGGGTGTAGTGGCGCAATCACGGCTCACTGCAGACTCAAACTATTGGGCTCAAGCAATCTTCTCACCTCAGCCTTGCAACATGCTGGGATTATAGGTATGAGCCACCATGCCTGTGGCCCACGTGTCATTTCTTGAAACACAGACATGGTCTGATATATAGCTTACGTAGGCAAAAACCACTTCAACATGTTTAAACTTTAGAAGAAAATGAATGCACAACCAGGGAAAAGCCAAATCAGACTTGTAAATCCATCAAGAAAATTCTTCGAATTTACTTCCAGTCATCACCAACTATCCAACAAAAAAAGTAACTATTTTTTTCTACTCTATATTCAGTGTGAAAGCTAAACAGAAATGTTATATATAAAAATAGAAGGATCTCGGTTTGGGGGATTTGAAATATATATAATTTAGATTACCTTTTATTTGTTTGCTGTTTATCATTTACTTATTTTGCCTAGGTGCATAAGAAATAGCATTGTGGGTCAATGAAGCAAAAGCTAAAAATGCCTAATATCAATGGTAGCAAAATTTTATCTCATTAACATACAGTTAAAATACTTACCTCACATATTACTTACATAAAATCACATCCATGATTAGGTTCAGGTATACTCCTCCATTTGAAAATTTTATACCTTCCCCTCTGTAGGGAAAAAGAAAATCTATTTTCTTTCTCGAAAATAAAAATAGCATGAGTAATGGGATCTAATTAAACTAAAGAGCTTCTGCACAGCAAAAGAAACTACCATCAGAGTGAACAGGCAACCTACAAAATTGGAGAAAATTTTCGCAACCTACTCATCTGACAAAGGGCTAATATCCAGAATCTACAATGAACTCAAACAAATTTACAAGAAAAAAACAAACAACCCCATCAAAAAGTGGGAGAAGGACATGAACAGACACTTCTCAAAAGAAGACATTTATGCAGCCAAAAAACACATGAAAAAATGCTCACCATCACTGGCCATCAGAGAAATGCAAATCAAAACCACAATGAGATACCATCTCACACCAGTTAGAATGGCGATCATTAAAAAGTCAGGAAACAACAGGTGCTGGAGAGGATGTGGAGAAATAGGAACACTTTTACACTGTTGGTGGGACTGTAAACTAGTTCAACCATTGTGGAAGTCAGTGTGGCGATTCCTCAGGGATCTAGAACTAGAAATACCATTTGACCCAGCCATCCCATTACTGGGTATATACCCAAAGGACTATAAATCATGCTGCTATAAAGACACATGCACACGTATGTTTATTGCGGCACTATTCACAATAGCAAAGAATTGGAACCAACCCAAATGTCCAACAATGATAGACTGGATTAAGAAAATGTGGCACATATACACCATGGAACACTATGCAGCCATAAAAAATGATGAGTTCATGTCCTTTGTAGGGACATGGATGAAATTGGAAATCATCACTCTCAGTAAACTACTGCAAGAACAAAAAACCAAACACTGCATATTCTCACTTATAGGTGGGAACTGAACAATGAGAACACATGGACACAGAAAGGGGAACATCACACTCTGGGGACTGTTGTGGGGTTGGGGGAGCGGGTAGGGATAGCTTTAGGAGATATAACTAACACTAAATGATGAATTAATGGGTGCAGCACACCAGCATGGCACATGTATACATATGTAACTAACCTGCACATTGTGCACATGTACCCTAAAACTTAAAGTATAATAATTAAAAAAAAAATCAATTTGCAGAGACAAATTTACATATAAATAAAAGTATGCCTGCAGCTTGTAAGTTCAATCAATAAAGCCACAAGCATTTGTTAAATGCTTCCTATATGCCTAAAAAAAAAATAAATAAAAATTAAAAAAAAAATAGCATGAGTTCCAAATTCCAAAGGTGGAATATTTCAGTGATAAACCCGGAGAAAAATAAGTCACCAATAGTGTAGGTAAAAAGATTTTCCCGAAAGACTACTTTCTCCTGATACAAAAAAGCTACTGCTTTAATAAAGGACATCATTCGATTCATGTTATAAAACATACAAGTTAGTAACTTATACTGCTTGCAGATAAATACACTTATAGTAGAAATATAAAAACATGTGTAAGAATGAAAATTCTGGGCAGGCAAGGTGGCTCATGCCAGTAATCTCAGGACTTTGGGAGGCCAAGGCAGGAGGATCACTTGAGCCCAGGAGTTCGAGATCAGCCTGGGCAATATGTTGAGACCCTACCTCTACAAAAAAATATACAAAAATTAGCTGGGTATGGTAGTGCACACCTCTAGTCTCAGCTACTCAGGAGGCTAAGGTGGGAGGACTGCTTGAGACCAGGAGGTGGTGGTGGCAGTGAGCAGAGATCACACTACTGCACTCCAGTCGATGTGACCAAGTGAGAACCTGTCTCAAAAAAAAAAAAAAAAAAAGAAAAAGGAAATCTGTCATGAAACACTACTAGGGAAGGAGGGAGAGAGGACAATGAAATAGGAGAGGTAAACAATGGGAACAATAATTGTATTTCTAACATGTAATTGGAGGAGAAGGAACAGCAACAGGGAATAATGCACAGTGCTAACATTTTACAAAGCTTGGACTAGGCACATAGGTGTTTACTATACTATTCTCTATTTTTATCTGTATATTTAAAATATTTCAAAAAATACCATTTATGTAACAAAAAAGCATATGCAGCAATAAATATACAAAAGATTAAAAATTCTAAAACTTTATTAAAAGACAATAGAAAAGATATAAATAAATGGAAAGATATAAATGCATATTTATGATAAAAAGGCTTTTTCTTTTTTTTTTTTTTTGAGAACAAGTTTCGCTCGTGTTGCCGAGGCTGGAGTTCAATAGCACAACCTTGGCTCACCGCAACCTTCGCCTCTTAGGTTCAAGCGATTCTCCTGCCTCAGCCTCCTGAGTAGCTGGCATTACAGGCATGCGCCACCACACTGGCTGATTTTGTATTTTTAGTAGAGATGGGGTTTTTCCATGTTGGTCAGGATGATCTTGAGCTCCCAACCTCTGGTGATCAGCGCCCCTCGGCCTCCCAAAGTGCTGGGATTACAGGTGTGAGCCACTGCGCCTGGCCTAAAGGCTCTACGTTTTAAGGAGAGCAATTCTACCTGAAATCAACCAATAAATTTAAAAATTTCAATAGCCTTTGTCTTGAACATGACAAGTGACCATAAAATGTACATGAAAAAGCCAAGAGGAGGGAATGGCCAATATACTCACGAAGAAGGACAAATTGAAGGTATGTGCCCTATCAAAACTCCTCTTCCAAACACCAACACTTTTTTTTTTTTTTTTGAGACGAGTCTTGCTCTGTCGCCAGGCTGGAGTGAAGTGGCACCATCTTGGCTCACTGCAACCTCCGGCTCCTGGGTTCAAGCAATTCCCCTGCCTCAGTCTCCTGAGTAGCTGGGAATACAGGCATGTGCCACCATGCCCGGCTAATTTTTCGTATTTTAGTAGAGATGGGGTTTCACCATGTTGGCCAGGATGGTCTCGATCTCCTGACCTTGTGATCCGCCTGCCTTGGCCTCCCAGTGTTGGGATTACAGGGGTGAGCCACTGCGCCCAGTCCACCAACACTTATTGAGCCAAGATAAAGACATAGTGGTAGTAGTACAGCAACTGAGAACCAAGAGAACTCTTTCACACCAAATCACTGCCAGGTGGAGCACATTCCTAAATGTAAGAGACATACTGTACTATTTTTCTTCTGTAAAAACAGTAAAACACAATTTATAACAGAATTTTTATAATACGACAGCAGGAAAGGATTTCTTACACAAAAGACTGAAAGCATTAACTATTTAAAAAGATTAATAAATTGGACTACATTAAAATCAAGAGCTTTTACTCATCACAAAGTACAATAAAAAACGTTTAAAGTCACAAATTAAGAGATGTTTTATACACACACACACACACACACACACACTCAACAAAAGATTCTCATCCAGAATATTTAAATGACTACCATAATTTAATAACAAATGAAAAATGAATAGAAAAACTGGCAAAAAAGCTGTTCAGAGAAAAGAAAACACAAGTGGCCATAAACATTTGAAAAGACATTCAATACAGCCGATGCTGTGGCTCACGCCTGTAATCCCAGCACTTTGGGAGGCCCAGGTGGGGGGATCACAAGGTCAGGAGTTCGAGATCAGCCTAGCCAACATGGTGAAACACTGTCTCTACTAAAAATACAAAAATTACTGGGACATGACGGCATGCGCCTGTAATCCCAGCTACTCAGGAGGCTGAGGCAAGAGAATTGTTTGAACTCAGGAGTCGACAGAGCAAGACTCCATCAAAAAAAAAAAAAAAAAAAAAAAGACATTCAATCTTATTATTAATGAGGTAACTGCAAATTGAAATAAAAAGATACCATTTCAGAACCACAAGGCCAACAAATATTTTTAAATCCCAACAAATATAGATGTTGTCAGAATGAGAGGAATTCATGCATATCATTAGTGAAAGCAAAAATCAGTATAAGCACTTTGGAGAAAATAATTGGCATTTCTAATAAAGCTAAAGATCCACACAGTCCCTGGCCCAGCAAGTCCACTCCCAGATAAAGATGGAATATAGACTAGATGTGTGTGTGCATCAGATATACATACAAAAAACATTTTATCAGCATTATTTGTAGCAAGAAAAAACAATTTGTAGCAAAAGCCTAATTTTTCATTAACAGTAGAATAAATACATCATATAGCAGTGGAAAGGAAAATTAAACTATAGCTACATTGGTCAACTTGACTAAAACTTAAACGTAACTGTGCACTAAAAGAGGTAGGGATTTGAAATAGGACAATACCAATGATTCAAGGGAACTGAATGAAAGAACTAAGTTGGCAAAAGGAGAGCAGAGAAGCAGAAGCAAATGGAAAGAAGAGGTCTTAAAGAACCAGTTTGGGGAAATTTGAAGTTTCCCAAAGAAGACAGTGAAGTTCCACAAGAAGGAAGTGGACAGAGTAGAGTTGGTGGAGCACATACTTAGCAGGGGTTTGAGAAGACAGTTTTCAGTCGACTTAGATGGTCCCATGGGAGAAGCAGGATCCAGTTTAGAAAGAACAGAGAGGACCTTAAAAATTATCTGTAGCCTGAGTAACAACTTCCAACTAAGCCAACTTCTGATCATAGTGCTCTAAAAGTAAATCCTTTCGAATATATTGTCATCAGGTTTTAACTGGGACAAAGAGTAAATATTCCTGGCAGTATGAAACTCTTTTTTCTTCTTCTTTTCTTGTTTTTGAGATGGAGTACTGTTCTGTCACCCAGGATGGAGTGCAATGGTGCAATCTCAGCTCACTGCAACCTCAGCCTCCAGGGTTCAAGCAATTCTCCTGTCTTAGCTTCCCAAGTAGCTGGGATAACAGGCACCCGCCACTATGCCTGTCTAATTTTTCTTTCTTTCTTTTTTTTTTTTTTTTTGAGACAGAGTCTTGCTCTGTCACCCAGGCTGGAGTACAGTGGCATGATCTCGGCTCACTGCAATCTCCACCTCCCGGGTTCAAGTGATTCTCCTGTCTCAGCATCCCGAGTAGCTGGGATTACAGGCATGCACCACCATGCCTGGCTAATTTTTTGTATTTTGAGTAGAGACAGGGTTTTACCATGTTAGTCAGGCTGGTCTCGAACTCTTGACCTCAGGTGATCTGCCCATCTCAGCCTCCCTAAGTGCTGGGAATATAGGCGTGAGCCACCGCACCCGGCCAAGCCTAGCTAATTTTTTGTATTTTTAGTAGAGACAGGGTTTCACCATGTTGGCCAGGCTGTTCTCTTAACTCCTGACCTCAGATGATCTGCCCACCTCAGCCTCCCAAGGTGCTGGGATTACAGGTATGAATGAGCCATCGCGCCCAGCCTCTTCTTTTTAACTAATGGTTTCTATCCGGGAACTCAGAACCAAAACTAATGACCCTTTTATGACATAAACATCTCCAAAAAACGATGTGTTTGCTGTAATCTCTGCCTGGACCACTCTGTCCCTCTGTCGCCAGATATCCAGATGATTCTCTCCTTCACCTCTCCTTTACCTCCCACTTTACTCAAATGACAATAAGGACTCCCCTGACCTTACAATGGATTACATTATCAGTCTCTATGCTTCACTCTATACTACAGAGTGTAGTACTATCACATATCTACATTTCTGGTGTCATGGTGGCCAAATGTATGTCCTAGCCCCTAGACTTTAGCCTTGACCATACAATTTGTTTGGTTGCTAGGAAGTTAGCAGACATGATTCAAGCAGAGACTTAAAATGGTTTGCACTGCTAGCCTTGGTCTCTTGCACTCCTGCTTTTGGCCATGCAAAAATAACATAATTCGGTATTCCACTGGTGCCAGAAGAATGGGAGACATGTGGAGAACACCTGAACCTGAGCCATACCCTGGAGTCCTATCTAGCCTGGTATACATATATAGAACCCTAGGAGATCAACCAACATACATGTCTGGTGTTTGTAAGCCATTGACTTTTAGGCAGTTTGTTATACAGCACTATTGTAAAAACAGCAAATAGAAACTGAAAACCACCAACATCCAGACAGTCCTCACCCTCTTTCCTGGCTTATTTGTCTTCACAGCACTTAAGATACTATGTATTTTACATCTTTATTTTCTGTCCCTCTACATACACGCATCCACACACAAATAAAAGCTCCACGAAATAATTTTTGCTTCTTTTGTTTATTGTTATCACTCCTGCACCAAGACTAGCATTTGGCACATAACAAGTGTTCAATAAACATTTGTTGAATAATTTAAAGAAAAACAGCCAAAGTCCTCATACTCATGGAACTTATGTTTTAGTGGGGAAAAACAGAAATTAACAAGTATACAAATAATTATCATTAGATAGTTATGAGTGTTATAAGGAAACAACAATGATGAAATAGAAAATGATAAAGTATAAGCAGGAAGGGTTGTATAGGTGATTTTTCTTAAAGTTGCCATGCGGGGGTATCAAATAAACTGAATTCTGAATACAGGGCCTTATATGCATATGGGATGCCATTCTAGGCAAAGAGAACTGAAAATGTAATGACACTAGGGCAGGAACAAGCTTGCTGTTCAAAAACAGAAAGAGCACCTATAGTAGTAAGAGACGAAGTAGACAAACATCTGATGTACCAAGGGCCTCATGGGCCACAGTAGGGTCTTTGGGTTTTATTCTGATTACAGTTGGGAGCCTTTGGAGGGTCTTATGTAGGGAAATGATTTATTTTTAAGGTCATTTTGTTTGTTAGATTGACTGTAGGGGGCAAGAAGGGAAGTACGGAGATAAGTAAAGGAGCTACTGCAACAGTATGGGCAAGTGAGTATGACAACCAGGCCCAGGACTGAGGTAGTGGTGGAGCGGGTGAGCTGTTGAGGACATCTTTTGAAAGTAGAGCCAAAAGGACTTGCTGATTGAAGAGATGTGTTGTATGAGAGAAGGAGAGGCATCTGGAGGCTGAAGTGATTGGAATCAAGAATAGCCTCTTAATTTCTGTCTGAATAACTTATCAAAGAGTAGTTTCATTAACTGAGTTGAAGATGAGCAGTTAAGGGGGAAGCGACACCATGGGCTCCATTTTGTACACTTATTGATCTGCTTCTCCATACAAGGCACTGTGTTACACAGAAGTCATAGGTATCTGTTTTAAAGAACATTAAGCTTTTGTCAATTGCTAAGTAGAATCAATGGTTTCACTGCTGTCTGGATACTACTGGACTAAAGTCAAACCAAAACAAAAGCAAAAACAAAACAGTCCATGACAGACAGATATTATTAGTTGTCTTCCCAATACCCAGCCTCCTTTCCTCCTTATTAAAAATCTCTTACCAGGTGTGGTGGCTCACACCTATAATCTCAGCACTTTGGGAGGCCAAGGTTGGAGGATTGCTTGAGCCCAGAAGTTCGAGAAAAGCCTGGGCAACATAGTGAGACATCGTCTCTACAAAAAAAGTAAAAAACTAGCCTGGTGTGGTGGTGCGGCCTGTGGTATCAGCTACTCAGGAGGATTGCTTGAGACCAGGAGGCAGAGGTTGCAGTGAACTGAGATCCTGCCACTTCACTCAAGCCTGGGCAACAGAGTGAGACCCTGTTTAAAAAGGAAAAAAAGGCTGGGCGTGGTGGCTCATGCCTGTAATCCCAGCACTTTGGGAGGCTACAGGGGGCGGATGACCTAAGGTCGGGAGTTCGAGTCCAGTCTGACCAACATGGTGAAACCCTGTCTCTACTGAAAATACAAAATTAGCCGGGCGTGGTGGTGCATGCCTGTAATACCAGCTACTCAGGAGGCTGAGGCAGGAGAATCGCTTGAACCTAGGAGGCAGAGGTTGCAGTGAGCCCAGATTGCGCCATTGTACTTCAGCCTGGGCAACAAGGGCGAAACTCCATCTCCAAAGCAACAACAACAACAACAACAAACACAGAAAACAAGCTCTTGCTCGGTTTGTTTTGGTCGAGACTGCTCTGTGCCCGGTTAAAGATACTCACTGTGTATACCATTTATGTTAAAAAAAAAAAAAAAAAAGTAGGGGGGAAGAATACATATTTGATGTGCTTGCATATACATTTTTAAATCTCTAGAAGGATTAAAAAAGAGATTAATACCAGTGGTAATTTGTTGTGAGGAGGGTAGGTAAGGCAAGATACAGAATGACAGGGATGTGGATACAAAAGTGAGATTTTCACCATAAACTCTTTCACACTCTGATATTTTAAGCTTAAGAATGTCTTGGCTACTAAAAAAACATGTAAAAATATATATATATTTTTAATTTCACCATCTCATATTCCCTCACAAAGGTAACCAGGTAACAGTATTAGCTAATGAGAAATAAATGAAAGCCCTTGAGGAGGGTTTCTCTTTCCTAGTAAACATATAGCTTAGCAAGAAGATTTCTGCCTTTTGCCTTTGTTATTTTTCCCTCCTTATTACCTGAGATGTGGATGTAATGTCTGCAGTCGGAACAACCATTTTTTGACTAGAAGAACAAAAGTTACCCATTAAAGATAGAAAAACAGGAAGCTGTCAGAGAGAAACTGGGTCCTTGATGACTCTCTCAAATAGCTAATTAGTGCTTAACTACTTCTGAACTACTTGTTTAATAAGAAAATATAACATTAATCCACAGCAGTTAAGATGAAGTTGTAATTGATATAGTCTTAGAACCCACAATAAAATCCTGCACCATAATGCAAAAGAGGCTAATGGGTGGTCATAATGACAGAAAAAGGTGACATAAGAAACATAATGCCCTCAAGGCACTTCTAAGTTAACTTCTAAGAATAGATGGTATTACATAATTTCAAAGTCCCATAATTTACCCATCCTAGTATGTGTTTGGATGGCTGGGTTTCTCAACAATGTGAACATTTCCATTGATCTCTTGTCTTACATGAGTATAAGAAGATACTGTGAGGAGCAAAGGGAAGATTTAAAGAGAATAATTCTGAGTCTTGGCTATGCCTAATCATATGACTTTTAGGTATTAGCTTGGGAGTTGGCATAAAATCATTCCTGTTGTTGCAATTTCATAATGAGAATTACAGAATAGACTTCTAAAACTAACGAGGCTTAAATCTTGTTATTTTAACTGAAAGGAATATTTTAAGATGATGGTCAAGAATTAAGTTTGCAAAGGAATTGTTCTTTTGGGTTTCTGTTTTTTTGAGACAGGGTCTCATTTTATTGCCCAGGCTGGAGTGCAGTGGCACAATCACAATTCACTGCAGGCTCAACCTTCCAGGCTTAAGCCATCCTCCCACCTCAGCCACTTCCAAGTAGCTGGGACTACAGGCATGTGCCATCACGCCCAGGTAATTTGTTGTTGTTTTCAGATGGAGTTTCGCTCTTGTCGCCCAGCCTGGAGTGCAGTGGCGGGATCTCAGCTCACTGCAACCTCAGTCTCCTGGGTTCAAGCCATTCTCTTGCCTCAACCTCCTGAGTAGCTGGGATTACAGGCAGCCACCACCACACCTGGCTAATTTTTGCAGTTTTAGTAGAGACAGGGTTTTACCATGTTGGCCAGGCTGGTCTTGAATTCCTGACCTCATGTGATCCACACGCCTAGGCCATCCAAATTGCTGGGATTACAAGTGTGAGTCACTGCGCCTGGCCAATATTTTTTTTTTTTTTTGAGATGAGTCTCCCTCTGTCGCCCAGGCTGGAGTGCAGTGGTGCGATCTCAGCTCACTGTAAGCTCCACCTTCGGGTTCAGGCCATTCTCCTGCCCTAGCCTCTCGAGTAGCTGGGACTATAGGTGCCAGCCACCACACCAGGCTCATTTTTTGTATTTTTAGTAGAGAAGGGGTTTCACCACGTTAGCCAGGATGGTCTAGATCTCCTGACCTCGTGATCCACCTGCCTCAGCCTCCCAAAGTGCTGGGATTACAGGAGTGAGCCACTGCGCCTGGCTGTGCCCAGCCAATATTTTAATTTTTTGTAGAGACAGGGCCTTGCTACGTTGTCAGGGCTAGACTGGAACTCCTGTGCTCAAGCGATCCTCCTGCCTCGGCCTCGCCGAGTGCTGGGATAACAGGCATAAGCCTCTTCACCCGGTAAGAATTGTTCTTATATTCATGTTTGATTGCTTTTTGTTTATTTATTAAGAGACAAGGTTTCACCCTGTCACCCTCACCCAGGTTGATGTACAGTGGCTCAATCATAGCTCACTGTAGCCTTAAACACCTAGGCTCAAGTGATCTTCCTGCCCAGCATGCAGAATAGCCAGGACTGGCAAGGCTAATTTTTTTTTTTTTTTTGTAGAAATGGGTTTTTGCAACAAGCGCGGTGGCTCATGCCTGTAATCCCAGCATTTTGGGAGGCTGAGGCGGGTGGATCACCAGGTCAGGAGTTCGAGACCAGCCTGACCAACATGGTGTAAATCTCATCTCTACTAAAAATACAAAAATTAGGGGAGGGTGGAGCCAAGATGGCTGAATAGGAACAGCTCCAGTCTACATTTCCCAGCATCAGAGCAGAAGACGGGTGATTTCTGCATTTCCAACTGAGGTACCGGATTAATCTCACTGGGGAGTGTCGGACAGTGGGTACAGGACAGTGGGTGCAGCGCACCAAGAGGGAGCAGAAGCAAGGCGAGGCATCACCTCACCCGGGAAGCACAAGGGGTCAGGGAATTCCCTTTCCTAGTCAAAGAAAGGGGTGACAGACGGCACCTGGAAAATCGGGTCATTCCCACCCTAATACTGCACTTTTCCAACGGTCTTAGCAAACGGCACACCAAGAGATTATATCCCGTGCCTGGCTCGGAGGGTCCTATGCCCATGGAGCCTCGCTCATTGGTAGCACAGCAGTCTGAGATCAAACTGCAAGGCGGCAGTGAGGCTGGTGTAGGGGTGCCCGTCATTGTCATTGCCAAGGCTTGAGTAGGTAAACAAAGCGGCCGGGAAGCTCAAACTGGGCGGAGCCCACCAAAGCTCAAGGAGGCCTGCCTGCTTCTGTACACTCCACCTCTGGGGGCAGGACACAGCCAAACAAAAGGCAGCAGAAACCTCTGCAGACTTAAATGTCCCTGTCTGACAGCTTTGAAGAGAGCAGTGGTTCTCCCAGCACGCAGGTGGAGATATGAGAACGGACAGACTGCCTCCTCAAGTGGGTCCCTGACCCCTGACTAGCCTAACTAGGAGGCAGCCCCCAGTAGGGGCAGACTGACACCTCACATGGCCGGGTACTCCTCTGAGACAAAACTTCCAGAGGAATGATCAGGCAGCAACATTTGCTGTTCACCAATATCCGCTGTTCTGCAGGCTCTGCTACTGATACCCAGGCAAACAGGGTCTGGAGTGGACCTCCAGAAAACTCCAACAGACGTGCAGCTGAGGATCCTGACTGTCAGAAGGAAAACTAACAAACAGAAAGGACATCCACACCAAAATCCCATCTGTATGTCACCATCAAAGACCAAAGGTAGATAAAACCACAAACATGGGGAAAAAACAGAGCAGAAAAACTGGAAACTCTAAAAACCAGAGCGCCTCTCCTCCTCCAAAGGAACGCAGCTCCTCACCAGCAATGGAACAAAGTTGGATGGAGAATGACTTTGACGAGTTGAGAGAAGAAGGCTTCAGACGATCAAACTACTCTGAGCTAAAGGAAGAAGTCTGAACCCATGGAAAAGAAGTTAAAAACCTTGGAAAAAAATTAGACGAATGGCTAACTAGAATAACCGATGCAGAGAAGTCCTTAAAGGACCTGATGGAGCTGAAACCCATGGCACGAGAACTATATGACGAATGCACAAGCCTCAGTAGCTGATTGGATCAACTGGAAGAACGGGTATCAGTAATGGAAGATCAAATGAATGAAATGAAGCATGAAGAGAAGTTTAGAGAAAAAAGAATAAAAAGAAACCAACAAAGCCTGCAGGAAATATGGGACTATGTGAAAAGACCAAATCTACGTCTGATTGGTGTACCTGAAAGTGACAGGGAGAATGCAACCAAGTTGGAAAACACTCTGCAGGATATTATCCAGCAGAACTTCCCCAATCTAGCAAGGCAGGCCAACATGCAAATTCAGTAAATACAGAGAATGCCACAAAGATACTCCTCAAGAAGAGCAACTCCAAGACACCTAATTGTCAGATTCACCAAAGTTGAAATGAAGGAAAAAATGTTAAGGGCAGCCAGAGAGAAAGGTCGGGTTACCCACAAAGGGAAGCCCATCAGACTAACAGCGGATCTCTCGACAGAAACTCTACAAGCCAGAAGAGAGTGGGGACCAATATTCAACATTCTTAAAGAAAAGAATTTTCAACCCAGAATTTCATATCCAGCCAAACTAAGCTTCATAAATGAAGGAGAAATAAAATCCTTTACAGACAAGCAAATGCGGACAGATTTTGTCACCACCAGGCCTGCCCTAAAAGAGCTCCTGAAGGAAGCACTACACATGGAAAGGAACAACCGGTACCAGCCACTGCAAAAACATGCCAAATTGTAAAGACCATCGAGGCTAGGAAGAAACTGCATCAACTAACGAGCAAAACAACCAGCTAACATCATAATGACAGGATCAAATTCACACATAACAATATTAACCTTAAATGTAAATGGGCTACATGCTCCAGTTAAAAGACACAGACTGGCAAACTGGATAAAGAGTCAAGACCCATCCATCAGTGTGCTGTATTCAGGAAACCCATCTCATGTGCAGAGACATACATAGGCTCAAAATAAAGGGATGGAGGAACATCTACCAAGCAAATGGAAAACAAAAAAAGTCAGGGGTTGCTATCCTAGTCTCTGATAAAACAGACTTTAAACCAACAAAGATCAAAAGAGACAAAGAAGGCCATTACATAATGGTAAAGGGATCAATTCAACAAGAAGAGCTAACTATCCTAAATATATATGCACCCAATACAGAAGCACCCAGATTCATAAAGCAAGTCCTTAGAGACCTACAGAGAGACTTAGACTCCCACACAATAATAATGGGAGACTTTAACACCCCACTGTCAACATTAGACAGATCAACGAGACAGAACGTTAACAAGGATACCCAGGAATTGAACTCAGCTCTGCACCAAGCGGACCTAACAGACATCTACAGAACTCTCCACCCCAAGTCGACAGAATATACATTCTTTTCAGCACCACACCACACCTATTCCAAAATTGACCACATAGTTGGAAGTAAAGCACTCCTCAGCAAATGTAAAAGAACAGAAATTATAACAAACTGTCTCTCAGACCACAGTGCAATCAAACTAGAACCCAGGATTAAGAAACTCACTAAAAACCGCACAACTACATGGAAACTGAACAACCTGCTCCTGAATGACTATTGGGTACATAACGAAATGAAGGCAGAAATAAACATGTTCTTTGAAACCAACGAGAACAAAGACGCAACATACCAGAATCTCTGGGACACATTCAAAGCAGTGTGTAGAGGGAAATTTATAGCACTAAATGCCCACAAGAGAAAGCAGGAAAGATCTAAAATTGACACCCTAACATCACAATTAAAAGAACTAGAGAAGCAAGGGCAAACACATTCAAAAGCTAGCAGAAGGCAAGAAATAACTAAGATCAGAGGAGAACTGAAGGAATTAGAGACACAAAAAACCCTTCAAAAAATCAATGAATCCAGGAGCTGGTTTTTTGAAAGGATCAACAAAATTGATAGACCGCTAGCAAGACTAATAAAGAAAAAAAGAGAGAAGAATCAAATAGACACAATAAAAAATGATAAAGGGGATATCACCACCGATCCCACAGAAATACAAACTACCATCAGAGAATACTACAAACACCTCTACGCAAATAAACTAGAAAATCTAGAAAAAATGGATACATTCCTCGACACATACACCCTCCCAAGACTAAACCAGGAAGAAGTTGAATCTCTGAATAGACCAATAACAGGAGCTGAAATTGTGGCAATAATCAATAGTTTACCAACCAAAAAGAGTCCAGGACCAGATGGATTCACAGCCGAATTCTACCAGAGGTACAAGGAGGAACTGGTACCATTCCTTCTGAAACTATTCCAATCAATAGAAAAAGAGGGAATCCTCCCTAACTCATTTTATGAGGCCAGCATCATTCTGATACCAAAGCCGGGCAGAGACACAACCAAAAAAGAGAATTTTAGACCAATATCCTTGATGAACATTGATGCCAAAATCCTCAATAAAATACTGGCAAACCGAATCCAGCAGCACATCAAAAAGCTTATCCACCATGATCAAGTGGGCTTCATCCCTGGGATGCAAGGCTGGCTCAATATACGCAAATCAATAAATGTAATCCAGCATATAAACAGAGCCAAAGACAAAAACCACATGATTATCTCAATAGATGCAGAAAAAGCCTTTGACAAAATTCAACAACCCTTCATGCTAAAAACTCTCAATAAATTAGGTATTGATGGGACGTATTTCAAAATAATAAGAGCTATCTATGACAAACCCACAGCCAATATCATACTGAATGGGCAAAAACTGGAAGCATTCCCTTTGAAAACTGGCACAAGACAGGGATGCCCTCTCTCACCGCTCCTATTCAACATAGTGTTGGAAGTTCTGGCCAGGGCAATCAGGCAGGAGAAGGAAATAAAGGGTATTCAATTAGGAAAAGAGGAAGTCAAATTGTCCCTGTTTGCAGACGACATGATTGTTTATCTAGAAAACCCCATGGTCTCAGCCCAAAATCTCCTTAAGCTGATAAGCAACTTCAGTAAAGTCTCAGGATACAAAATCAATGTACAAAAATCACAAGCATTCCTATACACCAACAACAGACAAACAGAGAGCCAAATCATGAGTGAACTCCCATTCACAATTGCTTCAAAGAGAATAAAATACCTAGGAATCCAACTTACAAGGGATGTGAAGGACCTCTTCAAGGAGAACTACAAACCACTGCTCAAGGAAATAAAAGAGGATACAAACAAATGGAAGAACATTCCATGCTCATGGGTAGGAAGAATCAATATCGTGAAAATGGCCATACTGCCCAAGGTAATTTACAGATTCAATGCCATCCCCATCAAGCTACCAATGACTTTCTTCACAGAATTGGAAAAAACTACTTTAAAGTTCATATGGAACCAAAAAAGAGCCCGCATCGCCAAGTCAATCCTAAGCCAAAAGAACAAAGCTGGAGGCATCACACTACCTGACTTCAAACTATACTACAAGGCTACAGTAACCAAAACAGCATGGTACTGGTACCAAAACAGAGATATAGATCAATGGAACAGAACAGAGCCCTCAGAAATAACGCTGCATACCTACAACTATCTGATCTTTGACAAACCTGAGAAAAACAAGCAATGGGGAAAGGATTCCCTATTTAATAAATGGTGCTGGGAAAACTGGCTAGCCATATGTAGAAAGCTGAAACTGGATCCCTTCCTTACACCTTATACAAAAATTAATTCAAGGTGGATTAAAGACTTAAATGTTAGACCTAAAACCATAAAAACCCTAGAAGAAAACCTAGGCAATACTATTCAGGACAAAGGCATGGGCAAGGACTTCATGTCTAAAACACCAAAAGCAATGGCAACAGAAGCCAAAATTGACAAATGGGATCTAATTAAACTAAAGAGCTTCTGCACAGCAAAAGAAACTACCATCAGAGTGAACAGGCAACCTACAGAATGGGAGAAAATTTTTGCAATCTACTCATCTGACAAAGGGCTAATATCCGGAATCTACAATGAACTCAAACAAATTTACAAGAAAAAAACAAACAACCCCATCAAAAAGTGGGCGAAGGATATGAACAGACACTTCTCAAAAGAAGACATTTATGCAGCCAACAGACACATGAAAACATGCTCGTCATCACTGGCTATCAGAGAAATGCAAATCAAAACCACAAAGAGATACCATCTCACACCAGTTAGAATGGCAATCATGAAAAAAGTCAGGAAACAACAGGTGCTGAGAGGATGTGGAGAAATAGGAACACTTTTACACTGTTGGTGGGACTGTAAACTAGTTCAACCATTGTGGAAGTCAGTGTGGCGATTCCTCAGGGATCTAGAACTAGAAGTACCATTTGACCCAGCCATCCCATTACTGGGTATATACCCAAAGGATTATAAATCATCCTGCTATAAAGACACATGCACACATATGTTTATTGTGGCACTATTCACAATAGCAAGACTTGGAACCAACCCAAATGTCCAACAACGATAGACTGGATTAAGAAAATGTGGCACATATACACTATGGAATACTATGCAGCCATAAAAAATGATGAGTTCATGTCCTTTGTAGGGACATGGATGAAGCTGGAAACCATCATTTTCAGCAAACTTTCGCAAGGCGAAAAAACCAAACACTGCATGCTCTCACTCATAGGTGGGAATTAACCAATGAGAACACATGGACACAGGAAGGGGAACATCACACACCGAGGCCTGTTGTGGGGTGGGGAGAGGGGGGAGGGATAGCATTAGGAGATATAACTAATGTAAATGATGAGTTCATGGGTGCAGCACACCAACATGGCACATGTATACATATGTAACTAATCTACACGTTGTTCACATGTACCCTAGAACTTAAAGTATGATAAAAAAAAATACAAAAATTAGCCAGGCGTGGTGGTATGTGCCTGTAACCCCAGCTACTCAGGAGGCTGAGGCAGGAGAATCACTTAAACCCAGGAGGCAGAGGTTGCAGTGAGCCAAGATTGTGCCACTGCACTCCAGCCTAGGTGACAGAGTGAGACTTTGCCTGAAAAAAAAAAAAAAATAGAAAAAGAAATGGGTTTTTGCTATGTTGCCCAGGCTTATTGCTTTTAATTTCTTTCATAGGATGTTATCTTCCTAAAGCACTCATAAAAAATGGAAAATGTTTGTGTTAGAAATATCCTTTCAACTCAACCCTGCCCTGAATGTCATTCAGTGTAACACATATTTTGGTCCTTCTATTTATTACACTACAGATATTTTAAAAAACATTTTTTAGACATAGAGACAGGATGGACTGGATACGGTGGCTCATGCCTGTAATCTCAGCACTTCGGGAGGCTAAGATCAGTGAAGGTCAGGAGCCGGAGACCAGCCTGGGCAACGTGGTGAAACCCCGTTTCTACTAAAAATACAAAAACGTGCGCCTGTAATCCCAGCTATCTGATGCAGGACAGTTGCTTGAATCGAGGAGGTGGAGGTTGCAGTGAGTCGAGATCACATCCCTGCACTCCAGCATAGGCAACAGAACGAGACTCTGTCTCAAAAAAAAAAAAAAAAAAAAAAAAAGAAACAAGAAACAGATAGGATGAAATCAAATATTATAGTGATAATTGCAGCACACCTCCTAACTAATTTTATGATAAAGATTTTGTGTCATTTTTCTAAAGTAACTATCACATGACCAGGATATTATAGAAACTAAAAAAAAAAAAAAAAAAACAAAACTAAACTGATATAGAAAAATCAGTTTGGGTAAGAAAAAAAATAGAAGACTACTTGGTTTATCCTGAGGATCAATAATTACTTACAATATATTGATCTTATCAATTAAGACTCGTCTATGGAATTAACTTTCATGAAATTGATCAGATAATGGCAAATAAAAAACAAAAACCTCTTGCTTATTCAGAAGTATATATTATTTCTGTACTTCAAAAAGCCATGTAAAATGATTGCCAAATGACTTAGGCAATTCTGGTGAATATTTTGATGATAAAACTTAGATTATTACATATCCTTGGGCTGGGCATAGTGGCTCATACCCGTTATCCCAGCAACATGGGAGGCTGAGGCAGGAGGATTGCTTGAGTCTAGGAGATTGAGGTTGCACTGAGCTATGATTGCACCACTGTACTCCAGCCAGGGCAACACAGCAAGACCTTGTGTCTTGGAAAAAAATTACATATCCTTGGAATAAAAATAGGTAGTTAAATCCAGGGAAGACTGTAATACAAGGACTAATTTCATCAGATTTATAGATTTTTTTAAAAAGTCAACTCATCAACACAAATTTTATTAATAGCAGGGTAAAAACAAAAAAAAGACTAAATTCAATTTAAAAAACACTTTAAAATCTTGATTGAAAATCCCAGAAAGTAGTGAAAGCTTAATATGTAAGAAATGAGTGTTCTCTGAAGGTTTTGGGGGAAGAGGCAGCTTTTCCTATTCAGTCATTTTGAGAAATGCAGTACAAAATGCTCTAAGAGCATTCAGTTGCCATTTGATGAAGCCATTTATAAGAGAATCAAAGTATAAGCTTCAGTTCAGTAAAGTGAATAGCTATCAGAAACAAATGTGCATGTCTATAATTATCACATCTATGCTGGCTGACAAATCCTGAAAGCGACTATATAAATGGTAATGCAATGAATATACTCTACATTCCTAAGGAATTCTGCGTGAGTATGAATTCCTGAATTCATTCCCTTAAATGAATTATAGATTCTCAAACCTGGTAGTCAAAAGAAATATGCAACAACACTGAAGAAAAATAAACAATACCAAAGAATCCTAATAACCCTTTCCCTTTACCCTTCCATAAAAATTCCAACCCATAACCTTCAAAGCAAAAACCCCTACTTACTATCAGACTCAACTTCTAGACTTCAGCATTTTACTTTTCCACAATTGAAGTCCAGATAATTGTCAATATCCTTAAGATTTGTTGGGAAAGATACAATCAGATAAGGTACTTTGAATTCCAATTTCAGGCACCTCATGATAATATATACAGAGATGCCACATATTCCCTGTTATTACTGTTTCACTCTCCCTAGTGTTTAAGTCATTCCCAGGTAGTAAGTGAAAGGACACAGAAAGGTGCATTAACTCTCTCAGGCAACTTGGCAACTATTTGGTGCACAGCTACTATGCACTAAGTGTGCCTCTAAGTACATGGCTTAGGATCTCGAAGTCACTCAAGCACTAGGGAGAAAACACTCCATTGTTGTTTAATGTTGGGATTTTGCTGCTCTATAAACTAGTGTTATGCGGAAGTTTTAGGAGATGATACTCAAATGGAAATATATATCCTTTCCTAAGTCGCAGAAAGGCAACCATAAAGCTCAAAACTGTATTACCTTGATAATGTAATTTTTAAAATGTTACGTGTGAAATAAGACCATTTATTTTTTACTTTTTTATTTTTTTGAGACAGAGTCTCGCTCTGTCGCCCAGGCTGGAGTGCAGTGGTGCAATCTCGGCTCACTGCAACATCTGCCTCCCGGGTTCAAGCAATTCTCATGTCTCAACCTCCCAAGTAGCTGGGATTACAGGTATGTGCCACCACGCCTGGCTAATATTTTGTATTTTTAGTAGAGACGGTGTTTCATCGTGTTGGCCAGGCTGGTCTTGAACTCCTGACCTCAGGTGATCCGCTGGCCTTGGCTTCCCAAAGTACGGGGATCACAGGCGTGAGCCACTGTACCCGTCCTATTGAGACCGTTTTAAAAATGATTGTGACATTATTCTAAAAACTTCAGTATCTATCCATCTCTATATACATATATATGAATGAGAGATACAGCCTAATAGAGGAGAAATGGAATAAGTAAATATCTCTGGAAACACTGAGTACAAGTACAAATGTGATTAAAAGACACAGAGTATGAGATGAAATATCCATCTTAAAATTTCAGTGCTTTGGTGGTTAAAACAGTAAGAGAAAAACAACATTGTTTTGCGCTAGGAAACCTGTTTCTAATCAACTGAGCTATTCCTATGGGGTCAAATAAAAATGATTAGCTTATTAAAAGCATAGCTTTGCTATTTAATAGGCAAAATGATTGAAATTTCTGCTGCAGATCCTGATAATTTTAGTGTTTCTAGTTAAGCCTGCAAAATTGCATTCATTATTAGTGTCCAGATTCATTAACAATTCAATTTATAGATATTAATGCTTATAATGCATGCTTCGCTTGCCAAAACTTGAAGAGAAATTGTTTCAATTAGCTTTCATGGATCATGAATCCTGCCGGCTGGGTATTTTTAGACAAAAGATACAAACACATCCCCAAGCAATGCTAATGCACAGCTGGGACTTGTGTGTAAGGTCACTTGAGCTAACAGTTTAAAAGGAAAAACAGTAAATGAGTTTTACCCAGATGAGTAAGAGAGAAGTCTTCTGTTTCCAACCAAATATTTGAAAGGCATTTAAGAAAAATGGCAGCAGAATTATTTGCTTTTGAGATCTCTGGAAGATAAAACCATTAGGCCAAAATTGGCAATCTAAACTCAAGGAGCAGTATTCAGCATATAAGACAATATGGGAGACCTTAAATTTTCCCTTTGTAAAAAAGGGGATTTCTTAGAAGTCACAAGTTAACAAAAATGCAAATCCTGTCACCTGCACAAGGGTCATGCCCCAGTGGTAGGAGAATAAAAAATAGACTGATACCACAAATGATCCAGATGACAATCCAGATTTACAGATAATTACTAACTCTCTGTTTCATGTTAGGCCACACACAACTAGGTCAAAGTTGCTATTTACTGTCAATGGCAAACAGTATTCTTAGGTAGAAGACACATTCTTTGGAGGATGTCCATCTCCTCCAGATACATTTCTGTCACATAAATCTTCATGTAAATTAAAGACAATAGCCCATCTTTGAACTTTTCTCATAGTGTAGTACAATGTCTACATTTCCTTGTGGTGTCTGGTTGTTTGTAGCTTGGTATTTACTGGAATATCAAGAGAATGGTCGACTTTTTACCTTGAAGCTAAGAGATATTTCATTTGTCCTCACCGAAATGCCGGACCATGTTGCATACTTAAGCACAGACTGAATGATGTCTCATGATTTTCCCATGAACTACAATTTCACCTCCCTGAAGGATCCCATTTAGTGAACTTGGGAAAAATCTAAAGCTAACAGTATGGAATCAAAATAAGTTTTAAAAAGACCATGAGATTCTGGAAAACTAGTCCAACACTACAACTCTAAGGACATTAATGTCATAAAAGTACAGTTGAGAGGCAGAGGACATGAAAAGCATAGAAACTCTTCAGAATGTTTGGATAAGGAAGTATGAGAACATGTGAAATATTTCTAAAATCAAACTGAGCTTTGCATTGAAGCTTAGATATTGGTCTGGAGGAACAACAAATACATCTGTAAAAATATTCATTACTATGCTTTTTAATCTTAATAGTGGTATAACATTTCCCATTGACAAGTAAGGCATAGAAATCTCTAATTTATAATAGGTAGGCATTAAACAAAACTAAAAAATATCAAGATTAAAATCTAATTTCTGAAAAAATATAAATTAGAACAAAAAGAAATCGACTGCCTTTACAAAGTAATAAAAACTAATATATGAAAATGAACTATAAGAGGCTGGAAGAAAAATGGAAAAACAAGTTTGGAGAGAAAAGTGAAAAAAAATCAGTGTTTTCAGTCAGGTGCGGTGGTGCAGGCCTGTAGTTCCAGCTACTTGAGAGGCTTAGGTGGGAGGACACCAGGCTGGGCGACATAGAGAGACTGACTCTTAGAAACAAAACGAAACAAAAAAACTTAAAACCAAATGTGGAATAAAGTAAGCAACTTTTTATAAATACCATCATTACTTAGCATTTAAAAAAATTCTATTTTTTTAATATAATAATTTGAGTAAAGGTCTAAAAGATTGATGGAAAAGGACCAAACTAAGAGTGATAGTACATGGGATGACTGCAAAAATTAATGATGTAACCTATTTGTTTATTCAATTACTACGACTGCAGAAATATATATATATAAAGTGCATTTCTCATACTGCCAAATTCATCATGAGTATTTTTGAAAAAACACAATTTATGTTTTAAAACAAATAAGTTATTTAATACATTGGCACACCCAAATACACACATACATCTAAAAAGCAATGACAAGGACCGTGGTCACTGATGAAATCACTAGCCCTATCACATTACTATTCAGGTCTATAATTCATTCTTTAGTATTAGAGTCCATAGGGCCCTGGTTTGCTTGCCCACACTGAAAACAGAGAACAGGAAGGATCCCTGGAACGAGAAGCTCACTTTTTTCCCCATTCTTTCATAAGCTTCCTCTAGCTTCTAAGTGCTCTGATTATTCTTTTGTCTCTGTGTGGCAAACCTATTACTTTTAAGGTATTTCTCCCACCTTGCTCCTCCCATACCTCTACAATGGATGCAAAGGTCAGTGACTCCCTCAGGAATAGTAGCA
Organism: Homo sapiens; assembly: GCF_000001405.40. Classification (NCBI taxonomy): domain Eukaryota; kingdom Metazoa; phylum Chordata; class Mammalia; order Primates; family Hominidae; genus Homo; species Homo sapiens. Next base: position 72,592,522 of record NC_000016.10, read on the forward strand.
TTTTCAGCAAGGGGTATGGTGAGGTAGTCATGGAACTCCCATTACTGTTAACAGGAGTTACAGGCTACTTCACTGAAAATTCCAACCCAGAGTTCTTTTGATGCTGAAAACTATATTTTCATATAACCTGTACTATGTACAGAGCCCATATAGCATAGGTTATAAGATTACAAATGATGTTTAGAGGATGACATATAAACAGCAATAAATATAACTGGGCATACAGATAATCAGAAATGCAAATTGGCACTGTTAACATTACAAAGCATTTTGTACAGGTCTCTAAGTGTAGAGATATGGAGTTAACTAGATCTCAAAATTTTGAGGAAGCACGTCTTGTGGGGGCAGGGGTGATGGTGAGGACAGGGGATATTCAATATTACTTTACACATGAGATAAAACATTTCAGCATTTTTCCTATAATGACTACCTAGAGAAACAAAAAGGAAATTAGTTCAATGAAGTATTACACAGAATAAATTATATAAATATTACAACGCCGTGAAAGCAGGCATACCATCTTACTTACCAGTGTATTCCCATGGCCACCCTAAAATCATGCCTGCCACATAATATGCACATTCAACTCAAATATTTGTTGAAAGAACAGATAAATTATTCCTCACAACGTGGCTTAAGTTTCTTCTTGTGAAAAAGAAGTTCGTGACCAATCTGGGAAACACAGTGAAACCCCATTTCTAGAAAGTGAGTAACTTCTTTCAAGTGTTGTTTGTGAGGATTAAAAGCAACCAAGCAGTACTGTATAGTATAATACTGTACAGTGATAATGGGGGGGGGAATGAAATGGGGTAAGGGGTGCATGAGGACGCTTTATATTATCTTTGCAACTTTTCTGTAACTCTAAACTTATTCCAAAATTTACAAGTTTTTTTTTTTTTTTAAACTAAGCCAGCCAGGCATAGTGGCTCATGCCTGTAATCTCAGCGCTTTGGGAGGCTGAGGCGGGTGGATTGCTTGAGCTCTGAGGTTTCAGACCGGCCTGGGCAACACGACAAAGCCCTGTCATTACAAAAAATACAAAAATTAGCCGGGTGTGGTGGTGCATGCCTGCAGTTCCAGCTACTTGGGAGGCTAAGGTGGGGGGATTGCTTGAGCCCAGGAGGTCAAGGCTGCAGTGAGCCGAGATTGTGCCACTGCACTCCAGTCTGGGTAACAGAGCAAGACCCTGTCTCAAAAAAGTTAAGCAAAGCACTCAAACCAGCGTCTGATATGGCTGGTATGATCAACAAATATTCTCTCACTCTCTTCTCAACACTACCCAATAGCATTCTGGTGATGCTGCCTGAAGGGACTAACCAGCTAACTAACAAATCACAGTAGAGATCTGCTGGCCTTATTTGCTGGCCTTGTTAATTAGCTCCTAAAGCCTATACTGGCCCTAAATTATTTTAAATATTCTCACTGCATGTTACTAAAAGACTCTACCATCACTACTCCTCACTTTTTCTTTTTCTTTTATACGCTCTTATACTTTCCCTCCACTCTGTTCTTCTCCCAACTAGTACTCATTGACACTGGCATTTTTTTGTGGTGACTCCCATTTTCACAAATAGGAAAAATGTTAAGTTACTGATTCTGGAAGAGAAGAGTGGCTTTATTCAAAAGCTAACTCCAGTTTCCAGATGTTCTGATGCCCTAAACTTAATGTTCATGAATAAAATGGCAGCTTAGCTAAAATATAAAATATTCATCTTGGCCAGGTGCCGTGCCTCCCGCCTACAATCCCAGCGCTTTGGGAGGCCAAGGCAGGAGGATCATTTGAGGCTTGGAGTTTGAGACCAGCCTGGGCAACATAGTGAGATCCTATCTCTACAGAAAATTTTAAAAATTAGACAAGTTTGGTGGGGTGCACCTGTAGTTCTAGCTACTTGGGAGGCTGAAGCAGGAGATCATTTGAACACAGAAGTTTGAGGCTGCAGTGAGCTATAACTGAGCCACTGTGCTCCAGTCTGGGTGACAGAGCAAGACTCAGTCTCTAAAAACAAAACAAAACAAACAAAACTCATAACCTTGAAATGCAAAGAAATGTATCCACAGACAATTTCCCAATTAATGGTGGAATAAATGCCAAGTGTCCACATGGAATCATGAGAGGTTTACTGAGATATTTATTCTTGCAACTAGCAATGATATTTTTTAAGTTCTTTCAGAAAAAATGAAATGGGTATTCATTCTCAAAAGCAATCTTTCTTCTTTTATCATATCAGAAAGTCTGAATAGAAGTTTTAATATCATCGGATTACTTATCTCACTTTAAAATATATATATAGGGCCAGGCACAGTGGCTCATGCCTGTAATCCCAGCACTTTGGGAAGCCAAGGCAGGGGAATCACTTGAGGCCAGGAATCTGAGACCAGCCTGAGCAACATAGCAGGACTGTCTCTACCCTCCAAAAAATAATAAATATATTTAAATATATATATGTATGTATGTATTTATATACAAAATACCATCCCTGAAGGGTTAGAAGCAAAGTAAATATAAGCAAAATAATTTCCCTATGACTTATAAGCAAAATAATTTCCCCATGACTTCTATTAAAAACAGGAAATGCATTAGCATTAAAAAAAGAAAGGAAAAAAATTTTTTTAAAAAGTAGGCTGGGCATGGTGGCTCACATCTGTAATCTCAGCAATTTGGTAGCTTGAGGTGAGAGTATTGCTTGAGACCAGGAGTTCAAGACCAGCCTGAGCAACATAGTGAGACTCCCATCTCTACAAAATCTAAATTAGCCAGGCGTGGTGGTGAACGCCTGTAGTCTCAGCCACTCAGGAGGCTGAGGCAGGAGGATCACTTGAACCCAGGAGGTTGAGGCTGCAGTGAGCCATGACTGTACCACTGCACTCCAACCTGGGTAACGAAGTGAGACTCTGTCTCAAACAAACAAGCAAACAAACAAAAAAAGGCCGGGAGTGGTGGCTCACACCTGCTGTAATCCCAACACTCAGATGGATCACCTGAGGTCAGGAGTTCAAGACCAGCCTGGCCAACATAGTGAAACCTCGTCTCTACTAAAAATACAAAAATTAGCCAGGCGTGGTGGCACATGCCTGTAATCCCAGTTACTCAGGAGGCTGAGGCAGGAGAATCATTTGAACCCGGCAGGCGAAGGTTGCAGTGAGCCAAGATCACACCACTGTACTCCAGCCTGGGCAACAGAGTGAAAATCCAACTAGAAAAAAAAAAAGAAAATGTTTTCAAAGAAAAACAATGTTCAACATATACTAAGCTTAACATCTTACTTCTTTTGTTTGTTTGTTTGTTTGAGACGGAGTCTTGCTCTGTTGCCCAGGCTGGAGTGCAGTGGTGCAATCTCGGCTCACTGCAAGCTCTGCCTCCCGGGTTCACACCATTCTCCTGCCTCAGCCTCCTGAGTAGCTGGGACTACAGGCGCCTGCCACCATGCCTTACTAATTTTTTCTTTTTTTTGTATTTTTAGTAGAGATGGAGTTTCACTGTTAGCCAGGATGGTCTTGACCTCCTGACCTCATGATCTGACCGCCTCGGCCTCTCAAAGTGCTGGGATTACAGGCGTGAGCCACCGTGCCCAGCCAAAATCCTACTTCTTTAAGTCAGAATCATAGAAACAAAAGACATTCTCTGAGTTTTCCTAATACTTTCCATTAACCCCTTATAATGGAAGTATGCTCATCTGTCTCCTTATTTTCCATTCCCAATCCAGGTCTTTGTTTTATCTGAACTCTGTGCAGAACTGAAAGAAAATAAAAAGTGAAAATCAGTAAGATTTTTCTTCTGTTTTGGAGACAGGATCTCACTCTGTCACCCAGCCTGGAGCACAGTGGCACAATCTTGGCTCACTACAACCTCTACCTCTTGGGCTCGAGCAATCCTCCTGCCTTAGCCTCCTGAGTAGCTGGGACCACAGGCACATGCCACCATGCACGGCTAATTTTTGTATTTTTTGTAGAGATGGGGGTTTCACCATGTTGCTCAGGCTGGTCTTGAGCTCCTAGACTCAAGACATCCACCCACCTAGGCCTCCCAAAGTGCTAGGATGATAGGCATGAGCTACTGCGTCCAGCTGTAAAAATCAAACTGAAACAAGAAGTTACAGATATTGTCCATGAACAAGGTTGTAAGAATTTTTTTAAATGCCAGTTTAGTTGGTAGGGAGTAGTCTTTTTCTAGTAGTTGTCAAACTTTATGATTTCAGTACCTCTTTATGCTTTTAGAAAGTATTCAGGACTCCAAAGAGCTTGCTTGTGTGGTTATAACAATTAATAGTATAATAATAAAAATTAAAACAAAAATTTAAAAAATTTACTAGATTATTTTAAAACAATAGAAAATCATTGCATATTAACAGCATATTTTTATGTAAGAATATTTTTTTCTACTACAAGATATATGCATTTTTGTTTCCAGATGAAAATAAAGTTTTACATTGTAAGTATCAAGGGAAAGTGATGCTCTTAGGAAGTGGAATGTTTATCCTCAGTTAAGAAGAATGAAGTGTGGTAATGATATCTAGATGCCAGTTTGAGAAGCACAGGGCCTGTGCTTTCAGTTTTCTCACATTTGAATATTATGTTGTATGGGTTTTGTTTCTTCTGGTAAAATTTTATACACAGGAAGACAAAACTGTTTAATTGTAATCAGAATAAGCAGAGCAGGGAAAATGTTCTCCATGGATTCTACCAAGATTAACTGGCCCTCACCTAGAACTCCAAATCATCAATGGTTTCATAATTAAAACATAGTTTGCCTTCCCCTCAGAGTTATCCAACTACATTGACCCTTTGGTAGGAACTATTTGGTATGGTATCTGTTAATAAAAAGCTGGACTGGAGTTTCCTTCAAATTAGCCAAACCTGAAGTTAATCCATAGTATCTGTGAAGGCTCTGGAGAAAAAGCATGTCTTATAGATGAAAGAAAAGAGTCTTTGATCTTTTATTACCAATAGCCTCAGACCAGAATTCAGTCTATTAGCTACTAAGAATTACTAGAATTTTTGCCTTATAAGATATACCTAGCAACTGGACTTCCAACTAATTTTTTTTTTTTTTTTACCTTGTAGAATACAACTAGCATAGGCCTCTACCTAAAAAGGCAAAATTTAGTGGAAAAACAAAAACTGATTTTAGACAGGAGTGGTGGCTCACACCTGTAGTCCCAGTATTTTGGGAGGTTGAAGTGGGAGGATCCCAAGGCCAAAAGTTTGAGACCAGCCTGGCCAACATGGCGAAACCCCATTTCTACAAAAAAATACAAAAATTAGCCAGATGTGGTGGTATGTGCCTGTAGCCCCAGCTGCTTGGGAGGCTCAGGCAGAAGGACTGCTTGAGCCCAGGAGGTGGACGCTGCATTGAGCTGTGATCACGACACTGCACTCCAGCCTAAGTGATAGAGCAAGACAAGCAACCAAACAATAAATAAAAATAAAAATAAAAACCTGATTTTGCCTTGTTTTATTTTTAGTCAGATAAAAACTTTATGTCTACAAGTAAAGGGGCATGTACCAATCTTACATGTACTACCTATGCATAGCATATGCAGACTAATTGTCCTGAACCGTTACTCCTGTGTGCTTTACCTGAAACTAAATGCTACTGCTTGTACGACATTAGTTCAACCACTGTGGAAAGCAGTGTGGTGGTTCCTTAAAGAGCTAAAAACAGAACTACCATTTGACTCAGCAATCCCACTACTGGGGATATACCCAGAGGAATATAAATTGTTCTATTATAAGACACATATAAGCATATGTTCCCTGCAGCACTATTCACAATAGCAAAGACATGGCGTCAACCTAAATGCCCACCAACAGTAGACTGAATAAAGAAAATGTGGTGCATATACACCATGAAATATTATGCTGCCATAAAAACAACAAGATCATGTCCTTTGCAGGAACACTGATGGAACTAAAGGCCGTTATCGTCAGCAAACTAATGCAAGCACAGAAAACCAAATACCCTATGTTCTCACTTATAAGTGAGAGCTAAATAATGAGAACCACTGGGCACAAAGATGTAAACAACAGCCACTGGGGCCTGGAAAAAGGGAGAGAGACAGACACTGGACAGTGGGAGGAAGGAGAGGGACAGACTCTGGAGAGTGGGAGGAGGGAGAGGGACAGACACTGAGTGGGAGGAGGGATAGGGACAGACACTGAGTGGAAGGAGGGAGAGGGACAGACAATGGAGTGGGAGAAGGGAGAGGGATGGATACTGGAGAATGGGAGGAGGGAGGGGGACAGACACTGGAGAGTGGGAGGAGGGAGAGGGACAGACACTGAGTGGGAGGAGGGAGGGGGACAGACACTGGAGAGTGGGAGGAGGGAGATGGAGAGACACTGAGTGGGAGGAGGAAGAGGGACAGACACTGAGTGGGAGGAAGGAGAGGGACAGACACTGAGTGGGAGGAAGGAGAGGGACAGACACTGGAGAGTGGGAGGAGGGAGATGGACAGACACTGGAGAGTGGGAGGAGGGAGAGGGACTGACACTGGAGAGTGGGAGGAGGGAGAGGGACCAACACTAGATAGTGGGAGGAGGGAGAGGATCAGAAAAACAACTATTGGGTACTATGCTTAGTACCTGGGTGACGAACTAATATGTATAGCAAACCCTCATGACACTAGTTTACCTATATAACAAACCTGAACATGTATCCCTAAACCTCAAACTTAAAAAGTAAAAATAAAATGAGAACCCTTTTTTGAAAAAAACCTTTTTTTAAGTCTTTCATATCACCAGGTCTGATCCAAAACTTTATGGGCTTGGCAGAGTTGCGGCTATGGGCTTTCATCCCTCTCAAGGAGGTTAGGAAAACAAGTGGCTTCCATTTTCAGCCTCTATAGTCCTAGTTGAGCTTGGCCTCATATAGAGGATTTCCCATACAGAATAAGATCCAGCAACTAAGTGGCCACAATACAAGATAAATGGCTCTATTTATATAAGCTCTCAAATATTTTTCAATGAATAAATCCTAAAATATATTGAATATTATTAGAGCAAGTTTAAAATAAATACATGTAATTATAAATTTTCTAGTATTTACCTATCAATGACTATTTATTCCAATTCTTGTTTCCTCTTTTCAGACTTAAATACCTGTGCTTCTAAGCAACTTGAATTTCCTTAACCATGATGTGGGCGACAATGTGAAGAACTTTCCAGATTCCCCTTAGATGAAGGATTTGTTTCCCAGATGTTGAGAGAGTGGTCAGTTTATACCTATCATATGATAGGCCCTTCTACAATGGCCTCAGGTCCCATTTCTGGGTACCCTACATCCAATGACTGATAAATATGGGAATATAAAGGCTTGACCCCTTGCCCCAACTCCAGACAATTCTATGAAGCCAATCAAGCCCCAGAGTTCCCTGTAGGGTGAGTCCAGGCCGGCATTTGGCCTTCATGCAGCTTGATTTCTCCCTTTGCCCACCCTTGCTTTCCTCCCTTGCCTTCCATAGGTGTTGATCCTAAGGGCATTCTTTAATACTCTGCAAGCTAAACTCCCTTTCGGAGTCCACATTCTTGGGGACCCAGCATGGGGCAGTTATTACCAGCAGTGATACAAGAAAGTAGGCATTCAGATCAGGTTTGTAACTAAAGCACTTACTTCCTTGCTGACTGACAAGTGGCAAAAGGCATCTTCCCGATGTGATGGAAATATTCTATACTAAAAGTGGGGATAGTATTTACATTTGGGTATACATTTGTCAAAACTCATTGTATGTATACTTAAAATTTATGCTTTTAACTATTTGTAAATTATACCTCCAAGATAAATATATAGATGGCCAGGTGTGGTGGCTAATGCCTATAATGCCAGCGCTTTGGGAGGCTGAGGTAAGACGATCACTTGAGGCCAGGCGTTCAAGACCAGCCTGGACAACGCAGCAAAATCTCATCTCCACAAGATGAGAGAAACTTAAAAATTAGCCAAGTGTGGTGGCACATGTCTGTATTCCTAGCTACTTTGGAGGCTGAAGTGGGAGGATCACTTGAGTCCAAGTCTGAGGCCGCAGTGGGCTATGATCACACCACCACACTCTACCCAAGGCAAAAGAGTGAGACCATGTCTCTAAATAAGTAAAAATTTCAAAAAAATGTTTTTTAGGCCAGGTATAGTGGCTCACACCTATAATCCCAGCACTTTGGGAAGCCAAGGTGGGAGGATCCCTTGAGGTCACGAATCCAAGACCAGCCTGGGCAACATAAGGAGACATGGTCTCTACAAAAAGGAAAATAAAAAGTAGCTGAACATGTTCCTACAGTCCCAGCTACTTGGGAAGCTGAGGTAGGAAGATCCCTTGAGTCCAGGAGGGAGAGGCTGCAGTAAGCCCTGATCATACCATTGCACTCCAGCCCAGGCAAAAGAGCGAGGATATTATTGGTAAGGTGGCTTCCAGTTCCTTTCACGGTGGACACCAACATATGATTTCAAAAAGATGGCAGATAAGGAACAAACATCAGCTAATGAATGGACAGTGAGTGATGCCTTCTAGTATCAAATGAAATGTGTTAGTAATTTGGAATGTGGAATGAAAACTTTTATGAGGCATTCTCATTTTGAAAATATAATTGACATAAAACCATTAAAGATGATTAGGTTCAACCAACAAAAATTGTTAAAATGAGATAATGTGGAAGTTGCCATATTCTATGTGAAAAAGATAAAATGATTACCAAGACAGGACAGATAGAACGAAATAATTGCCATGAGATTTTATTTTCTCCCTTAAGCTAAACAGTTTTTCAACATAAATAAAAAGGGCAGAAACTGTTTAAGAAACAATTTAATGTTTGATGCTCTTTTTTTTTTTTTTTTTTTGAGACGGAGTCTCGCTCTGTCGCCCAGGCCAGACTGCGGACTGCAGTGGCGCAATCTCGGCTCACTGCAAGCTCCGCTTCCCGGGTTCACGCCATTCTCCTGCCTCAGCCTCCCGAGTAGCTGGGACTACAGGAGCCCGCCACCGCGCCCGGCTAATTTTTTGTATTTTTAGTAGAGACGGGGTTTCACCTTGTTAGCCAGGATGGTCTCGATCTCCTGACCTCATGATCCACCCGCCTCGGCCTCCCAAAGTGCTGGGATTACAGGCGTGAGCCAACGCGCCCGGCCGTTTGATGCTCTTTTAATTTTGCTTTAAAATTCTTGTGAACCTACACCAAGTAAGTACATTTGAGAGTAATATATAACTAAGTTACAAACACTCTCAAGGGTCACAGTTTGAACTCTTTGTCCCATTTATTTAAGGAAAGCAAGGAAACGGATGGAACACTGAATATTTCCAACCAAAAACTAAGTAGAAACCTAGAAATATTACTCAAAACCCCTTTTCTAGTTTTATTTATAAATGTCACTACAAAGAAGTCTGGGCTACAAAATTCTTTTAATTACATTTTACTCGTCTTTTCCAGTATCTTCTCCTTGCCAAAATTCCCAATTTTAAACAAGCAGGGTATAAACTTAAACAAGCAGGATATAAGCAGGGTATAACATTGAGGTTACCTCATAGCTATGTGTCCATAATAATGATATTCAGAGTATAGGGAAGAAAACAGATATGAGAACTAGCATGCCTCAATGAGCAGTTTAGATTGAAAAACACTGGATCTACAAAAGCAGACACTGTGCACTTTGTCTTTCTACCAACAAATTCTAGATTGTAGTCTGAAGAAAAGTAAGTATCTAAACATCCTGTGCTAAAAAATTATTTAGCTTAGAAATAAGTTAAACCCTCTTCAGGAAGAAGCAGGTTTCTTGGTGTGACTTGAAGTTAGTGAGAGGAAGCCATTCCCTTATTAAGACATATACAACAATAGAAATAATGTGGAACTCCAAAAATGGTAACTATTATTACCACAGTGTGAAAATAAACTTTTTTTTTTTGCTCTGTTACTCAATCTGGTTAATTAGCTATGCAAAGCAAAGTTATTCTTGTCAACCCTAAATCTAAAACTATAACTTTAACATTGCTGGGAGTAGAAGAAAGAGATTTCTACTACAGAAAAAACGTTCTTTTAAATTCTAATATATACGGCTAGACTTTACTGACTCAAAAGATTATGATCCAACAACCACTAACACTAAACTCTCTGGTTTCAAAGCTAATTAGATAACTTACTTTTGTGTTGATCAGTCAACCTACCTAATATGAGGCATACTGGCTTTGTTCTGTAACAATGGCAGCATTCAAAATGAGGAATAGAGAAAAGGAAAAGAAATTCAGTAAGTACTCAATATGAAGCTTCCATGAATATCACTGTACTTAGAAGGTTTGCTTAGGCAATGAAGTGCAACCAACAATTTATAACACAATTGTATTATAAACCATGACAATGCACAGATTGTCAAACTAGATTTTTTTAAAGATTCAATTATATGCTGTCTATAGGAGACATATTTTAAATAGACTGAAAGTAAAACAATGAAAAAAGATATATCATTCACACAGCAACCATAAGAAAGCTGGAGTGGCTATATTAATACCAGGCAAAACAGACTTTAAAACAAAAAAAAATTCCTAGAGATGAAGGAGAACATTTTATAATAGTAAGAAAGTAAATCCACTAAAAAGCTTTAACAATTTTAAACATATATGCTCTTAACAACAGAGCCACAAAATATGTGAAGAAAAAACTGACAAAATGGAAGGGAAAAATAGATAGTTTAAAAATAATAGTTGGAGACTTCCGTATCCCACTTTCAGTAATGGAGAAAACAGCCAGGAAGAAGATCAACAAGGAAATAGAACACTTGAACAACACTATCAATTAACAGGAACTGGCCAGGCACGGTGGCTCACACCTGTAATCCCAGCACTTTGGGAGGCTGAGGCGGGCGGATCACAAGGTCAGGAGATTGAGACCATTCTGGCTAACACGGTGAAACCCTGTCTCTATTAAAAATACAAAAAAATTAGCTGGGCATGGTGGCAGGCGCCTGTAGTCCCAGTTACTCGAGAGGCTGGGGCAGGAAAATGGCCTGAACCCGGGAGGTGGAGCTTGCAGTGAGCCGAGATCTTACCACTGCACTCCAGCCTGGGCGACAGAGCCAGATCCAATCACCAAAAAAAAAAAAAAAAAAAAAAAATGAACTAACAGACATAGACGTCTATACAACACTCTAGCCAACAACAGCATACACATTCTTCTCAAGTGCACATAAGACATTTTCCTGAATAGGACATATATCAGGCCATAAAATAAGTCTCAATAAATTTAAAACGACTGAAGTCATACAGAGTAAATTGAAATTAGAAACATGTAACAGAAGCTAATTTGGGAAATCTGCAAATATATGCAAAATAACAACATATTCTTAGGCAATTAATTAAAAATAAAATAACAAAAGAAATTAGAAAATACTTTAAGATAACTGAAAAAAGAGCAAAATTTATGGGATATAGCTAAAACATACTAAGCATATAGCTATGAAGCCTATATTAAATAAGAAAAAGGATCTCAAATCAGTAAGTCAAACTTCTGCATTAAGACTCGAGAAAAAAAAAGAAGAAACTAAACCTAAAGAAAGCATAAAAAAGTGAAATAAAAAAGACTAAAAATTTATCAAATTAATAGAAATAGAAAAAAATCAGACAAAATTAACAAAACCAAAAGTTGCTTTTTTAAGAGGAGCAACAAGATTGGCAAAACTTCAGCTAGACTGACCAGGAAAAAAACAAAACAAGAGACCAGGTGTGGTGACTCATGCCTGTAATCCCAGCACTTTGGGAGGCTGAGGCAGGTGGATCGCCTGAGCTCCTAAGTTCGAGACCAGACTGGGCAACATGGCGAAATCCTGTCTCTATTAAGAAAAAACACAAGAAATTAGCCAGATGTGGTGGCGTATGTCTGTGGTCCCAGCTACTTGGGAGGTTGACATGGCAGGATCCCTTGAGCCTGGGAGATAGAGGTTGCAGTGAGCCATGATTGTGCCACTACACTCCAGCCTAGGAGACAGAGTGAGAGCTCATCGCAAAAAAAAAAAAAAAAAAAAAAAACCCACAAAACAAAAACAGAACCCACCACCAGGACAACAACAAAAAACAAAAATGACACGAGACTTAAGTTACTAAAATCAGGAATGAAAGATGACGCATCACTATTGACCATACAGAAATAGAAAGGATTAGAAGGAAATACTATGAATAATTATATACCAACTAACTAGATAATTTGAATGAAATGGAAAAATCCCTAGAAAGACACAAATTATTCCTTCCAGAAACTGGCTCAAGAAAAAAATAGAACATCAAATAGCTATGCATAACAAGAAACTTAATTAGTAACTTAAAAACTTCCTACAAGCCCAGGTTCAGATGACTTAACTAGGAAATTCTACCACACATTTGAAAAAAAAAAAGTAATACTAAGTCTTCACAAACTCTTCCAAAATTCATGAGCAGAGAACATTTCCCAACTCATTCTAAGAGGCCAATATTACCATGATAACAACATCAGACAAAGACATCACAAAAAAGAAACTACACCCTAATACCTCTTACTAATATAGATGCAAAAATCAATACTAGAAAGTCTAATCCAGAAGCACACAAAAAGGACTATACGTGATGACCAAGTGAGAGATATCCCAGGAATATAGGAATGGCTCAACATCTGAAAATCAATTCATGTAATACACCATCTCAATAGAATAAAGGGCAAACTCCACATGATCATCTAAATAGAAATAGAAAAAGCATTTCTCAAAATCCAGGACCCTTTCATGATAAAATACATTTGACAAACTAGTAGTAGAGAATTTAATCTGAAAAAAAGACTCAGAAAAACACTCAGCTAACATTTTACATATTGATGAAAGACTGAATGAATTCCCCCTAAGAAAAGTAAAAAAGGCAAGGAAGACCACTCTCACCATTTGCATTTAACATTGTACCGGAAGCTCTAGCCAGGGAAATTATGCAAGAAAATGAAGTAATATACATCTAGGTTGGAGAGAAAAATATAAAACTATCCCTCCATGGAGATGATATGATCCTGTTGGATATCAAAAAAGCCTAAAGAATACACTGAAAACCTATTAGATCTAATAAGCCAGTTCAGAAAGGTTGCATTATACAAGATCAATATACAAAAATCAATTGTATTTCTATAAACTTGAAGAGTCCAAAAATGAAATTGTATTGTAATTCCATTTACAATACCATCAAAAAGAATAAAATACTTTGAAATAAATTTAACAAAAGATTGTAAAACTTATACAATGAAAACTACAGGCCAGGCACGGTGGCTCAGGCCTGTAATATGAGCACTTTGGGAGGCCAAGGTGGCAGGATCGCTTCAGTCCAGGAGTTTAAGACCAGCCTGGGCAACATACTGGGATCCTATCTCTACAATTAAATTTTTTTTTTTTTAATTAGCTGGATGTGGTGGCATGGGCCTGTATTTCCAGCTATTTGGAAGGACAAGGCGGGAGAATCGCTGGAGCCTGGGAGTTCAAGGTTGCAATGAACCATGATCATGTCACTGAACTCCAGCCTAAGTGACAGAGTAAGACCTTGTCTCAAAACCAAAAAGAAAAATACTAGAAAACTACAAAATATTGTTGGAAAAAAAAAACAAAGAAAAACTAAATAAATGAAAAGGCATCTCATGTTTGTGGATTAGATCACTTAAGATGAAAATGCTCTTCAAATTTATCTATGAATTTAACTCAATCTGTATAAAAATCCCAGCTATTCTGCCAGGCGCGATGGCTCACACCTGTAATCCCAGCACTTTGGGGGGCTGAGGTGGGTGGATCACGAGGTCAGGAGAACGAGACCATCCTGGCTAACATGGTGAAACCCCATATCTACTAAAAATACAGAAAATCAGCCAGGCGTGGTGGCGGGCGCCTGTAGTCCCAGCTACTCAGGAGGCTGAGGCAGGAGAATGGCGTGAACCCAGGAGGCGGAGCTTGCAGTGAGCCGAGATCGTGCCACTGCACTCCAGCCTGGGCAACAGAGCAAGACTCGTCTCAAAAAAAAAAAAAAAAAAAAAAAAAATCCCAGCTACCATTTTCCTAGAAATTTAGAAACTTTTCCTAAAATTCATACGGGAAATGAAAGCAACCCAGAAAAGCCAAAACTATCCTGAGAAACAACAAAATCGAAGGATTCACACCTTCCAATTTCAAAACTTACAAGGATATAGTAATAAAGTGGTACTAGTGTAAGGACAGACATATAGATCAAGTGAATAAAATTGAGAGACTGTAAATAATCCTTTACATTTATGGTCAATTTATATATATATATATATATATAAAAACAAAAGTGCCAAGATAATTCAATGGGGGGAAAATCATCTTCAACAAGTAGCCCTGGAGCAGCTGGGTTATCTACCTACGGAAGAATGAAGTTAGATTTCTTCCTCACACCGCACACAAAAGTTAACTCCAAATAGATTGTAGACCTAAATATAAGGAACTAAAACTATAAAACTCTTAGTAGAAAACATAGGTGTAAAATTTGTAACCATCAGTTGGGCAATGGTTTCTTAGCTGTGAGACCAAAAGCACATAGTACAAAAGAAATGAATACTATTATGGGATTCATCAAAATTAAAAACCTTCATTCCTCAAAGGATACTATCAAGAAAAAGAAAAGACACCCTCACAGATGGAGAAAAAATATTTGCAAATTATATACCTGATAAGAAACCTGTATATAGAATATATAAAGAACTGCTGTAACTTGACAGCTTTTTTTTCAAAAACTGAATTTTTGGCCAGGCACAGTGGCTCACACCTGTAATCCCAGCACTTTGGGAGGCTGACGCCGGTGGATTACTTGAGACCAGGAGTTCGAGACAAGCCTGGTCAACATGGTGAAACCCCTTCTCTACTAGAAAACTACAAAAATTAGCCAGGCGTGGTGGTGGGTGTCTGTAATCCCAGCTACTCGGGAGGCTGAGGCAGGAGAATCACTTGGACCCGGGAGAGGAAGGTTATAGTGAGCCGAGAGTGTGCCACTACACTCCAGCCTGGGTGACAGAGCGAAACTCTTTTCTTCGAAGAGGATATACAAATGCCCAACACGCACATTAAAAAAAAAATGCTCAGGCCGGGCACGGTGGCTCACGCCTGCAATCCCAGCACTTTGTAGGGGCGGGGGGCGGGGTGGGGGGGGTTGCGGATCACCTGCGGTCAGGAATTCGAGACCAGCCTGGCCAACACGGCAAAACCTCGTCTCTACTAAAAATACAAAAATTAGCCGGATGGGGCTGGCGGGTGCCTGTAATTCCAGCTACTCCGGAGACTGAGGCAGGAGAATTGCTTGAACTGGAGAGGTGGAGGTTGCAGTGAGCTGAGATTGCACCACTGCACTCCAGCCTGGGCAACAGAGACTCCGTCTCAAAAAAAAAAAAAAAAGAAAAAAAGCTCCATATGCTTAGTCATCAGGGAAAATCAAATCAAAATCATCACGATATACTACTTCACGGTCATTAGTATGGCCTATATTAAAAAAAGGTTAAAGAAAAAGAAGTGTTGTCAAGGATGTGGGGTAAGTGGAACCATTATAAATTGCTGGTGAGGAAGTCAAATGGTACACCTGCTTTGGAAAAAAGTCTGGCAGTTCTTCAAGAAGTTAAACATAGAGTTACCACATAACCTGGCAATTCTACTCCTATGTCTATACCCAAGAGAAAAAAAAAACCATACATGTACACAAAAACTTTCAGATGAATTTCACAGTAGCATTATTCATAATAGCCAAAAGGTAGAAACCATTCAAATGCACTGAATGGATAAATAAAATGTAATATATCCATAGAATGAAATATTATGCAGCAATTAAAAGGAAGTACTAACACGTGCTACAACATGGATGAATCTTGAAAACTTTATGCTAAGTGAAGACTACATGTTGTATGATTCTATTCATATGAAATGCCCAGAATAGGCAAATCTATAGAAATAAAAAGTAGATTATTAGTTGCCTAGTGGTGAGGTGGGGTGACATGGGGAGTGACTGCTAATGGATATGGTTGGTGAGGCTTCTTTCTGTGATGATGAAAGTATTCTAAAGTAGATTCTGGTGATGGCTAGACAATTCTGTGAATATATTAAAAAACCATTGAATTGTGCACTTTAAAAAATTTTTTGAGACAGAGTCTTGCTCTGTTACCCAGGCTAGAGTGCAGTAGCACAATCTTGGCTCACTGTAGCCTCGACCACCTTGGCTCAAGCGATCCTCCTATCTCAGCCTCCTAAGTAGCTGGAACTATAGGCGCACATCACCACACCTGGCTAATTTTTGTATTTTTTGTAGAGATAAGATTTTGCCATGTTGCCCAGGCTGGTCTTAAACTCCTGGGCTCAAGTGATCCACCCACCACAGCCTCCCAAAGTGCTGGGATTATAGGTGTGGGCCACTGCGCCAGCCATGAGTTGTGCCCTTTAAATGAATGGTGTATGGCATAGGAATTTTATCTCAATAAAGCCCTTAAAACAACAACACTAACAACGAGATGAGGCAAGAGGCAGGGCCAGCACCCAAAGGGACCAGTCAGAAATGGTTGCTTCAGTTAGAAATGTAACTGAAGAGTAATATTTCTAAAACAATTGAAAGCTGCTAGAGATTTAACCTGTGAAGGACACGATCAGACAATTTTGTATAAAATAAAGATTACTGTAATATCAATGTGGATAATAGATTAGGGGTAAAATCATGAGAATGGAGAAAGGAAAGGCATTAGGAAATTGCTTAAGTAATCCCAGGATGCCTGAACTAAAGCAGTAACAGATGTGATGGAAAAGACAGGACAAACTTGGAAGATATTAAGAGTCAAGAATTAATGGGATGCAGCAAATAGTGGAGGAAAAAAGAAGGGGAAAGGGAGGAATCATGGATCCTATTTCTGAGGACTCCACTTGGGCATCACCTTCTCCTAAACTTTTCTTCAATCCACAATTTGAGTTTAATGTCCTTTTTTGTGTTACAAATACACACAGTGCATACCTTTATCATTGTATTTACTACATTCTAATGTAGTGTAATTGTCTGTTCATGTGTCTGTCTCCCCCATTAGTCTCTACGATTGAGGGTAAGGACTTTATTTCATAATGTCTTTGTAGCTCTGTACCCCCTCCAGAGTTTAGTGCCTGGCAAAGAAGGTGTCACCAACCAGGACAGAGAATACAAGGGAAACAGATTAGTTTTGGAAAAGGGACATGCTGAGGAAAGATAATGATGTCAGTTTTTCCTATATGCCTACAACACATCTAAACACAAAATTGTCAGATGAAAGCTGGTTCTATGAAGTTGGAGATCAAAAGGGAGTTTCAGAATAGAGTTAGTAAGCATCGTGATATAGGAGGAACAGGCAGTAACTAAAACCTTGTGTATGTGGACCAGATTGCTTACAAGAAGCATAAGATAGAAGTAAAGCCAGAGAAAGACAAAATTCTGGAAAATTCCTACATATAAGAGATAGGCAAAGTAATTGGAACTCACAAAACAATTCTGAGGATTGCAAAGGAAGAAAGAAAAATCACAGGAATAATATCAAGGAGGAAGTTAGGAAGGACAAAAAAGTATATACTGGATTTGGGAAAAGTCACGTGATTTTTGCAAAAGCAGTTTCAGTGGAGAAAGGTTGGGGGTGGGGGGAATTCGACCTATAGCTGAGCAAGAGCCAGTGAGAGATGAGGAAGTGAAAATAGTGAGAGTTAGGAAGCTTGACTTTGAGGTGAAGAAGAATGCTGGGGATAGTAATGGTGGCTCAGAGTCAAAGGCAAATTTTGTATTATTTTGTTTTTATTTTTTAACTGAGAAGTCTCAATCACGCATATATCCTGAGAAGAATAAATCAATACAGAGGCTAATGGGGAAAAGTGATCAACAGATAATGTCAGTCACTGAGAAGACAGAAGGGGATGAAAGCGAAGCTTTAACAGGAGACAGGAAAAGAAGGATAGTTATGGGTAACATTTCTAAATATTGAGGAGCGATAAGGGTGCCTAGCAGGAGCAAAGGGAGTTCCCTCCAGATTGCCCCTACTTTCTTGGTGAAGTAAGAGGTAAGCCATCTTGTAAAAGCTAACAGGAAAATAGTAAGAAGCACTGGAGGCTGGGTGTGGTGGCACATATCTGTAATCCCATGCAATCCCAGCATTTTGGGAGGCTGAGGCAGGTGGACTGTTTGAATCCAGGAGTTCAATATCAGCCTAGGCAATATGGCGAAACACTATCTCTAAAAAAAAAAAAAAAAAAAAAAGGCTGGGCACAGTGGCTCACACCCGTAATCCCAGCACTTTGGAAGGCCAAGGTGGGTGGGTCACCTGAGGTTGGGAGTTCAAGACCAGCCTGACCAACATGGAGAAACCCATCTCTACTAAAAATACAAAAGTAGTCGGGTATGGGTGTGGTGGTGCAGGCCTGTAATCCCATCTACTCGGGCAGCTAAGGCAGGAGAATCGCTTGAACCCGGGAGGCAGAATTTGTGGTGAGCTGAGATCACGCCATTGCACTCCAGCTTAGACAACAAGAGCAAAACTCTGTCTCAAAAAAAAAAAAAAAAAAAAGAAAAGAAAGAAAGAAAGAAAGAAAAATTAGCCAGGCATTGTGGCATACACCTGTAGTCCCAGCTACTTGGGAAGCTGAGGGTAGGAAAATCACCTGAGCCAGGAAGGTTGAGGCAGCAGTGAGCCATGATCAAGCCACTGCACTCCAGCCTGGGTGAAAAGTGAGACCTTGTCTCAAAAAAAAAAAAAATAAATAAAAATAAAAAGAATGAATGAAAGAAAGAAGTCCTGGAGCTAGTGAAAAAGGTTTGAAATAACTGCCACACAGTATTGGGGTCCAAATGAGGTTGAAATCCAAAAGTATAAACTAAGTAGCAGTCATCACCATAATGTAATATTTCTCTCCAGCAACAGGGGTTAAAAGAGTAAAAGTTGGGGCCGGGCACGGTGGCTAATGCCTGTAATCCCAGCACTTTGGGAGGCCAAGGTGGGCGGATCACAAGGTCAGGAGATCAAGACCATCCTGGCTAACGTGGTCTCTACTAAAAATACAAAAAATTAGCCAGGCGTGGTGGCAAGCACCTGTAGTCCCAGCTACTCAGGAGGCTGAGGCAGAAGGATGGCATGAACCCAGGAGGCGAAGCTTGCAATGAGCTGAGATCACGCCACTGCACTCCAGTCTGGGCGACAGAGAGAGACCCTGTCTCCAAAAAAAAAAAAAAAAAAAAAGAGTAAAAGTTAATCAAAACGGAAGTGAAGAAGAAAGAACTGAATTACATATATGCCAAAATTCATTGAGTTACATTCTTGAGATTTGTTTGCTTGTTTATAAGTTATATCATAACATAAATGTTAGTATTTTAAAGAACTTTACTATATGTCTCATTTCCAGTACTCAACCTTAAACCTCCCAAATCAAAAGGCAAAAAAACACCTCTAGAACAACTTCTATTTAAAAACAGGTTTTTAAAAAGTCACAAAAAGCCTAAAACTGAAGCCAAATAAACAAAAACCTAGGAAAAGACCCTCTCTCCCCTCAAATGCATATTTTCATTCTAGAGTAAATTATAGACCACCAACTATAGCCTGACTTGGATATCAAGCACGGGTTCCCACATGAAAATTGTTATTGTTGGCTTTAGTGCTTCAATCTAAAGAGGACACAAATTCTGCTCATGTTTGAATAACGCTTGCCAACAAATTGATGCCACAGCACCAGGGCTGCAAAAAGTACATTTAAAGATTGAAGAGAAACATAAAGGGGAAAAACTCGGTAAATGTATTTCCTCCTACTCAGAATCTAAGATAGATCCCTTTAAAGAGAAAAAAGGTTTTTCTCTTTCCTCTTTTTCCAAAAGCAGTCCAAAAGGGCATTAGAGAACATCTGTAATTTACACAAAAGGGAGCAATGCCAAAGAAACTCAGATTCCACAGCTGTTAACCCAAGGGACAACTCAAACCAGGCAAATCTCTAAATAAGGTCTGAAAGGCAGACGCTCTGCTAGAGGGCAGCTAACTTCCAAAACCAGGAGTTTGGAGTGGGCACTTGAAATACTAATGTGTGCCTTTCTAGAAAGCTGCCTTTTGCCTTTATATGGGCAAGTGAGAACAATTCATAATTCCTTTACTAATTAAGATATACTCAAAGAAGCCTAGGCATTTTGCCTGGTCACCACCTACTATTAATATATGAACATAAAGAAATTTCCTTGTTATTTTAATGTTTATCTTCTTCATCTACCCAATATTAACATGTTGGTTAACAATACCACCAGAGAGTAAAAGCTCCCAACTATACAGCACCAAAAGTTAACAAACTTTCAGAAACTGTCTAATAGAATAGGTTACAGAACCAGGTTCCCTGGATTCAAGTCCTACTTCTCCACTTTTTGGGTTGCCTTGGACAAACTCCTTTACATTTATAGGCCTCAGTTTTCTCATCTGTAAAATGGAGATAATCTTATCTACTCATAGGGTTGTGAGGATTAGACAATCAATGAATATAGACATGTACAAACACTCCAAATACATTGTAAATGCCCTTAAAGTCTTAGTGTCTATTATTAAGTCTCTGCCTTATCAATCTGCAGCAAGCTCATCTCTTTACTATGAGTTCTAAAATTTGCATGGCACGCAGTGCTAAATTATGTGGTTTATACCCTGTGAACGCCTTATAGTCAAAAAAGGGTCTCAAACTGTGGCATGTTGAATTTGTTGGCCTATTTACCAACAAACAGCTAACATATGTTAATGACTCATTGTAAAAATAGATACATTCAGACTTATGATTTGAAGATTAAAGGCTCAATATACCAACTCCATTTCCCTTGACTAGTAGTCCTCTTCTGCATGATATATGTGTTTACTGTAATAACTGACTAACTGCCTTTGCGGAAACTGTCAATACTCTGCATGCACAGCATCTGGAAGGATTAAGCAAAACACTAGGGAATTAAAAGACATAATGAAGTGAAAATTAAGAAGGAATGGAGAGAAGGATGTGTTCTAAATCCATAGGAAATAGTCTTAGTAAGCTTTCATATTTTTCTCTGTTTTTTGTTAGATTAATATTAGAGAGTTCTGTCCCTTTAACTGTCAAATGGTTTTCCATCTTGCAAGTAATCTTTCTCCACCAAGGAGTCTTTTAAAAGTTATAAATAAAATACCCCAAATATTTTCTTTTTCCCACAGATGAGAACATTAGAACACTGACATTTTTATCTGTTCTTTACAAGAGTGAGTTGTGTCAACACAGTGCTCCCAGCTACAACACTGAAAAAAATAAGTTTAATTAAAGACAGAGAAGAAACTGCATGTGGAGCCTAAGCCACTGAGATACAACCAAGAGTTGTCACCTTCAGAGTCAGTTCTCTATGAACAAATCTCTTTGTCAGTGTCAGAAGAAGAAGAGAGAGAAAGCAAAGCAAAAGTGTGATGCTATAAAGATAAAACATGGTGAGGTCAAATGTCAGTGTTCAGACTAGGAACTAAAAAATAGTTATTTATGTAGTACTTCCAGAGTCCAAACACTATGCCTAACATCATAAAACATCTTTGGCTATAAATAGATGCCTATTAACCACATATATGTTGTAGAAGATACAGTTGAAGCACAAAGAGAAGGCCATGATCACCAGGTAATGTTTAGCAACAATGAACATTGCTTTTACCGGGTTTATTTCAGAATACTGGCTATGCTCCCTCCTCAAACACTAATTTGAAGGGCAAATTAACATTGTCACAAAACTATTTTCCCAAATTAAGCACAGCTCTAACTACATTCTAGCAATAGCTTGCTTTACTTGCCCTGCCCTTTTGTAAGGACATCCTATTGTCAGAGAGGCAGTACAGCACAATGAATAGAAAACAGGAGAGACATGACAAAGTTCTAACTTTGGCTCTGCCATTTCCTAGCTTAGTAACTCTTGGGCAAGTTACTTAATCTATTTGAGATAATTTTTGCTCATGTATAAAATAGAAATAAAAGTAACTACTCAAGAGTGTTATTGCAAGGCTTCGATGAGATAATGCATGTGAAATACCCAGTTCACTTCTTGGCTCATATAGTAGATGATCCACAAATAATATTCTCACTATCTTTTGTTTTTTATAATACTGACCATTTGTTGATTGTGTATTATCATGCCCTCTAGATCGTATGTTTCTTAGGACTACAACTTCTTTCACTCCTATAAAATAGCCTATCTCAGCTTAGAGGGAATGTATAGTATTAAGTATTAATACCTCCTGGTCTGCTCACCCATATATAAATTATTTTGTCACAGCACAGTGTAACAGAATGGTTATCAGCATGAGCTGATATATCAAGATTGCTTGTACTAACTGATTACATTTCAATCATGGCACTGATACTTAATAGCTATGTAACTTTTGGCAAGTTACTTATCTATGCCTCAGTTTGTGAGATGGAAATATAATAATACTTTAGACTCACAGGGCTATTATGAAGATTATATACACAAAACATATGTAAAGCTATTTAAATAATACCTGGTCCAAGTATGAGTTCAAAAGACATTTGTTATTACCTGATAATATATCTGCACAATGAATACTATTTTATATTTATTGTATAAGTATTAAATATTTCTCAGAATTTATGTGATAAAGTTGTTAGGAGAAGAAGCAGGGTAAATACTTTGGTAAGTAGTAATAAACATGATAGGAACAACAGGTACATAAGGGAAAAAATGATAAATTCAAGATAGAAAGTAATGAAATAAGAACAAGAAACAATGCTTTATAGAGGGCAATAAACTAAATGTTAGTGGTATAATGAAATGAAAAAGAATACAACATATAAAACTACCGTATTTTAACTGTAGCAGATGATGATGAAGGAAGTGCAGGTTATTCAGAACAAAGACAGGAGCAAAGGTAGGAGAGGAGTACAGAAGGCCTATTTGGAGGCCATTATACATCTGTCTGCCTGGAAGTGAGGGTTCCTATAGAACCTCTTAATTCCTTAGTCCTCTTAATTCCCTCCCCCTAGAACTTATAAGGCACACAATAGGTGCTCATTAAATATCTATGTAAAAGACAGAATGAATTCCCATCACAATTAGTTTTAAATGCTAAACAGACCTTCCCAATGGGCATACCAAGGCATATTAGTGTGCCTAAATTGGGTGACAGGTGTACTGAGATAGTGATCTCGTCAGCCCTTGAGGTCCAAACCTCTAGCCATAAGGTTGTTGTCCTGCTACCCCAGTGTGCCACACAAATATCATCATTGTCTAAGTGTATCATGCCATAAAAAGTTGGGAAGCAATGGGTTAAACAATAAGGCTATTATGCAATATGCAATGGAACAGATACAAAGAGGAGTAAATAGGAGAGGATATAATGTACAGTAGTCTTTGCCTATGTGGGTGGCACTGTGGAAGATCAATCAAAGAGTTTATTAGTCCATTTGCACACTGCCAATGAAGACATACCCGAGAATGAGCAATTTACAAAAGAAAGGTTTAATGGACTTACATTTCCACATGACTGGGAAGGCCTTACAACCATGGCGGAAGGTAAAAGGCATGTCTCACATGGTGGCAGACAAGAGAAGAGAGATTGTTCGGGGAAACTATTTTTTAAAACTATCAGATCTTGTGAGACTCATTTGCCATCACGAGAACAGCACAAGAAAGGCCAGTCCCCATGATTCAACCACCTCCCACTGGGTCCCTCCCACAACCCATGGGAATTCAAAATGAGATCTGGGTGGGGACACAGCTAAACCATATCAAAGAAGGAAAAGACAAGGTACAGAAAGAACAGCAGTTCAAAAGCTGCTGCAATAAGCTAGGCAAGAAAACTAAGAGTAACAAAAGAGATGAATTCAAAACAGGTTGTGAAAGAATAACTGCTTAGAACTTAGTTTAGTTCAGTTCCATAAACATTCATTGTTGCCTATTATGTGTCTGCTGTTTGCTGGGCATTAAGGATTTTAAAAATTGAAGAAAAATTCCAGTTATTAGGAATTTTTTAATTGTAGAAACAGAATTACAGGTTTTCCTTAATGTATTCTCTTGCACATTAGCTCTTAGAAGAAAGGGAGTATTAAAAGGTGTTACATATTGCACCATAAACCAAACGTAGTTTTAACCTACTCATTAAAGCTTCAAAAAATAAGCCTTTGGGTAAGAAGGCTCAATGTCAGCAGCCAGAGGGTTATGAAGAGAATTCTGTAGAATATTCCCCTAAACACAATAGCTGCACCAATATTTCTTAATATATTTATATCTGATCAAGAGTTAGAATGCATGCCATTGGCAAACTCCACTTTTAGCCTTTAAGGGATAACAACAATTATCATTTATTAGGTGCTCATTATACATAAGGCATTGTGCTACTTTACATATATAATCTCACTTTATCCTCAAAGAAACCTTGAAATGTAGGTATCAGTCCCATTTTGCCCATGAAAAAAAACAAGGCTTAGAATATTAAGTCACCTGTCTAAAGATATCCAGCTAGTAAAATGGCAGAGCCAGAATTCAAACCTAGATCCATCCAACTCTTAAGTCTGTGTTTTTATTAAATGTGTTTTAACAGATAAGTTACTTAAGAAAGGGCTTTGGGAAAGGCACCTGAGACATAGAGAAAAGACAGCCACCGAAGCAAACATAGGAAAGGCTCACTCACGCACTGTTCTAAGAGGCTGTGCTTGCCTGAGACTCACCAACTGGATTCACGCAGGAAGAAATCTAGGTGTATTCATCTGTTTTCTACTGCTGCTGTAACAAATTTACACAAATTTAGTGACTTAAAACAATATACATTTATTATCTTACAGTGTTTTGTCTCAGAAGTCTGAAAGGAGTCAGTCTTACTGAACTGAGATCAAGGTGTCACAGTGCTGCATTCCTTTCTGAAGGGGCTAGAGGACAATCTACTTCCTTCCCTTTTCCAGCTTCCAGAGGTCACCAGCATTCCCTGGCTCATGGCTCCTTCCTGTCTTCAAAGCCAGCAATAATCAGTTGAGTCCTTCTCAGGCTGATGCTTCTCTGGTTCTTCCATAGTTTCATCTCGTTTTCATCACAAAAAGGTTCTCTAATTGTAAGGACCCATGTGATTAGATTAGGCCTACCCAGATAACCCATCATAATCTCCCCATCTAAAGATCCCTGACTAAATCACATCTACAAAATTCTTCTTGCTATATAATCAGATTATGGGGATTAGGACACGAAGGTTGTTAGAGGGGTCATTATTCTGCCTATCACGGTCTGATTGTAAGAGAGTAGAACCTTTCACTGTTTGAACCACATAACTAGCCCCCTGTTCTGGTTCCACATGTACAGGACAATTTACTGATAATATTTTGGCTTACCCTATGGCTTACTTAAAAGAAGGGAATGTGCTGTTTAGAGGATATAGTGTTTAATCCCCTGGGCAAATACATTTTATATTATATTGAATAATTTGTTTTCTGAGTTATACATTAGTGTCTTGTGAGTGCTGTCAGAATGAGTCAGAATCTTTTAGTCCAAAAACTATAAGACTCAGACAATCAATATTCAGAATCTTTTTTTTTTTTTTTTTTTTTTTTGAGACGGAGTCTCGCTCTGTCGCCCGGGCTGGAGTGCAGTGGCGGGATCTCGGCTCACTGCAAGCTCCGCCTCCCGGGTTCATGCCATTCTCCTGCCTCAGCCTCCCAAGTAGCTGGGACTACAGGCGCCCGCCACTACGCCCGGCTAATTTTTTGTATTTTTAGTAGAGACGGGGTTTCACCGTTTTAGCCGGGATGGTCTCGATCTCCTGACCTCGTGATCCGCCCGCCTCGGCCTCCCAAAGTGCTGGGATTACAGGCGTGAGCCACCGCGCCCGGCCCTCAGAATCTTTAAGTTAAGGATCGGAGTCAGGGATGAGGGAGGGGGCATATTTAACAAGTCTGTATCTATGATAAAAAACAACCTTTTGAAGAGCATGTTTAAGAAGCTATATATAATTATATATATCTAAGAATGCAGCTATGTGTCACTCCCTTTGATTTACAAGACTGCTCTCAACAAAGAGAGTAGTCAGTTTTCTGATTGTGCCTGTGTAATCAATCAAATGGTTTGAAGTAGAATGTCCTTGGAAGACAGCAGGGAATTTCAAATCAACAACTTTTAAAACTTGGATCACATGGATTAGTGGTCGCCTAGAGCTGGAGCTTTTTAGGGAGAATAAAGAGTGACTGCTAATGAGTTTAGGGTTTCTTTTTGGGGTAATACATTTTTAAAAAAATTGACTGTGGTGATGATTGCACAACTCTGTGAACAGACAAAAAAAATCACTGCATTATATGTTTTTAATGGGTGAATTGTATGGTATGTGAATTACATCTCAATGAAAATTTGTAAAAGAAATTGCGTCACGGCCAGGCACAGTGGTTCACACCTGTAATCCCAGCACTTTGGCAGGCAGAGGCAGGTGGATCATGAGGTCAGTAGATCGAGATCATCCTGGCTAACACGGTGAAACCCCATCTCTAATAAAAATACAAAAAATTAGCTGGGCGTGGTGGCACGCGCCTGTAATCCCAGATACTCGGAGGCTGAGGCAGGAGAATAACTTGAACCTGGGAGGCGGAGGTTGCAGTGAGCTGAGATCGCGCCACTGCACTCCAGTTTGGGCGACAGAGCGAGACTCCATCTCAAAATAAAAAAAAAAAGAAGAAATTGGGTCACAAAGATGACAATGAGAAGAGGTACCTGAGAAAAACAAGGGGGTTTATGCAATTTATGATCTTAGTGAAGATCCCTTAATGTCTACTACTGTCCTCCTTGTTTTTCTATCTACCTTAACTTTTTACACATTCTGTTCTTGGAAAAGTCACAGTTTTCCACCCCTTTTGTTTCTTACTTTACTCATCAACTAATATACAACAAACATATTCCAATTATAAATATAGAATGTCATTCTGATGTTAACTTCCAAGGTCCTTACTAGAGAAAAAGTATAAATAAGGAAAACATTCCCATCCTGATCCTGTTTTAGAGCCTAATTTTTTTTACCCTTGTTCTGCATTGTTTGCAGATTCTCTATATGTCCTAAATCAATCCACGCACCACAAGAGCTGTATCAGATTCATGCCTTCTTGAATCTAGATTCTCACATTAAAGTCAAAGAACTGGTATCTACTTGCAATGAGGAAACTTCACATGTTAGTAGACAAGCTCCATTTGCTCTATTTTATAGCAATAACTATTAGAATGCTCAATAGTGAATTCACTAATCTGTGCAATGCTATTGAATGACTTCTGTTTGTACTTCTTTGTACCTACATCTTCTTTCCCAAGGGCAATGACAGCCCCCCTTTTTCATAGGAAAGCAAAAACCGGCTTTCAAAGGTAGGCAGTTTTGCTTACAAATGTCAGGAAATGTTTTGCTTGAGCCATTCTTATAGTTGATATAAAAATAATCACCTATATAACCCCCAAATGTCTCCCTGAATAATCAAGCCATTTCAAGAGAAAACTTTCTTAAAACTGATATAGTAAAGCAGTTTAATTAGATTAATAAGATACCATAAACAGGGTTTCCTTCGACTTTGAGATGGAACACTTACCTCACACGAATTCAGACAAAATAGTCTAGTTACTTTTCTACATGAGAATTATAAATATAAGAGATCACTCTCCATATTGGAATAACAGAAATAAGTGAAGTTGCAACCCTGATCCTTGGGTAAAACTGTGCTTATACACTAGATGGTCTACTGAACCACAAATCTAGCATACTCTGTTATATACTTTCATGCATAACAATTTATTCCCATTTCATGGTATGCCTAGTTGTATAGGCAGAAAGAAGGGTGACGGCCCCAGAAAAGATTAGTGTACATAATCGACACTGTAGAAAGCAGTTTTATATAATTTAGTTACTCTTAAATATGAATATACAACTGACTTTGTAGAACAAACATATCATAAATTCATTGTCTGATGCAAAACTAGTTTTGTCAAATAGTTCATAATATTCATTTTACCAGGTTTCTGCAAAAACCAATTATTGCAGTTGAAACTAAAAACCTTTGAATGTTAGGTTACAAAATAGCTTACAAAGCAATTTATAGTGTATTTATAAGTTTGTGTTGTTACTGTTGTCGTTGTTGTTTTAATGCATGCAGGCACTAAAGCCCATATTCCAGGGATCCTTTCAGACCACTGAACGCTGAATTTTCCAAGCAAGCAGGTGTAACTCATTAGATCTGCCATGGACCGTGAAAGCCACTTGCCAATAGTGTCGAAAGCATATCACTCATTTCAATCTCACCAAAAAGGACAGACCTTTCTCTGACAAAACATTACTGAAAAACACTGAGTTTGGGGCTGTGACTTGAACAGCTCAGCACACATGGATGGAAACTCAACAGAGAAGCTAAAGCCAAGTGGAAGTGTCAGATTGACGTTCTAGCTTTACACCTTCAGAGAGCACAGCTTCCACCTGGATTTCAAGAAGAAGGGGTGAAAAGAAGAAAACCAAACACCTAGCAATAACAATGATCTTGGCAGCATGCACGATAATTGCACCATCTGACCTGGCAGAACTGTCAGTATGAATGGCAAACTATCTGCATATGATTGAGTTTTGTAATCCCAGAAGCTCAAAACAGAGAAACTTAAGGAGCCAGTCAAATCAGCTTTGAATGTCAGTCACTGTACAAGCAATGTAGTTAATCAGAAAAATCAGGATAGCACTCAGAAAACAGTCTAGGTCTTTTTTCAGCAATCACAAAGCCAATTAATGAAATACTAGACATTTAAAATTCTGTAGAATTAAATTGAATAGTAGTATGCCATAGTTAGTATGCCAAAGATGAAAATAATATAACTACCTGGATATTTTGCATAAATACTAAGTAGTCTTGCTCTTCACATAGTTTTTAAATCTAAATTACATAATACTCAACTAAAATTTAGCTAGGTGGATAGAGCCCGATGTTTAGTTTAGATGCAAGGACTAAGAGAAAGAGTAGCAGTTATGTTTTGTTTCTTGATCAAGGTGCTAGTTACATAGGTATCTTTAGGTTATAAAAATTCATCAAACTGTACACTTACAATATGTGAATCTTTGTCATCAAAAAAGCTTTGTGATCAAGAAACATCATGTCCTCTAGTCAACTGCCCCAAGAACTTAGTCTCCAAGAAAAGCTATACTTCAGATTCCCATTTGATCAAGTTTCACACTTGTTTTTCAGCTTTCCAAGCTAAACTGTTTAAGGATAGATTCCAGTTAGACATACTAGAGCAATGGAACATGTTTCACTACATTTAGGTCTATTATTTCGTAATGGAGTTTCTAATAATATTCCAATGACTTAGGAGAGGTTTTTTGGGTTTGTGTATGTGCGTGTGTGTGTGTGTTTAGAGACAAGGTCTTATTCTGTCACCCAGCTGGAATGCAATTGTAAAATCGTAGCTCACTGCAGCCTCAAATCCCTGGACTCAAGCAATCCTCCTGCCTGAAGAGCAAGGACTACAGGTGTGTGCTACCATGCCTGGCTAATTTTTTTGAATATTCTTTGCAGAAACAGGATATGGCTGGTCTTGAATTCCTGGGCTCAATCAATCCTCCTGCCTTGGACTCCCAAAGTGCTGCGATTACAAGTGTGAGCCACCAGGCCCAGCCAAGAAAGTAGTTTTTAAATAGCCCTGATAATGATTTGTTCCTGAAAAGATCTACCAAACCACAACTCATGCATATCATAGTCACAAAGTAGTTTGTGAAAAATACATAAGACTGAGTATAATACTTCAATAATAAAGAACAGTCAAAATGTTTGATACTGATGACAGAGGCAGAACAAGAGACATATACACTTGCCAAAAGTATATAAGAAAGATCATGATAGAAAAAAGAATCAACTCCAATTTTTCAATGCACTGTTAAAATATACATCTTTCTCCAAGGTCACTTTTAGAGTTTAAGAGATACAAAAGTCTTAAAGCTACAGTTAGTTACCCAAAATTCTTTTTTTTTTTGGGCGGGGGGCGGTGGGGGCGGTGCAGAATCTCGCTCTGTCGCCCAGGCTGGAGTGCAGTGGCGCTATCTCGGCTCACTGCAACTTCCGCCTCCCGGGTTCAAGCGATTTTCCTGCCTTAGCTTCCCAAGTAGCTGGGATTACAGGCGTGTGCCACCACACGCAGCCAATTTTTTATTTTTAATAGAGATGGGGTTTCACATGTTGGCCAGGCCGGTCTAAAACTCCTCAAGTGATCCGCCTGCCTCAGCCACCCAAAGTGCTGGGATTACAGGCGTGAGTCACCACGCCCAGCAACTACCCAAAATTCCATGATAGGTTACTATTTCTATAAGGTTGAGTCGTTGTATTAAGTCAAAATTCTCAGCATCTGCTTAGTCTACTGCATACACAACTAGGGGCCATAAAGAAATCCTTTCATTTTTATAGGCCAAGTGTTGTACTACATGGAATTAATGGCGCAAGAGAAAAAAAAAAAGTATTTTTATTATCACATATTCACATGTGCAATTTTTTACATACCACAAGAATCTCAAAATTATGATAGCATATAAGGCTGAAACAAATAGTAGCTGGCTACATTTCTTTTTCTTTTTCTTTTTTTTTTTTTTTTGAGATGGAGTTTTGCTCTTGTTGCCCAGGCTGGAGTGCAATGGTGCGATCTCAGCTCACCGCAATCCCTGCCTCCTGGGTTCAAATGATTCTCCCGCCTCAGCCTCCTGGAAAGCTGGGATTATAGGCATGCATCACCACGCCCGGCTAATTTTGTATTTTTAGTAGAGATGGGTTTCTCCATGTTGGTCAGGCTGGTCTCGAACTCCCGACCTCAGGTGATCTGTCTGCCTCAGCCTCCCAAAGTGCTGGGATTACAGGCCTGAGCCACCGTATACAGCGGCTACATTTCTTTAAAAAAAAAAAATCATAGTCACTCCTTGTAGTCACTCATTTAACTACTTTAGGTTCTAGGAGCCTAAATTATCCAAAAAGGCAAACCCTGACTCCAACTGAACATCCAAAAGACACGAAGTTATCTTGTTGGTTGGTATTTGTTTTTATTAGCAATACGGCAACAATTTTACTTCTGATTCCATGAAAGGAGCATTCACAAACATGAATCAAAAATGAACATATATATAACCTACTCTAGCTTAAAATTAACATAGTAGGTCAAAATTCTAAGAAAAATGATTAAATTTAGTCTTAACATTTGACTAAGATAAATTTTAAGTGACTAATATTAATGACTGTGCAATGCTCAGTGTTCCCACAAGCTATACCTTTTAAAAAATATTTTTTAGCAAATAGGCAGCATGGAGTTATTAGCCCAAAGTTCACCTTAGTTCTCCTCTAACATTAACCAGGGTTTCAATGGAATACTCCACACATAAATTTAAATTAGTAGACTAATATTTCTAAATAACCGAAAGTTGAATTAACTATTAGTTGAATCATATAAAATTCCATTTCTAT
Source organism: Homo sapiens (assembly GCF_000001405.40). Lineage (NCBI taxonomy): Eukaryota > Metazoa > Chordata > Mammalia > Primates > Hominidae > Homo > Homo sapiens. The sequence goes on from NC_000016.10 coordinate 72,623,942, forward strand.
GGGTCAAAAACAGTCAAATCTTGATAATTTCATGTGGCTTAGCCTAAAAATAGTTTTTAAACAGTTCCAATTCTATGGTAGAAAGAAGCAAATAGCAAAAAAATAAAAAAAATAAATAAAAACATGATGTGAAAATACATGTTAGAAAATGCTTCCAACTAAATGCTAAGGTATAAAGAGAAATAGAAATAGTGGGCTTCAGAAGAAGGGGTAAAAATCAGGTAGTTCAACAGGTTCCTAGTAGTAATCAATAAAATGACTTCTGCTTCACCTTTTAGGAGGAGGCTATACTTAGCAAATCACTGTGTAAGCTGCCTCAATAACAGCATTCCTGCTATCAAGTTTACTTGCAATGATTCCAACAAAGAAATTAATTTCTTAGATGACAAGAAAAGGTTATCTGAAATGGGGAAAACACAGGAGACTAAAGCTGTCTGTTAATAAAACAGACAAGCATCAGTCTAGGCAATGAATTCAGAGCAGTTTTACTCTCTGCAAGATCTGACTTCCCATAGCCCACTATTATACATACATACACACGCCCACATATATACATGTATCAGTGTATATATGCATACATACTTGTGCTGGTTTACTCAGAACTTTCCTAGTTTTAGCACTGAAAGTTCCATGATCCAGAAATTCAAGCCTGGGCAAACTGAGACAGTCACCCTAATCTACAGCTACCAACAGATGCATGAACATGTGTATGTGCACACACACACAAACACACACACACACACTCTCTCCCTTACCCATTCACATCCCCAACTCTAAAGAATGTTTTTCTAGGCCGGGCGCAGTGGCTCACGCCTGTAATCCCTGCACTTTGGGAGGCTGAGGCAGGCGGATCACGAGGTCAGAAGATCGAGACCATCCTGGCTAACATGGTGAAACGCCATCGCCACTAAACATACAAAAAATTAGCTGGGCATGGTGGCAGGCGCCTGCAGTCCCAGCTACTCGGGAGGCTGAGACAGGAGAATAGCGTGAACCCAGGAGGCGGAGCTTGCAGTGAGCCAAGATGGCACCACTGCACTCCAGCCCGGGCGACAGAGCCAGACTCAGTCTCAAAAAAATAAAATAAAATAAAAAAGGAATGCTTCTCTAAAACTTAAAATGCATTTACTCACTCTTCAGAAAACATGTGGTGTTGTAAAATTTTCCAAAAGCTATTATTTATGACCATATCATTAATATATGTAACTGGCAGTGATCAAATCTGAGAACTTACAAACTGCCATTTTGGACAAGTCATCAGATGCACTCCTTCCTAAAGTCTCATGTTTAAATCATATTCACCTCACTAAGTGTTATCAGAGGAACCTGTGACAATTATTCTATTTGTAAATATGAGGAAAATCTCTGAGGTATTCTCAGCTTACCACTTATCAAGAATGTAACCTTGAGATAAATTACTTAGCCTCATTAATTTTCTATTTACCAGTATGTAAAATGGGGATAATAGTACCTACCTCAGTGTTTTCATGAGTATTGAATGACACAATGTACATAAAATGCTTAGTACAATACAGTAGCACAAAATTAATTCCCAATAAATATTATTACTATTGCTAATAGTATTGCTGTACAGATAAAAACTTACAAGTACTTTGAAGGTGGCAGTTGCCTATTCCTGTATTCTTTGGTGGAAATGTTTTCTTTTAAAAATGGTTTTCTCCTTTTATAATTTTTAGACTTCCAGAGTTATTCTGACTGTAAAAACTATGAGACTTTTGAGTAGTTTAAAAGACAGAGTGTTGGCTGGGCACGGTGGCTCATGTCTGTAATCCTAGCAGGCAGGCTGGGAAGCTGAGGCGGGAGGATCGCTTGAGGCCAGGAGTTAAAGACCAGTATGAGCAACACAGCAAGACCACCTCTCTACAAAAAACTGTAAAATGAACCAGGCATGGTGGTGCACACCTGTAGTCCTAGCTACTTGAGAGGCTGAGGTAGTTGGATCAAACTGGTAAGCCATGATCTTGCCACTGCACCCTAGCCTGAGTGACAGGGTGAGACTCTCAGAAAGAAGAAAGGAAGGAAGGAAGGAAGGAAGGAAGGAAGGAAGGAAAGGGAAGGAGGGAAGAAGGGGAAGAGCCGGGGGAGGGGTACGGGGAGAGGGAGGGAAAGAGCATCCTTGTAATAAAATTACTTCTTGATGTGGAATTTCTTCCCATTATTGAATTTCAACGTTAGATGTAATAGTGCAAGTAGAGAGCTTCTTGTCCCCTAACATTAATAAAAAATAGCATTTAATGGCCTGAATTACAGGTGATAAAATTTTATCCATACTAAAATAATAGGTGTAAACATTAAATCAAAATATAGTCAAATTGGATTTTAGAGTTTGCAGAAACCTTTAAAATCACCTAGTCCAAAACCCTCATTTTATAAATAAGACCTCTCAGAGGTGATTTGTCCAATGTCATATGGCCAGAATCAGAGACAGTAAAAGTATCCAACTCTCCTGACACCTAGTCCAATTATCTTTTCAGTATGCTACTCTTCAAATCATTAAACAAAAATCATGAGGCAAATTCTTATTCTAATATTCCTAATAAAAGCCATGTTTGAATACAACAAAAAATAATTAAGAGAAGGGCGTGTAACGAGAAGGCTGAAGGAAAAATGAGTACAACATAGTAGAAGATACCCTTTGAAGTCAAACAGGCTTGTTTCAAATGCCAGCTCTGCCATTCCTTTACTGTGTATCAATGGGCAAAGTATGAACTCTGAGCTTCAGGTCCCTTATTTGTTAAAAAGGGGATAATACTACCTAGAACAATTACATAAGATTAAAAAAAGAGTTAGAAGAGCACAACTGTTGAGAGTCAGACTATCTGTTTGAATCCCAACTCCACAACTTACTCATTGTTTGATCAAGTTTTATGATTTCTCTGAGCCATAGGAAGTATTTTAGCAGAGAACATGGCACATAACTGTAACATGTTTTAGTGTTATCAACATATATAAATCATCTGACACTTAATGATAATAAAAACACAACCACCATCACCAGCAACACAAAAAATACCTGCTTCATAAGTAAAAGTAGACCAGACTGATAAAGCCAACATGCTAAATAAAATCAATGCTAATCTATCCTAAAATATGTCCATACCCTGAAATGTGTGAAAAGTTCATTAGAGTGGGATTAAAATCAGATTCAAAAAGTACAATATTATCTATCTAGTAAATAATCACTTTGTAGTGACACATGTAAGAAATGGTTTTCAAGATATTGAATTTTAAAATGCTCAGTTTCACAAAAGATAAAAAGTCAGAAGTTAGGTAACAGTAGAAGGCTTACAAAGTATGAAAAAAGCTAAAACAGGGGGAGGAGCCAAGATGGCCGAATAGGAACAGCTCCGGTCTACAGCTCCCAGCGTGAGCGACGCAGAAGACGGGTGATTGCTGCATTTCCATCTGAGGTACCGGGTTCATCTCACTAGGGAGTGCCAGACAGTGGGCGCAGGCCAGTGGGTGCGCGCACCGTGCGCAAGCCGAAGCAGGGCGAGGCATTGCCTCACCTGGGAAGCGCAAGGGGTCAGGGAGTTCCCTTTCCGAGTCAAAGAAAGGGGTGACGGACGTACCTGGAAAAGCGGGTCACTCCCACCCGAATATTGCGCTTTTCAGACCGGCTTAAAAAACGGTGCACCACGAGACTATATCCCACACCTGGCTTGGAGGGTCCTACGCCCACAGAATCTCGCTGATTGCTAGCACAGCAGTCTGAGATCAAACTGCAAGTCGGCAGCGAGGCTGGGGGAGGGGCGCCCGCCATTGCCCAGGCTTGCTTAGGTAAACAAAGCAGCTGGGAAGCTCAAACTGGGTGGAGCCCACCACAGCTCAAGGAGGCCTGCCTGCCTCTGTAGGCTCCACCTCTGGGGGCAGGGCACAGACAAACAAAAAGACAGCAGTAACCTCTGCAGACTTAAATGTCCCTGTCTGACAGCTTTGAAGAGAGCAGTGGTTCTCCCAGCACGCAGCTGGAGATCTGAGAACGGGCAGACTGCCTCCTCAAGTGGGTCCCTGACCCCTGACCCCCGAGCAGCCTAACTGGGAGGCACCCCCCAGCAGGGCACACTGACACCTCACACGGCAGGGTATTCCAACAGACCTGCAGCTGAGGGTCCTGTCTGTTAGAAGGAAAACTAACAAACAGAAAGGACATCCACACCGAAAACCCATCTGTACATCACCATCATCAAAGACCAAAAGTAGATAAAGCCACAAAGATGGGGAAAAAACAGAACAGAAAAACTGGAAACTCTAAAACGCAGAGCGCCTCTCCTCCTCCAAAGGAACGCAGTTCCTCACCAGCAACGGAACAAAGCTGGATGGAGAATGATTTTGACGAGCTGAGAGAGGAAGGCTTCAGACGATCAAATTACTCTGAGCTACGGGAGGACATTCAAACCAAAGGCAAAGAAGTTGAAAACTTTGAAAAGAATTTAGAAGAATGTATAACTAGAATAACCAATACAGAGAAGTGCTTAAAGGAGCTGATGGAGCTGAAAACCAAGGCTCAAGAACTACGTGAAGAATGCAGAAGCCTCAGGAGCCAATGCGATCAACTGGAAGAAAGGGTATCAGCGATGGAAGATGAAATGAATGAAATGAAGCAAGAAGGGAAGTTTAGAGAAAAAAGAATAAAAAGAAATGAGCAAAGCCTCCAAGAAATATGGGACTATGTGAAAAGACCAAATCTACCTCTGATGGGTGTACCTGAAAGTGATGCGGAGAATGGAACCAAGTTGGAAAACACTCTGCAGGATATTATCCAGGAGAACTTCCCCAATCTAGCAAGGGAGGCCAATGCTCACATTCAGGAAATACAGAGAATGCCACAAAGATACTCCTCGAGAAGAGCAACTCCAAGACACATAATTGTCAGATTCACCAAAGTTGAAATGAAGGAAAAAATGTTAAGGGCAGCCAGAGAGAAAGGTCGGGTTACCCTCAAAGGGAAGCCCATCAGACTAACAGCGGATCTCTCGGCAGAAACCCTACAAGCCAGAGAGAGTGGGGGCCAATATTCAACATTCTTAAAGAAAAGAATTTTCAACCCAGAATTTCATATCCAGCCAAACTAAGCTTCATAAGTGAAGGAGAAATAAAATACTTTACAGACAAGCAAATGCTGAGAGATTTTGTCACCACCAGGCCTGCCCTAAAAGAGCTCCTGAAGGAAGCGCTAAACATGGAAAGGAACAACCGGTACCAGCCGCTGCAAAATCATGCCAAAATGTAAAGACCATCAAGACTAGGAAGAAACTGCATCAACTAACGAGCAAAATCACCAGCTAACATCATAATGACAGGATCAAATTCACACATAACAATATTAACTTTAAATGTAAATGGACTAAATTCTGCAATTAAAAGACACAGACTGGCAAGTTGGATAAAGAGTCAAGACCCATCAGTGTGCTGTATTCAGGAAACCCATCTCACGTGTAGAGACACACATAGGCTCAAAATAAAAGGATGGAGGAAGATCTACCAAGCAAATGGAAAACAAAAAAAGGCAGGGGTTGCAATCCTAGTCTCTGATAAAACAGACTTTAAACCAACAAAGATCAAAAGAGACAAAGAAGGCCATTACATAATGGTAAAGGGATCAATTCAACAAGAGGAGCTAACTATCCTAAATATATATGCACACAATACAGGAGCACCCAGATTCATAAAGCAAGTACTGAGTGACCTACAAAGAGACTTAGACTCCCACACATTAATAATGGGAGACCTTAACACCCCACTGTCAACATTAGACAGATCAACGAGACAGAAAGTCAACAAGGATACCCAGGAATTGAACTCAGCTCTGCACCAAGTGGACCTAATAGACATCTACAGAACTCTCCACCCCAAATCAACAGAATATACATTTTTTTCAGCACCACACCACACCTATTCCAAAATTGACCACATAGTTGGAAGTAAAGCTCTCCTCAGCAAATGTAAAAGAACAGAAATTATAACAAACTATCTCTCAGACCACAGTGCAATCAAACTAGAACTCAGGATTAAGAATCTCACTCAAAGCCGCTCAACTACATGGAAACTGAACAACCTGCTCCTGAATGACTACTGGGTACATAACGAAATGAAGGCAGAAATAAAGATGTTCTTTGAAACCAACGAGAACAAAGACACAACATACCAGAATCCCTGGGACACATTCAAAGCAGTGTGTAGAGGGAAATTTATAGCACTAAATGCCCACAAGAGAAAGCAGGAAAGATCCAAAATTGACACCCTAACATCACAATTAAAAGAACTAGAAAAGTAAGAGCAAACACATTCAAAAGCTAGCAGAAGGCAAGAAATAACTAAAATCAGAGCAGAACTGAAGGAAATAGAGACACAAAAAACCCTTCAAAAAATCAATGAATCCAGGAGCTGGTTTTTTGAAAGGATCAACAAAATTGATAGACCGCTAGCAAGACTAATAAAGAAAAAAAGAGAGAAGAATCAAATAGACACAATAAAAAATGATAAAGGGGATATCACCACCGATCCCACAGAAATACAAACTACCATCAGAGAATACTACAAACACCTCTACGCAAATAAACTAGAAAATCTAGAAAAAATGGATACATTCCTCGACACATACACCCTCCCAAGACTAAACCAGGAAGAAGTTGAATCTCTGAATAGACCAATAACAGGAGCTGAAATTGTGGCAATAATCAATAGTTTACCAACCAAAAAGAGTCCAGGACCAGATGGATTCACAGCCGAATTCTACCAGAGGTACAAGGAGGAACTGGTACCATTCCTTCTGAAACTATTCCAATCAATAGAAAAAGAGGGAATCCTCCCTAACTCATTTTATGAGGCCAGCATCATTCTGATACCAAAGCCGGGCAGAGACACAACCAAAAAAGAGAATTTTAGACCAATATCCTTGATGAACATTGATGCCAAAATCCTCAATAAAATACTGGCAAACCGAATCCAACAGCACATCAAAAAGCTTATCCACCATGATCAAGTGGGCTTCATCACTGGGATGCAAGGCTGGTTCAATATACGCAAATCAATAAATGTAATCCAGCATATAAACAGAGCCAAAGACAAAAACCACATGATTATCTCAATAGATGCAGAAAAAGCCTTTGACAAAATTCAACAACCCTTCATGCTAAAAACTCTCAATAAATTAGGTATTGATGGGACGTATTTCAAAATAATAAGAGCTATCTATGACAAACCCACAGCCAATATCATACTGAATGGGCAAAAACTGGAAGCATTCCCTTTGAAAACTGGCACAAGACAGGGATGCCCTCTCTCACCGCTCCTATTCAACATAGTGTTGGAAGTTCTGGCCAGGGCAATCAGGCAGGAGAAGGAAATAAAGGGTATTCAATTAGGAAAAGAGGAAGTCAAATTGTCCCTGTTTGCAGATGACATGATTGTTTATCTAGAAAACCCCATGGTCTCAGCCCAAAATCTCCTTAAGCTGATAAGCAACTTCAGTAAAGTCTCAGGATACAAAATCAATGTACAAAAATCACAAGCATTCCTATACACCAACAACAGACAAACAGAGAGCCAAATCATGAGTGAACTCCCATTCACAATTGCTTCAAAGAGAATAAAATACCTAGGAATCCAACTTACAAGGGATGTGAAGGACCTCTTCAAGGAGAACTACAAACCACTGCTCAAGGAAATAAAAGAGGATACAAACAAATGGAAGAACATTCCATGCTCATGGGTAGGAAGAATCAATATCGTGAAAATGGCCATACTGCCCAAGGTAATTTACAGATTCAATGCCATCCCCATCAAGCTACCAATGACTTTCTTCACAGAATTGGAAAAAACTACTTTAAAGTTCATATGGAACCAAAAAAGAGCCCACATCGCCAAGTCAATCCTAAGCCAAAAGAACAAAGCTGGAGGCATCACACTACCTGACTTCAAACTATACTACAAGGCTACAGTAACCAAAACAGCATGGTACTGGTACCAAAACAGAGATATAGATCAATGGAACAGAACAGAGCCCTCAGAAATAACGCTGCATACCTACAACTATCTGATCTTTGACAAACCTGAAAAAAACAAGCAATGGGGAAAGGATTCCCTATTTAATAAATGGTGCTGGGAAAACTGGCTAGCCATATGTAGAAAGCTGAAACTGGATCCCTTCCTTACACCTTATACAAAAATTAATTCAAGGTGGATTAAAGACTTAAATGTTAGACCTAAAACCATAAAAACCCTAGAAGAAAACCTGGGCATTACCATTCAGGACATAGGCGTGGGCAAGGACTTCACGTCCAAAACACCAAAAGCAATGGCAACCAAAGCCAAAATTGACAAATGGGATCTAATTAAACTAAAGAGCTTCTGCACAGCAAAAGAAACTACCATCAGAGTGAACAGGTGACCTACAACATGGGAGAAAATTTTCACAACCTACTCATCTGACAAAGGGCTAATATCCAGAATCTACAATGAACTCAAACAAATTTACAAGAGAAAAACAAACAACCCCATCAAAAAGTGGGCGAGGGACATGAACAGACACTTCTCAAAAGAAGACATTTATGCAGCCAAAAAACACATGAAAAAATGCTCATCATCACTGGCCATCAGAGAAATGTAAATCAAAACCACTATGAGATACCATCTCACACCAGTTAGAATGGCAATCATTAAAAAGTCAGGAAACAACAGGTGCTGGAGAGGATGTGGAGAAATAGGAACACTTTTACACTGTTGGTGGGACTGTAAACTAGTTCAACCATTGTGGAAGTCAGTGTGGCGATTCCTCAGGGATCTAGAACTAGAAATACCATTTGACCCAGCCATCCCATTACTGGGTATATACCCAAATGACTATAAATCATGCTGCTATAAAGACACATGCACACATATGTTTATTGCGGCATTATTCACAATAGCAAAGACTTGGAACCAACCCAAATGTCCAACAATGATAGACTGGATTAAGAAAATGTGGCACATATACACCATGGAATACTATGCAGCCATAAAAAATGATGAGTTCATGTCCTTTGTAGGGACATGGATGAAATTGGAAACCATCATTCTCAGTAAACTATTGCAAGAACAAAAAACCAAACACCGCATATTCTCACTCATAGGTGGGAATTGAACAATGAGATCACATGGACACAGGAAGGGGAATATCACACTCTGGGGACTGTCGTGGGGAGGGAGGAGGGTGGAGGGATAGCATTGGGAGATATACCTAATGCTAGATGACGAGTTAGTGGGTGCAGCGCACCAGCATGGCACATGTATACATATGTAACTAACCTGCATATTGTGCACATGTACCCTAAAACTTAAAGTATAATTAAAAAATAATAATAATACTAATAATAAATAAATAAATAAATAAATATGTAAAAAAAAAAAGAAAAAAGCTAAAACAACAGCAATGATAGATAAGAAAATTTGTAAAAGACCAGCTGCGTATAGAAGAAACATGAAAGAATGTGTCTATTATGACGTGGTTTTCATCAACTCCTAATCAAAAATATAATAAAAGAAAAAGAAACAGTACCACATCCAGCATGTCACCATTTAAGACAACCAATTCCCAGATGACTAGAAAAAATGTATCTCTGAACTGGGTGGAAAGGCATAATTCTTAAATCCAGAGGGAAATTAAACCACAAAGTTTAAACAAAACAGCACGAAAAAATCAATAACTCACAAAATAAAAAATAATAATTTAGTTTTCAGCTTTCTCTTTTTAAAAAATTCTATTTTCAGATCACCAACAGTGGTTTAAGATGCTACCAAGTCTTTAAGCTCTATTTGGTAGGGAAATACCTCTGCTATTTCTAAAGGTAAATAGGGGGTTTTGCATTTAATTTACAATATGGAATACTGCAGAATAACCTCATGCCAAAATGGCACATTTCTGAGGGATGCAAAGGTATTCAATAAAAAGCTTTTAAAGGCATATTTTTAAACTTGCAGCAGGAAAGCTTTTCTGTGTCAAGACAGTAATTCTTTTAACAGCATTGATCAAAATGTCATTCTTTTATGAGTGTACAATACCTTTTAATGGCATACAACAAGCCATTAGGGTTATACACCTCTGTATAGCAGACAGCTTACTGGAAAAAAGCGAACACTGGCCAAGACAGAGTCAGTAGGTTTTATGCTTCTAATAAGGAACATTTTTCCCCCTAGCTGATTCATTCTAAAGTCCACAACTGAAATTATCCAAAGATTAAGTGTAAGCTCTCTTCACTTCGGTAATTTAGAAGCACTTTCACAGAGGCTTAAACTGCAAGGTCTAAACTCTACCTTTGTGGATACCATAAGATGGCCTTGAAAACAGCCTCTCACCCAGGGCCAGTAAGAAATTATTCATGAAGATTAGGAAAGAAATGACGGTTTTAGTACCTTTTCTACTTTCTGAGGAAAGAAGAAAGTGAATTGAAAAACATATTACAAGATGATCACTTTTCGTATTCATTTACAAAACTAAATACTAAAGGAACATTAAAGTTCTATATTATTCTAACATAAAACATCTCTGTCACCTAATATTGATTAGGTAATCTTTCATAAAAGGAAACTATTTTAAAGTAATCTCAAAACAAGTCCTTGTCTTTGAGGTACTCACACCTTAAAAGATATAAAGTAAATTCTGAAATTATTTAGAAGAAGTAATCCAATGAATATACAAACTGACAAAAAAATTCCACCAATTTACCAAATTCTAATCACTCAGGAAATGGGAAACTAAGCAGTGCAATAAAAAATAGAAGGTGAGTACCCCTGCTTTTCTTGTTACACCTTTACTTATTGTTCACTACTAAAAGAAATGCGACTTAAATACAAATAAATTATTCTAATTACAGAAATATCCCAAATAAATTGATTGTAGCCTAAATCTCTGCCTTCTGAAAATGATTTCAGGGTTCGTAGAACTGAAAAATGTTACAAATAGTAGAGAATTCTGAATCAAAAGTAAAACTCAACTTTAGGGAAAACACTAGATGCATTTCAAAACCTTTTCTCTAAAAGCAAAGTTTAAAAAGTAGAATTTGTCTCCTTTTAAAGGTAGGTATGCGTGTGTAGTAGAAAGAAAATGATAAGTTTAAAAGAAAGGTGTTATGAATGGCTCTCCAAATTATGTAATAAAACAGAAAGTTCTGTTTCAGGCAATGTAGAAAACCAAAGCATTTGTACCAATTTCATAACTAACAACAACTAAAAATGCAAGGCAAAATACAAAAACATCTTGACAGGATCCAAGAGTTGAGAAGAAACTACCAATCCAAAATTGAAGTGAAAGTGCAAACTCAGAGATGGTAAGGAGTGCTGAATCTGTCTTTGCCCTGAGGATATTTGGTCAGCCATTCTGACAAGATCTTTAGACTTACAGATCTTATTTCAAATGAAGAACAGAAAACAAAAATAGGGCCAGGCATGGTGGCTCACGCCTGTAATCCTAGCACTTTCGGAAGCTGAGGTGGGCGGATCATCTGAGGTCAGGAGTTCAAGACCAGCCTGGCCAACATGGTGAAACCTCGTCTCTACTAAAAATACAAAAATTAGCCAAGTGTGGTGGTGGGTGCCTGTAATCCCAGCTAATTGGGAGGCTGAGACAGGAGAATTGCTTGAACATGGGAGGCAGAAGCTGCAGTGAGCCGAGATGGCAGCACTGCACTCCAGCCTGGGTGACACAGTGAGACTTCATCTCAAAAAATTAAATAAATAAATAAATAAAATAAAAATTAAAAAATAAACGCCACCTAAAAGTCTAACAGGACACTCTCCTCCCCCAAAAATTAAATAAATAAATAAAATAAAAATTTAAAAATAACCACCACCTAAGAGTCTAACAGGAGACTCTCCTCCCAGGAAGCTGAGACATCAAAGAGTTATCCCCTCAACGTAAAGGTGATGAGAAGTCTGGACCTAGGGGACTAAAAGAAAAGTTGCTTTGATGATAAGCAAAGCAGGGGAAAACAAAAAACCACAAGAACTCGTAACCGCAAATGGGCTCTCAGAGATACAATCTAAATTCACATCACAAAAATAAGTACCGCCCCCCAAATAAATAAACACAGAGTGGTGCCCAAGTGGTAGTGTTCCTGGGTGCCAGACTGTAGCAGACATGAATGTCATCTGGTAGAACAAACTATTAAATACAGTAAACAAGAAAACATGGCACCATGAAAAAGAACCAGCCAAAATAAACCTGCAAGGATTTCATTTATTAGGATTATCAAATGTAGATTATAAAATAACCATGCTAATACATTTAAAATTATTTTTTACACTGGGAAAATACCTCCACAGAAAGAAAATTAAAAATAAATGATCTAGAAGGTTGGAAAGACATTTGAACAAATTAAATATACACTAATTGAAAATAAAAACTCACTGGAGAGGTTATGGAAGATTAGTTTACAACAGACTGACCCTTCCAATAAGAATAACTAGAAAAACTAGGTAAAATACAGAAAACATCTATATGCAGGCATGAGAGAGCTACTAATGCAGCCAAGACTCAAGGGTCCAAAATCTTGAACAAAAGAGAAGTACAGGGAAGTAACCTCAACTTTCAGCATGAATTTTCCCAAGTCATTTGCCAATTCTCAAGAGGCTGGGAAGCTAAGTAGAGCTGTTAGCAGTATCACAGACTAGGGGGAAAAAAACTTGAAGTTTGGGAACTGCTTGCAATAAACCAGAAGTGTATCTGTAGAATGAAACCCAACTATATATCATCTCAATCTCTGACTATATTGTTAAACTGTCTCTATTCTACCTACCTGCCAGAAACAAAAACAAACCCTCTTTGGAAAAAATTAGTATCTGACATTCAACTGACAATTACTAGGCATACCAGGAGACAAATCTATAAGAAGGAAAAAATAAAAGAAACAGACCTATAGGAAACACAGGTGTTAAAGTTATCAGATCCAGACTTTAAAATATCTTTGACTAATATGCTCAAGAAAACAGAAGAGAACTATAGCTTCCCCTAAAAAACATGGTAACCACCTAAATCCAAATGCCTCCACATAACCTCCATAAAACTTTAAAAATAATGAAGAGATGAGGCTACATGGGTATTGCTAAAAGAAAAAAAAATTAACTGAAAAAACCCTCATAATCCATGTCTATGGCATAACTAAGAGGCACAGAATAGTACAAACTTCAAATGGATTGTCAACTAAAGGAAAAAAATCAGGCTTTTAAAAAAGAAAATTTAGTTTTATTCAGTCTTACTGAAGACTGTAACCCAGGAGAATCTTTCAGAGAGATTCCCAAGCAGTATTTCAGCCCCTGTATCAGGGGGTGGCAGTTCTGCATCTGCTCATAAGTTACATTAAACATGCTCACAAGTTACGTTAGAGCAAAGTGCCATCAAAGTTTGGGTGTGAGAGTACATCTTGTTACTGATTACAGAGGCATAGTCACTAATCCCTCAGAATTTATCTTATATACAGGAAGAGCCAAGGGCTAGGCTAGGATCACTGACCTCATCTTAAAAAAAAAAAATGCAATGATTCCATCAAGAGATGTGATAACCTGGGCATCCTGCTTACAGTCTCCAGGGCATTCTTCCAGAGGGCTGCCCTCCATCACTGAGTCAGAGCCTTTGTGAAATTCTTCTGGCAAGCAGAATGAGCAAACATGGTTCCTTACATTTGCTACTGTGTCTCACAACATGTAAGTAGAAAATTGGACACTAAAATCCAGGAGCTGTCTCTAGAGCCCATGCCAGAAAAAAACAAGATAGACACTATGTGGAAAACATAGAAGGAAGCAGGGAAGCAAAATACAGATAAAATAACCCCAGAAAGTATAGAAATCCTAAAATTAGGTGTGAGACCTGTTAGGACAGAGCACTGATTACTATAGAATCTAAAGGAAGGGACTTCCAATTATAAGAAGGAGAAGTAACACTCTTGGGGAAAAAACCACTTCTCCGGGAGAGGACTGTGACTTAGACATGGGATTCCTGAGATATATGATGGTAAAGAGAAAGAAGAAAATAAGAGATAAGAGATATTAAAAAAAAAAAAAAGAAAAAAAAAAAGGTCCTGGGCAGTGGCTCTCAGTTGTAATCCTAGCACTATGGGAGGGTGAGGCAGGACTGCCTGAGGCCAGGAGTTTGAGGCCATCCTGGGCAACATGGCAAGACCCTGTCTCTACAAAAATTAAAAAAAAAAAAAAAAAAAAAAAAAAAAAAAAAAAAAAGCCCAGCACAGGGTCATGCACTGTTGGTCTCAGATACTTGGGAGGCTAAGGTGGGAAGATCACTTGAGCCCAGGAGGTTGAGGCTGCAGTGAGCCATGTTCACACTACCACACTTTAGCCTGAGTAACAGAGAGACCCTGTCTCAAAAAAAGAAAAAAAAAAGAAAAAAAAAGAATAAAAGAATAAAAGATAATCATAAAATCAGAGAAACACCAAACCCACCTCCCCTTCCAAGAAAATCAAAAACAATAAACACAAAAAACACACCAGGTAGGTTAAAGAAACTGCACTTCACTATAATAAAAGAATAGGATGTTTTTGAACTAAGAAACCTTGTAATTTCTCTTTTTACATAAACTATTATTGCTGGTTAAGAAAAATAAAATTTTCAAACCTGATCAGAAAACAGGCAACAACTATAAAATGTTATAAAAGAATAAAAATAAAGAAAATGAAAACAAGAATGCTTCAGCTGATAAATAGCATCCTCAAAAAAAAAAAAAAAAAAACAATAAGGCAGAGAAAACTATAATACATCTTAACCTGAATTCTATGTTGTTAAATAAGTATTTACAGATTTTTTTAAAAAAATCCTCTTAAATCAAACATTCAACAATTCAGTTCAAAAATGTCAAAAGTCTGGCCAGGTGTGGTGCCTCTCACCTGTAATGGCAGCACTTTGGGAGGCTGAGGCAGGTGGATCACTTGAGGTCAGGAGTTCGAGATCAGCCTGACCAACATGGTGAAACCCAATCTCTACTAAAAATACAAAAATTAGCTGGCTGTGGTGGCATGCACTTGTAACCCCAGCTACTTGAGAGGCTGAGGCACGAGAATCACTTGAACCTGGGAGGCGGAGGTTGCGGTGAGCTGACGTCATGCCATTGTACTACAACCTGGGTGACAGAGCAGGACTGTCTCAAAAAAAAAAAAAAAAAAGGCAAAAGTCAGAAAGTTTTAAAATGAGATGTAATTGGTTTCATGCCCAAAAAATTAAAATTAAAAAAGACAAAAATGGCCAAGCACAGTGGCTCACGCCTGTGGTCCTAACTACTCAGGAGGCTGAGACAGGAAGATCACTTGAGCCCAGAAGGTCAAGGCTGCAGTGAGTCGTGATCATGCCACTGTACTCCAGCCTGGGTGAAAAAGTGAGACTCTGTCTCAAAAAAATTAAAAAAAAAAAAAGAGAGAGACAAAAATTATTTTAGAAATTAAAAA
Organism: Homo sapiens; assembly: GCF_000001405.40. NCBI lineage: Eukaryota > Metazoa > Chordata > Mammalia > Primates > Hominidae > Homo > Homo sapiens. The sequence continues at coordinate 72,639,389 of NC_000016.10, forward strand.
TAAATATAAAGTACCCAAGAGAAGGAAAGACTGACTGAAAATAAAATATGTATCATTGAACAAAGCCATAAAAACAGCCAAGAGAACAAAACAAAATGAAGTAGAGTAGTAAGCATCAGGAAAATGGCCAGGAATGGTGGTTTATGCCTGTACACCCAGAACTTTGGGAGGCTGAGGCAGGAGGATTGCTGGAGAATAGGAGTTTAAGACCAGCCTGGGAAACATAATGAGACCCCATCTCTGCCAAAAAAAAAAAAGAAGAAGAAGAAGAAGAAGAACCAGGAGAAGAAGAAGAACCACCAGGGGAAAAGAGAGAGAAAGAGGGTCCAACATACATAAAATTGTAAGACCCAAATAAGAAAATAAAATAATGGAATAAAACTAATATTTAAAGTTATAATATGGGTTGGGCGTAGTGGCTCATGCCTATAATCCCAACAGTTTGGGAAGCTGTGGCAGGAAAATTGCTTGAGCTCAGGCATTCAAGGCCAGCCTGGGCAATATAGCAAGACTCCATCTGTATAAAAAAAACTTTTTAATTAAAAATAAAGTTGTAGGTGGCTGGGTGTGGTGGCTCATGCCTGTAATCCCAGCACTTTGGGAGGCCAAGGCAGGTGGATCATGAGGTCAGGAGTTCAAGACCAGCCTGGCCAACATGGTGAAACCTCGTCTCTACTAAAGATACAAAAACAATTAGCTGGCCATGGTGGCACATACCTGTAATCCCAGCTACTCAGGAGGCTGACGCAGAAGAATTGCTTGAACCTGGGAGGTGGAGGTTGCAGTGAGCCAAGATCACGCCACTGCACTCCAGCCTGGGTGACAGGGTGAGACTCTGTCTCAAAAAATAAATAAAATAAATAAATAAATAAATAAATAAATAAATAAATAAAGTTGTAGGCTGAGTGCCGTGGCTCATGCTTGTAATCCCAGCAATTTGGGAGGCTGAGGCAGGAGGATCGTTTGAGCCCGCTAATTCGAGACCAGCCTGGGTAACAAAGTGGGACCCCATCCCTACAAAAAATGAAATAATTAGCCGGGCATGGTGGTGTGCACCTGTAGTCCCAACTGCTCAGGAGGCTGAGGTGAGAGGATCACTTGAGCCTGGGAGATCAGGGCCTCAGTAAGCTATGATTGTGCCACTGCACTCTAGCCTGGGTGACAGACTGAAAACCTGTCTGAAAAGTAAATAAATAAATAAATAAATAAAGTTGTAATATACAAAGAAAAATCAGAAATAAAACAAGATATAAATGTATACATTAAAAAGGCCTACAAAGAACTTGGAAAAACTGATACAAATACTTAAACTGAGATGTACTGCAATATACAACTAGGCTTTAAAGATTTTTAAAAAATCCATCCAAGGGTAGGGAAAATAAGCACAAATCTTCTGAGATTATTTGTAAAGGAAGCAAAATCGAACCAGTGTCAGACTTCTTGGTAGCAACATAGAAAAGACAATAATGAGTAGTTAGGAATTAAAGTATGTCATTTAAACTGACAATCCAAACAGCTGAAACCTAAGTAAGTAAAAGGCAAATGAAGGAAATTAAGAGCATTATAAATAATAATATAAAAGTAACCACCAGAATGAAAATACAAACCTCCCAAAATACAAGACAAAAACAAAAACAAAAAATAAAAAAGGAGTGGGGAAAGGAACATACTATTAATAGATTATGAAAGAAACAAAGGAAATATAATACACCCAATAAATGTATATAAAATAATGTGACAGAGACCACATAAACCATATCAATGAATGTAAATAGATTTAACTTACCTATTTTTTAAATTGTAAATGTTAAATTTCAAATGGACTCAAAGTAAAACTCTACACTGTATTTTACAGAAACACAAAGTGAATCAGAAAGGCTAAAAATACAAGGGATAAAAAAGGTATTCAAGGCAAATGAAAACAATAAGTAGGTATTGTAATACTGATATTAAACATGAGAGAACTGAGACCTAAAAGCATGACATAAAGAACACTTTATGATATAAAGACTACAATTTCCAATAAAGATGCAATAGTTATGAATATCTATCCACCAACTAACACAACTGCTTTAATAAAACAGAATCAAAGAGAAATAAAGGTGCAAGAAAGAAAGAAACCAAACAGAAAACATCAAAATCTCATACTTAGTACAAAACAAGTGTACAGAAAATACAAAAGGATGTGGAAGACATAAACAAAACAAGCTTTATCAGTATCTATACATTTAAACACCAATAACAGAAAAACAATCTTTTTCAAGTGCACATGAATATTCACAGCTGCTTTACCCTTGATAGCCAAAAATTGGAAATAATCTCAGCGTCTATGAATAAGAGAATACATGAAGAAATTGTGGTATATTCAGTGAGGGATGTAGGTACCAAAATGGCATATTTGACTTATGTCAAACTAACTAAATGGAGTCAGGAGGCCAGGAAGAAGGAGCCTTCACATATGAATGCCTGTAACAGGTTTTATTACAAGAAATTCCTGCATGTCTTACATGTACCCTTGTAACAGACCTTATCATGGGAAATTTCTCCAACCAGATAAGCTACTTGCACAAGGACACTTGCCTTGCAGTGGCTGTCTCCACCACTGAACTGATGTCAGCTTCTGCAACAAGCCCCTCTAGCCAATGGTCTTGTTTAGCTTATGTGGACTTGTTTTTTGTCTTTAAAAGTTTCCCGTTTTCCCCTAACCCTCTTGGATGTACCTATAGTCTGCTTATGGCAGGTTTATCCTGGACTTCAGTCCTCTGCTATTCCTGAATAAACTCTTTGCTTTGGAGGGCTGGTCTCTGGATCACTCATTTTAGGATGACGGTTCATGCAGTGGAATACTGCATAGCAATGAAAAAGAGCAAAAGATTGCTATAAACACATAAATGACACAGCATATTATTTTAAGTAAAAGAAACTAGACACAAAGTAGCAAACTTTTTTTTTTTTTTTTTTTTTGAGATGGAGTTTCGCTCTTGTTGCCCAGGCTGGAGAGCAGGGTTGCCATCTTGGCTGACTGCAACCTCCGCCTCCTGGGTTCAAGCGATTCTCTTGCCTCAGCCTCCCGAGCAACTGGGATTACAGGTGCCCGCCACCATGCCTGGCTAATATTTTGTAATTTTAGTAGAGACAGCCTGTCCATGTTGGACAGGCAGGTTTTGAACTCCCGACCTCAAACAATCCACCCGTCTCAAGCTCTCTAAGTGTTTGGATTACAGGCGTGAGCCACCACGCCCAGCCTCAAACTTTTAAACGAAGTTCAAAATCAAGCAAAACTAATTGATATTGATAACAATGAGAACTGTGGTAACCTCTGGGAAGACAAAGGGTGGTCTGGGAATGAACACAGGGACTTTTATGGGCTGCTGGAAATGTTCTCTATCTTAATCTGGATCTATCCACAGATGTAAAGAAATAAATTTTTTTGAACTATACACTTAAAGTCACTACAATTAGTACAGTTTATTGCATGTCAGACAACCAAAACAACAAATGCAAGTCATGAACAGACACATCATACACACACACACACAAAATACAAATGATCAGAAAACATGTTCAACTTCATTGGACATCAAGGAAATGTTAATTAAAAGACTGGTACAACCCAAACAAGATTGACTAAAATTTAAAAACCTGATACACTATTTGTGAGAGTGTAAATTGGTGCAACCATTTTGGAAAACTGTGATGTATCTACTTAGCTAAAATATGCATTTCTCTCACAAACTTAATAAACAGGCTTCTCATCTACTCTATTTTAGTCAGAGCCTCAGTCCAACAGCTACATCCACAGTTCTTTTCTAGACATTCTTAGGTCTGCTACATCTTTTTTTTCCCTTTTGCTTTCACTTCTCTTCTTAATTATGGGAATTTTGGGCCCATCAAGGATTTGAGGCAGGGACTCTTTTCCATGAAATATTCTGTTCAATTCAAAGAACTTTCAAATATACCCATAGGTGAAATTCATTCTGAGACAGGATCAGTTTTAAGGTTTTATCAATGGACGTGAAGGTCAGGCCCTTGATTTGATCCTTACTAAAAGACTGAGTTTTAATTGGCCGTTGTCACTTAAAGCCTTTATAAATTTTATCTTTGTGAAGTCAGGATTAAGAAGCAATTGTGCCTCTCCCAACACCATAGTTCCTTTTAATTCCCTTTCATTCCTGTTTTCAAAAATGACAATTCTTTTCTGATCTGTGCTTTCTTGTAATGCCTTCTAAATGCATCCACCAGCAATGAACACACAACAACACTGACACAAAGCATTCTGTTTTCCTACCTTTTGTAGTAGAACTACAAATTTACTAAGTACATGATCTGTATCAAAGATAGATGGTTAAAAAAAAGGTAGGTCTTCATATAACATTTCATCCTTTGGAAAACTTGAATGGTCTACAGTTTATGAAGTCCCACCTATTAATGTGGTTACTAAAATAACACCAGATGGAAGGAAACTATTCAAATATCAATCCATCGCTCATTCCTTCATTTCAGATCACAAGAAAAATGAGAAGATCACCTAAGTCTATGAGATTTAACTATAACTATGAAATGCATTTTAAACTGGGCGCAGTGGCTCACGCCTGTAATCCCAGTACTTTGGGAGGCAGAGGTGTGCAATCACTTGAGGCCAGGAGTTTGAGGCTAGCCTTAGCAACATGGTGAAACCCTGTCTCTACAAAAAATAGCCAGGTGTGGTGGCGTGCACCTGTACTCCTAGCTACTGGAAGGCTGAGGCAGGAGAACTGCTTGAGCCTGGGAGGTCGAAGCTTCAATGAGCCGAGATTGAAGTGCAGGTCATTGCACTCCAGCCTGGGTGATGAAGCAAGAGCTTGTCTCAGAAAAAATAATAAATAATAAATATATAAATATGCTTAATTTTTTTTAAAAAGAAACATATTTTAAATGCCATAATATATCCTCAGGCAACAGTAAACTGGCATCCTAATTTTTAGACTGCAAATATAACTGAACCAGATCAGATAGAGCAAAATAGGTAAGAATTTCAAATATGATTAGCTACATTGCACTTTTATGTAAAATTCATAGATGATAAAAGACATTTAAAACCTTTCTCCCCAGTATTTTCAGCGTAGGCACTTAATATATAAAATGACCATCACATTGAATGGAACACCACAAAACCAAGTGCATTTACACCTTCCATTTGCTCTGCATGTATAATTAAACTCAATAAAATGAAAGTACAATAAAATCTTTCCACAATGTTAGCAGGTCACCCTCAAGCAGCTTGACCTATACATGGCTGGTCTAGCCAGATTAACCTATTATTTACAAATCAATCTTCCTCTCTTTTCTACCTACAATACTCCATACACAGCAACAACTGGAGAGAAAAATAAAATCTAGTAATAAAGATTCAAAAATCCTTGCTGTATATTCAGGAAATTCAAATAAAAAGCTAACACTAGTCTTAAATATTACACTGCTTATAAAACATTCAGGGAAAACAAACAAATAAACATAGCCATTCTATCAAGAGACATTCCAGATAGCAAAATAGTTTTAGGTGAAATAGTGTATTATTAGATTAACTATTATTTAAATAATATTTTTTCATTGAAACTTAAAAGGATATAAACCATTCTATGTTATATGCTAATGAGATTTAATCAGTCATTATTTACAGAGCAAAGTTTGGCTCATCCAGTTCTGGCATTGATACAATTTATCAACTGACATGTTATGCTTACAGCATATTACTTTCCTTGATCAAATAATTGAGATCTTGTTGTTCTGTTCCACAGGAAAGGAATATCTTTCAGATCTCAGACCATTAGCTTATAAATTCTATGGCTTTGTTAACAAAAAAAAGATAGTGGACATCACTAAAAAACTGAAAGTAAAGACCTCTGGCAGGGAACAGTGGCTCACATCTGTAATCCCAGTACTTTAGGAGGCCAAGGCAGGCAGATCACTTGAGCTGAGGAGTTTGAGACCAGCCTGGCCAACATGGCGAAAACCCGTCTCTACTAAAAATACAAAAATTAGCCAGGTGTGGTGGCGGGTGCCTATAATCCCAGCTACTTGGGAGGCTCAGGCAGCAGAATTGCTTGAACCAGGGAGGCGGAGGTTGCAGTGAGCAGAGATGGCATCACTGCACTCCAGCCTGGGTTGACAGAGCCAGACTTCATGTCAAAAAAAAAACCTCTGAAAATCCTCCATAAAATCAATGAGACTACAAGAAAAAACAAACAAACAAAGAAAAAAAACCCCAACTTTTTCAGAACACTAGAAACTAACCAAAGACTTCCAGCAATCCAGAAAATGACTGTTACAAAAACAATGACAACAAAACCACAGCTAAATCTTGGTTAAGAACGCTGAGATTTGTGGCATTTAAATTTGCTCTATGCGCATCTGCCCAACCTCGGCAACACAGGAGTCTTGAAAAACAATAGCCACAATCAACAATGACTGTCCAAGAAGTTGAAACTCTTTCAAAGCCCTATTCTCAGAGTATTGTCATTATTGGACCTGGAAGACTCCACATATACTGTCTTTATTTGAAATGATCCAGAGCTTACCAGTGTGAAAAGCATTTTCCTTAGAGCATTAATCAAAAACAACCTGAGACAACAGTTGAATCTAACTCTTAAACCAAATTCTCAAAAGTCAACAACAGCAAAATGAACTACCCAATTTAAAAATGGGCAGAACATTCCGAACAGATAACTCATCAAAGAAGATACATTGACGGCAAATAAGCATATCAGAAGATGTTCACCAAAATATGTCATTAAGGAACTGTAAATTAAAAGAACAATGAGATACTACCACACATACTTTCACCATCTGATCCAGCAATCTTCCTCGTTGGTATTTATCCAAATGAGTTAACTTTATATTCACGCGAAAACCTGCACACATATGTTCGCAGTAGCTTTGTTCATAATTGTCAAAACTTAGAAGCAACCAAAATGCCCTTCGGCAGGTAAATGGATAAACTATGGTAAATCAATACAATAGAATATTATTCAGCACTAAAAAGAAATAAGCTGCCAAATCAAGAGAGACACAAAGGAACTTTACATGTATATTACTAAGTGGAAGAAGCCAATCTGAAAAGGCTACATAGTGTATGATTCTAACTATATGGCATTCTGGAATGGGCAGAACTATGAAGATCGTGAAAAGATCAGAGATTTCCAGGGCTTAGAGGGAGAGAAGGATAAATAGGTAAAGCATAGAAAATTTTTAGGGCAATGAAACTATTCCTTATTTTTTTTTATGTTTTAGAGTCTCGCTCTTTCTCCCAGGTTAGAGTGCAGTGGCAAGATCTGAGCTCACTGCAGCCTTGACTTCTCAGGCTCAGGAGATCCCTCCACCATAGCCTCTCGAACAGCTGGGCCCACAGTTGCTAATCTACCACGTCTGGCTAATTTTTGCATTTTTTGTAGAGACAAGGTTTTGGCATGTTGCCAAGGCTGGCAATACAACTATTCTGTATGATACTAAAATGATAGATACATGTAAATTATAACAAACATACCACTCAAATGCAGGATGTTGATAGGGGAAGAAACTGTGTGGTTGTGGGAGCAAAGGGTGAAGAAGAACTCTATACTTTATGCTCAATTTTCCTGTGAACAATCTAAAACTGTTCTAAATCTGTTTAAAAACAAATAAAAGAGAAAACTTTAAAAAATATATGAATATATTACAGAAGGATATAAATTACCAAAGGTCACCTATACTTCCCATATCCATTGTTTATATTTTGTTATATTTCCTTTTAGTAGTTGTTATATTTCATTTATATTCATGGAGATGATATCATAGATATTTTGTATTGTACTTGTTCGTGATCTGACAAAACACTCATTTTTGTCTTCACAAGCATTGCTTAAGAACAGTAAGATATTCTATGAAACTGATACAATTTACTTCACAATTCACTTCACAATTCATTTTATTGAATATACACTCCTATGGCACTTAACATATGCTAGGCAGTTTGAATAACTTTAAAAATATTAACTCTCAAACTTTTAAATTTTTATTTTCTTACTTCAACATTCAGGGGAACAAACATATTAAGTCTTTTAAACTCAAAACAACCTTACAAAGTTGGAAACTGAGGCACTAAACAAGTAAGTACCAAAGGAACTCAACTATTAAGTGATAGAGCTTAACCTTTTTGACTACAAAGCTCATACTGTTCATAACCACTATCAATGCTGCCCCTAAGTATGTCTCTTACTATTGAATATTTTAGGTTGCTTCTACTTTATCTAACACTATAATAAATGCTACTATGAACATCTTCACTGATAAAATGCTTAATTTCAACAATACCAGAAATATACAACACAACAATAGCCAATAAAGTGAAGACTGCTTATTTCAGTTACTTACCTGTCATATTACCTTTTGTCCTGCTATTGCCAAAGACACCTTTACTTTTGTCTCCTTTCTCTTCTTTCTGAGCTCTTACCACATTCATAACTTCAAATATCTCTTTTATATGGGCAATGCCCTAATACATTTCTCAAGACAAGAACTCTTGCCACTTATAGTCTTTATTCCTGATGGCTAGACAACTTTACCTGATTGTGGTGGTGGGGGGGGTCTCTCAAATTGCTATGTCCTAAGCTATCTCCATCAATTCACCCCTCAAACATGCCTTTGCTCTACATTTTCACCATTCTCCCAATCACCAAGCTTAGAAATCTCAATATTTTATTTTTCTTTCTCCCTTTTGTTCCTCTGATCTCCAAAAAGTTGGCTTGTCCATTTGTGTGCCCCATTAAAAACATCGATAATGCTCCACTACTTTAAAAAATACATTTCAAACTTGAAGACCTGGAATTAATGATCTGAAAAGTCCAACCTTATTCCCCATACTCCTTTACTGAAGCAAAAAAGTAAAGTACCTGCTACTTTTCATGTAAGTTTTATTCTTTGTTCATATATTTCCTGCCTATCGTTAATAGGTACAGGAAGGAGATATAACAATCCAAAATGTGTATCCACCTTTAAAAAAGCATAACAAATATGACCCCAGAAAGTTTTTTTTTTTTTAAAAAGCCCACAAAAAAGAAATTATGTCAAAGAAACACAAGAGACAAATGAAAGCTTTCAAGAGCCAAAGCTGGAAAAATCTGTGCAACAAAATTAAGTAGTAATGGATTATAACCCAAAGTATTAAATGAATATACATGAGTCCATACTAACATAAATAAGTGATTGAGTAAGCAAATAAATGGGAGAGAATAGACAAATCTCTCATGCGGAAAAATTCCAAATAATTTATGTAGATACTCTGCTCTTAAAAAAGTAGAGCATAACTCCCTTCTCCCTAAGTGTGCACTGTGCATAGTGACTTTCTTCCAAAGAGTCCAATATACAAAGGAGGGAAAAGGGAGTAACTTTACAGCAGAAAAACCTGACAAACACTACCTCAGCCAGGTGACCGCCCAGTCTAATCACAAAAAAACAAAACAAAAATACCCAGGTAAATCCCAATTGACGGACATTGTATAAAATACTTGATCATTATTCCTCAAAACTTTCAAGGTCATCAAAAACAAAGTTTGAGAAAGTGTTACAGCCAAGAAGAAGGAAGCTAAGGAGACACGAGTACTGGAAGTAATATGGGATACCAGATGCAATCTTGGAATAGAAAAAGGACATGAAGTAAAAACTAAGGAAATCTGAATAAAATACGGACCTTAGTTAATAATAATGAACCAATGAAGGTTCATTAATTGTAACAAATATACCATACTTACATAAGATGTTAATAGTAGGTGAAACTGCTGTGGGTATATGAGAACTGTCGAACTCTTGGCAGTTTTTTTTTTTAATCTGAAACTTCTAAAATTAAAAGTTTATTGGAAAAAACATATGGTCCCAAAACACTCCTCTTATTGAGAGATGAAGTCTATGGCCCCTCATCTTAAAACTGGGCAGCTTTGTGACTGTTGAGTTACAGTGACAGAAGTGATGCAATGAAACTAGATAATAAATGCCATGCAGCTTCCAACTGGTGCTCATATGGCTCTCACCTGTGGAATGCTCTCTCTTGCCACTGAATCAACAGGCAAAGAAAGGGTTATTCTACTAAGTTGGATGACTCTTCTTGACTACCAGGAGAAACTGAGCTACTTAAACAGGATGGGAATAAGGAAAGGTACGCCAGGAATACAGTGGATCCAGGAAGAACCTATGAGCACTGCTATGTCCTAAGTTAACATACCCCTCCCCCTACAAACAGCTCAATATAGACAGGACTACTACCAGACCAAATCCTGTAGGAAGGTCTAAGTCATCCCACCAAAAAAGAAACCACAGTGCACACAGGTACTTGCTGAGGGCAAAGGGAAACTGAGACTGGCAGTAGAAAGTAGTTATAAATACTGGCTACAACCACATGATAAGTTAAGTAAGTGAGGGCTGTAATAGCTATGAGCATAATTTTTTTGATATGAACACATTTGCGCATGTATCTGACTTTATTTTTGTTCTCTCTCTCATCCCAAAACCGTCTAAAATAAGACTAAACATTTTTTTTTCCCCAAAATCAGAAATAAGGCAAAGATGTAGCCTCTCATCTCTATGAAACATTACACTGGCAGTTCGAGACAGTGCCACAAAACAAAAAATAAATTAAAGGCATACATATCTGAAAGAGAGAAGTAAAACATCACAGAAGTTATTGTTAACACAGAAAATTCTAAAAATAAAAAGTTAATAGTGCATTCAGGAAAGTCATAAAATTTTAGATTAATATACAAAAATTTTAAAAATTAGCAAAAGAAAAAGAATAAAATTTACAGTGTTATCAAGAAATATAAACTACTTATATATATTTTGAATTTACAAATAAATTTAACAAAATATGTACAAGACCTGTAAATGGAAAACTATAAAACATTTCTGAGAGAATTTAAAAATGATACAAATAGGGCTGGGCGAGGTGGCTCACGCCTGTAATCCCAGCACTTTAGGAGGCTGAGGCAGGTGGGTCACAAGGTCAGGAGATCGAAACCATCCTGGCTAACATGGTAAAACCCCATCTCTACTAAAAATACAAAAAATTAGCCGGGCGTGGTGGCGGGCACCTGTAGTCCCAGCTACTCAGGAAGCTGAGGCAGGAGAATGGCATGAACCTGGGAGGTGGTGGTTTCAGTGAGCCAAGATCGTGCCACTGCACTCCAGCCTGGGCAACAGAGCGAGACTCCACCTCAAAAAAAAAAAAAAAAAAAAAAAAGAGACAAATGAAAAGAGATACCATGTTCATAGATTGGAAGAATCATATTTCTTACTGGGAAAAGCAACAATTTATTGGTCTAATACAGATTCAGTAAAATCTCAAAGAGGTTTCCAGCAAGCCTTTTGTAAAAAATGACCAGCTGACTCTAATATTTAAAAAGGCCAACAACTGCAGATTTTTTTTTTTTTTATACAGGATCTCACTCTGTTGCCCAGGTTGGAGTGCAGTGGCATAATCATAGCTCATTGCAGCCTCAACCTCCAGGGCTCAAGCGGTCCTCCTGCCTCAGCCTCCCAAGTAGCTGGGAACACAGGTACAAGCCACTGTGCCCTGCTAATTTTTGTATTTTTTGTAGAGACAGGGTTTTGCCATGTTGCCCAGGCTGGTCTCAAACTCCTGGGCTCAAGAGATCCACCCTCCTCAGCCTCCTCAAGTTTTAGGATTATAGGTGTGAGCCACCACACCTGGCCAAGATGTCTTTTAAAGGTAGCAAAAGCTAGAGGTGTGACACTACCAGATATTAAGACTTAGACTTATTATACCTAATTGCAAAACAGTATATTATAAGCATAAAGGACATATAAATCAGCAGAACAGATTAATCAGTCCAGAAATAAAACAACATACATAAGATTGATTTTCAACAAAGGTGTCAAAATAATTCAGAACCTCCTTTAGCATTGTTTATATTGAAGACCTGCAGGCAGAAAATTCTTAGCTTTTATTTATCTAAAAACTCTTTTTACTTGACCTTCATTTTCAAAAGATATTTTTGCTGAATAGAGAATTCAGGTATATTGGGATTTTTTTATTATTTATTTATTTATTTATTTATTTTGAGACAGAGTCTTACTCTGTTGCCCAGGCTGGAGTGAAGTGGCGCCATCTGGGCTCACTACAAGCTCCGCCTCCTGGGTTCAGGCCATTCTCCTGCCTCAGCCTCTCAAGTAGCTGGGACTACAGGAGTGCACCACCACACCTGGCTAATTTTGTATTTTTAGTTTCTTAATCTGTAAATTTATGCCTTTCACCTAATTTGGTACTTTTTTTTTTTTTTTTGAGATGGAGTTTCGCTCTTGTTGCCCAGGATGGAGTGCAATGGTGCGATCTCGGCTCACCACGACCTCCGCTTCCCGGGTTCAAGCGATTCTCCTGCCTCAGCCTCCTGAGTAGCTGGGATTACAGGCACGCACCACCATGCCTGGCTAATTTTGTATTTTTAGTAGAGAAGGGGTTTCTCCATGTTGGTCAGGGTGATCTCTAACTCCCAACCTCAGGTGATCAGCCCGCCTTGGCCTCCCAAAGTGCTGAGATTACTGGCATGAGCCAACGCGCCCAGCAATTTAGTAAGTTTTCATTCATATGTCTTCAATTTATTTATTTATTTATTTTTGCTCCCTTTCTCTACCTCTATTTCTGGGACTCCAACTAGATGTATATTAGACATCTTGCTACTGTCCCACATGTAAATGAGTCTCTTCATTTTTCATTCTTTATCTCTCTTGTCTTCAGATTGTATAATTTCTATTAGTCTGTCTCCAAGTTCACTAACTCTTCTGTTATTCCAATCTGTTTTTAAGCCCATCTATTTTTTTATTTTCTATTTGAGGTACCCTATTTTTATTTGAGTACCATATTTTTCAATTCTAGAATTCTTTTAACAGTTTCTACTTCTCTGGTGAGATTCCTCATTTTTAATTTATTACAAGAATATTTCCCCTTTACATTGTTGAACATATTTATGACATTTGCTTTAAAATTCTTGCCTACTAAATCAATATCTCTTAGGGTCAGCTTCCATTGATTGCCTTTTCTCTTGTGTATAGATCACATTTTACTGTTTCTTTAGGTGTCTCATTATTTTTGACAGTATTATGGACATGTTGATGTGCTGTGGAGATTCTGAATTATGTTGTGTTCCTGTGAAGAATGTTGACATTTTTGTTTTAACAAGGAGTTAATTTGGCTGAAGTAGAAAACCCAGTTGTCTTTCCTATGATGGATTTCAGTTGAAAGCTCTGTTCACATATTTTAGCTTTAGGTGAATTGCTTGAAAACTGTCTAATGGAAATCTATTTCAGGGGTCAGGTGAAGAGAAGGGAGAGACTATAAACAGAATCCCTCTCTGTGAATCTGTCATTTTCCTACTCACTTTCTAGCTGTGGGGGTTAGCCCAAATCCTGCCCTCTGTATGTTCAGGTTAGTAAGTCTGTTAATATTCTATTTAAGTTACAGCTGTCTAATGTAGTGTCTACTGGGGTAAAAAAAAAAAAAGTTACCATAAGAATGGGAAATTCACCCATTTCCAAGAGGATATTCTTCCAGTTTCTGCTTGCTTTTGGTTGTTCTCCATTGTATTCAAGTAGTTAAGTTTATATTTTGTTGACAGATTACAGTTGTTAGCACAGAAGAGTTGTTCAAATAGGTGATACTCTCTTGTTATCAGAAGCAATAATAATCTCATTAGGAAAGGTAAAAATAGTGCCGGGAGACCTAGATATCCACATGGAAAAAATTAATCTTCCCACACATGAAACTCAACACAAAATGGATCATAAACTAACATAAAATCTGAATCTGGCTGGGTGCGGTGGCACACACCTGTAATCCCAGCACTTTGGGGGGCCGAGGCAGGTGGATCACCTGAGGTCAGGAGTTCGAGACCAGCCTGGCCAACATGGTGAAACCTCGTCTCTACTAAAAATATAAAAATTAACCGGGCATGGTGGTGGGCACCTGTAATCCCAGCTACTCGGGAGGCTGAGGCAGGAGAATTTATTGAACCTGGGAGGTGGAGGTTGCGGTGAGCCGAGATCGCGCCACTGCACTCCAGCCTGGGTGACAGAGTGAGACTCCATCTCAATGAAAAAAAAAAAAGCTAAATCTACAAAACAGAGGAAGAAAATCTTTGTGACCTTGTGGTAGGCAAAGTTTCTTAGATAGGAGACAACACATAAAAATAAACAGCACATTATCAAAATTAAAACTTTTGCTCTTGAAAAGATATCATTAAGAAAATGAAAAGGTAAGCTTCAGATTGGGAGAAGATAATCTGAACATACATAATTGGCAAAGAACTTTTATACAGAACACAAAAAGAACTTTTATACCTCAATAAAAAGACAAACCCATCTAAAAATTGGAAAAATATGAAAACAGACATATCATGAAAGAAGATACCTGAATACACAATAAGCTTATAAAAAGATATTCAACATCATTAGCCATCAGTAAAGTGCAAATTAAAATCACAGTGAGATAGCAACGAACGCCCTTTACAGTGGCTAAAATTAAAACGATTGACAGTTCCAACGATGTGGAGAAATTGCAACTTTCATACATTCCTGAAAATGATATAAAATACTACAACTACGTTGGAAAACAGTTTGGCAGTTTCTTACAAAGTTGAACATAAAATGATTGTATGATTCAGCAATTCCATCTCCTAAGTATTTTCCCAAAGACTGTAAACAAGTGTTCACAGCAGTTTTATTCATAATTGCTCCAAACTGGAAATAACTCAAATGTCAAACAATAAATGAATAGATAAACAAACTGTAATCTATAGATAGACCTAGGTATAAAGAAATATCATAATACTGATACACAGAAAAATATTAGTAAATATCAAAAACAATACTATGAAAAAGAAGCTGGATGCAAAATAGTACACACTGTTTAGTTTCATTTACATTACATTAGAGAAAGGTCCAAATTAATCTATAAAATCAAAAAGCACATTAATGATTGCCTAGGGTTGAGGGATAAGGGATAGAAAATGACTGAAGATAGGACAAGAGAACTTACTGGGATAAAGAGTGAGAAGGGGAAAACAAGCTGTATCTAAAAAGATACTGACCAAGAATTTTAACAAAGCTGGTAAAAGATAAAAAACCATGGATTCAACTCACTAAAGGATAAACAATATATATATATTGGAAAAAAATATATGTATAGGCCTATCATTAAAACTACTGAAAATCAAAGACAAAGGGAAAACTTTCAAAGAAGCCAAGGAGGCAAGTTCTCTTTATTATTTTATCAGACAAAAATAAGTCTGATAGCTAACTTCTCAACAGAAATGATAGAAGCCAAATGACAATGGAATTACATCCTCAAAGGGATATGCCAATCCATAAACAGCAAAAATACCCTTCATCAATGACAGTGAAATAAAGACTTTTCTTCAGGCATAAAAAAGAATTTGTCATCAACAAATCCACATTAAAATAAATATTAAAGTGCATTATTCAGGCAGAAGGGAAATAATCCCACCAAGGGAAGCTAGAAGACACAGAAAGGAATGAAGAGCCACAAAAACGGTAAATCTAAGCAATTATTGGCTGTATAAAATAATAATATTAATGTCTAAAGGCACCAAAAATAGAGAATTAAAATGCACAGTAGCAAAAAACAAGTGTGAATAAATGAACATAAAATATTATAAGGTGTGTACTTTTTTTTTTTTTTTTTGAGACAGAGTCTTGCTCTCTGGCTCAGGATGGAGTGCAATGACACGATCTTGGCTCACTGCAACCTCTGCCTCCGAGGTTCAAGCAATTCTCCTGCCTTAGCCGCCTGAGTAGCTAGGATTACAGATGCACGCCACCACGCTCAGCTAATTTTTTGTATTTTAGTAGAGATAGTGTTTCACTGTGTTGCCCAGGCTGGTCTTGAACTCCTAAGCTCAGGCAAACCACCCACCTCAGCCTCCTGAAGTGCTAGGATTACAGGCATGAGCCACTGCACCCTGCCTACATTTTTTTTTTTTTTTTGAGAGGGAGTCTTGCTCTGTCGCCCAGACTGGAATGCAGTGGCACGATCTTGGCTCACTACAACCTCCACCTCCCGGGTTCAAGCAGTTTCTCATGCCTCTGCCTCCCAAGTTGCTGGGATTACAGGTGCACGCCACCACAAACAGCTAATTTTGTATTTTTAGTAGAGATGGGGTTTCACCACGTTGGCCAGGCTGGTCTTGAACTCCTGACCTCAGGTGATCCACCCGCCTCGGCCTCCCAAAGTGCTGGGATTAAACACAAATATATCCGTGATGATGTTAAGAGGTCTAACTGCAGGCATCTCATTTCTAACCACTGGACTCTTAAGGACCCCAAGACCTTATCTCTTGAGGCTATATGACTTTAAAACCCAAGCCTCTTGAACAGTGAGACCTATAACTCTTTCCTATCAGCAGTTTTATGAGCCTACAGCTCCCTGATTGTTTCTAGACCCTAGGGATTTCCCTTATTTTTTTAATGCCTCATATGCTATATATAGGTGTTTGTAAGGAATAGCATTTTTGGTTGTCTTTTTCTCCATATTGCAGGAACAAGAAAACTTATCTTTATTTCCTGAAAAAATAAAACTGTGGGTTTAAAACATTTGAGGATATACTTTTTAAGTTAAAAAAACTATTTCCAATCCATCTTTTTTTTTTTTTTTTTTTTTTTTTGAGACGGAGTCTCTTTTTGTCACCCAGGTTAGAGTGCATTGGCACGATCTGGGCTCACTGCAACCCTGCCTCAGTTCAAGCAATTCTCTTGCCTCAGCCTTCTGAGTAGCTGCGACTACAGGCATGCCCCACCATGCCTGGCTAATTTTTTTTGTTTTTGGTAGAGACGGAGTTTCACCATGTTGGCCAGGCTGGTCTCTAACTCCTGACCTCAAGTGATCCACCCGCCTCGGCCTCCCTAAGTGCTAGGATGACAGGCATGAGCCACTGCGTCCAGCCTCTAATCCATTTTTTAAGTGAGAACAAAACTAATAAAATGTAGTAAATGAGTTATTATCTTCATAGAATAACTGAGAAATCACATTTTTATTTCTATAGCAGCTACAAGATACTTGTTGCATAAGTTCAACTTCAGAACATGTAATTAAAATATCTACACTGACTCTTCCATTATCCAACAGGTCTAAATTCGGAATCTCATATGCTTGTTAATCAGTACTATTTGATGCCTGAATTCTTGTTTTCCTTATTCTCTTGAGACAGGGTGATTTTTTTTTCTTTGAGGTGTTAAATTTTGAGGTAGGGGGGTTGGGGGATAGATAAGTCAAGTTTCTAGCAACCTCAATTCCTCATCTCTAAAAGGGAGATAATAGTACCTAGCACAGAGTGTGGCAAAAGAATCAAATGAGGTAACAGTAAGTTCCAATAAGTGTTAGCTGTTGCTATTATTCCTATTTATTATCTTTTCCCAGCAATGATCATTACTTTTGAGAGTATGTCTTAGCAATGGTAACTGTTTTTGAGAGTAAGGTCAAATGCTTGGCATGAGCCACTCTGAGGAATGGGTAAGTCGTACCTTGAGGATCACACATAGTAACAAAGGAAACTCCTATAGGGTATGTCTGCCATATGCTGGCTCTACTCTACCAGAGAAACAGGTAGGCAGACAATAACGGATGCTGGCAAGGATGTAGAGAAAGGGGAACCCTCACACACTGTTGGTAGGAAAGTAAATTAGCATAGCTGCTATGGAAAACAGTATGGAGGTTGCCAAAAAACTTAAAATAGAATTACCATATGATTTAGCAATTCCGTTACTGGGTATACATCCAAAAGAAAGGAAATCAATATATCAGAGAGATATGCAGTTCCATGTTTACTGCAGCACTATTCACAATAGACAAGGTATGGAATCAACCTAACTGTCCATCAATGGATGAATGGATAAAGAAAATGTGATATATATACACAATGGAATATTATTCAGCCATCAAAAGGAATGAAATCCTGTCATTTGCAGCAACATAGATGAAACTGGAGGCCATTATGTTAAGTGAAATAAGCAAAACACCAAAAGACAAGTATCTCATGTTCTCACTCATATGTGGGAGCTTAAAAAGTGAATCTCATGAAAATAGTGAATACATTGCTGGTTACCAGAGGCCAGGAAGGGAAGGAGGGAGGGGCAAATGAAGAGGAAAAAGAAAATATAAACATATATATTACCCCTGGGCTGTACACTTAAAAATGGTAAAGATGGTAAATTATATATGTGTATTTTACTTCAATAACAAATGATTTTTAAAAATCATGTTGTATACCTTAAAAAAATAAATAAATAAAAACAAGTCTTATTCCTTTCTTCCCCAAAGCTGTCACCAACTACTCTTGGTACTTCTATTTCTTGAGTACTGACTACAGAATAGGGACACACATCCCCCAATGTTGTATTTTGTTCTTTATGCCCCACCAAGCAAGCCTAGCAGTCATTTTCATTTTAAGTGTTTTATTACTAATTGCTACAGGGAACTAGGTAGTGCCTAGTGAAGAAGGTATGTTTCCTGGGGTTGTGGTAACAAATTGAAACAAAATAGGTGGTTTGAAACAGAAACTTAACTCTCAGGGTTCTGGAGACTAGAAATCTGAAATTAAGGTGCAGATAGATTTCAGCACAGCTGTGCTCCCTCTGATGTGTCTGGGGCTCCCTCTGATGTGTCTGGGGAAGAATCCTTCCTACCCTCTCCCTAGCTTCTGGTGCAGAATTGCAGGTGATTCTTTGTTCCTTGGCTTGCAGCTGCACAACTACAACTTCTGCCTCTGTCATCACATGACCTCTTTCCCTGTGTGTGTGTATGTCTAGGTCTCTGTATCCAAATTTCCCTCTCCCTTCTCTTTTCTGGTTTTTTTTTTTTTTTTTGGTGTTGTTGTTGTTTGTTTTGTTTTGTTTTGTTTTGTTTTTTGACAGAGTGTAACTCTTTTGCCCAGGCTGGAGTGCAGTGGCACAATCACAACTCATTGCAGCCTCAAACTCCTGGGCTCAAGCTACCCTCCCACTTCAGCCTCCAGAGTAGCTGGGACACCTGGTTATTTTTTTGTTGTTGTTATTTATTTTTAGTAGAGATGATGATGTCCCGCTATGTTGCCCAGGTTAATCTCAAACTCTTCAGCTCAAGCAATCCTCCTGCCTCAACTTCCCAAAGTGCTGGGATTACAGGTGTGAGCCACTGTGACTGGCCTCCTTTCTCTTATAAAGAAACCAGTCACTGAATTAGGGTCACATTCACAAATACTAGGGGTTAGGACTTGAATATACCTTTTTGAGGGACACAATTCAACCCACCAGAGAGAATGTCTTTAAATTTAAGAAGCTATTAAAAGTTCTTATAATCCCTGTCCATGTTCTGTAGGTCTGGGTTTTTGGAAATCCCTTGAGCTTCCTTTGTCCCTCATAGATCTCTGGGTAATGCTTTTTAAATGATCCTAGACTCCCGAACTCACAGCTCCTAAAAAGCCCTCTGTACAGAAGTTTCTCTTCCCGGGAAACAGGCTTGATGGTATAGTTAGAATAAATTTCTGTCCTCCTTGAGGACATGGATCAAAGCTTCATAATTCCTTGATACTAGAATGGGGTCTGATATCAATAACATTTTTTATGAACTAGAAATCATTCAAGTACCTCCTTGTTTCAGCTGTGTAATCTGTTTCTTGGGGGATTTCCTGACTAGGTGATTACCTTAAAACAGAGCTCCCATGCCATGTAAGAATGATCTCCTTAAGGTTTTTCCTCACACTCCACATCCTTACTGTTTCCTCCCTCTGAGACTATTTTATATCGTTCAAAAATCTCCTAGAAGGCATTGATTTGACTTCTGAGAGTAATAACACTTTGCAAAATATGCATTAGTGAAATTGCTTCCAGGTCATCATACTTTACATTTTTGCTTGGTGTAATATACCCAAAGGAAACCACAACTACTTTAAAAGAAGTTACATGATTATGACTTCATGTATGCAAATCAGGCCTCCCCTAACATCCTTTCTTCAGTTGGTTCTTGTCTGCCCTTGGTTCTACTTGTTTTTTTTCTTTTCTTCTGTTACTATGGCAGAACAGATAAAGAGTCTTACTCTGTCGCCCAGGCTGGAGTGCAGTGGCGCAATCATAGCTCATTGCAGCATCAACCTCCTAGGCTCAAACCATCCTCCCATCTCAGCCTCCAGAGTAGCTGGGACCACAGGCATCCGCCACTGCACCTGGCTGATTTTTTAAATTGTTTGTAGACATGGTCTCCTAATGTTGCCCAGACTGGTCTCAAACTCCTGGGCTCAAAGGATCCTCTGCTTTGGCCTTAGGAAGTGCTGGGATTACAGGCATGAGACACCACGCTCAGCCTCAGTTCTACATTTGATGTTGCTACTCTTGTAAGTGAAAAATCTTTATCTTGATGGTTTATCCCTTCCATGGGATAAATCATCTACTATCATTTTGCTGTGTCCTGCAAATATTCTTATAAAATTATTTGAAATATTCTAAAAATAAAAATAACTTCTGTATATCTATCACGCAGTTTAATAAAACACTACCAGTATAGTTGAAACATTCTATGAACACTTCCTTAATAACATTCCCCCTCTCTTTCCCCCACCGACACCAGGTACATGTACCATAAATTATCACCACAGCTAATTACCACCTGGAAGCTGATGTTTATGATCCCCATGCATTTTTGATACCTTTACTAAACTATATACTATTCTACATATTTCTAAATGCTAATTCTGTATTATATCTGTTACAGATTCTTCTGCAATGTTTTTCCCCTCTAACTATGATTGTGAGATATATCATATTGATACATACTGTTTGGCTTCATTATTTTAATAGCATCACTTTCATTTTAAGAATATACAACCATTTTTATCATTCTTCTACTGATGGACATTTAGTTTCCATGTTTCTACTATTACAAACATTGCTTTTTGAACAGCCCCTTAGATCACAACTAGAGTTATTTTTCTCTTTTTCACAACAGCTTTATTGAGATATAACTTATATATCATAAAATTCACCCTTTAAAGTGTACGATTCATAGTTTTGAGAGTATTCATAAAGCTGTGCAACCACCACAACTATCTAATTCCAGACTATTTGCATCATCTCAAAAAGAAACTCTATACTCATTAGCAGTAATTTTCCATTCTCCCCTGCCCTGGCCCCTATCAACCATTAATCTACTTTCTATCTCTATGGATTTGCCTATTTTGGAAATTTTTTATAAATAAAATCATACAATATATGACCTTTTGTGACTGGCTTCTTTCACTTAACATGTTTCCAAGGTTCAGCCATGTTGTAGATGTACATTAATTTGATTGTGGTGATGGTTTCATGGGTACATGTCAAAACTTATCAAAGTATACACTTTAAAAATATGAAATTTGTTGTACGTAAATTGTACCTCAATAAAACTACCAAATAAAATAGGCAAAACAGGTCAGGCATGGTAACTCAAACGCCTGTAATCCCAGCACTTTGAGAGGCCAAAGCAGGTGGATCCCCAAGGTCAGGAGTTCGAGACCAGCCTGGCCAATGTGGTGAAACCATGTCTCTACTAAAAATACAAAAATTAGCTGGGCATGGTGGCGTGCGCCTGTAATCCTAGCTACTCGTGAGACTTAGGTGGGAGAACTGCTTGAACCCAGGAGGAGGAGGCTGCAGTGAGCTGAGATCGCACCACTGCACTCCAGCCTGGGCAACAGAGTGAGACTGCATCTCAAAAAAAAAAAAAAAAAAAAAAGGGCAAAACATTTTTATAGATGCTTCACAAAAGACGTTCAGATAACAAGTGGATGAATGACTGACTACTCTATTTCATTAAGCATCAGAGAAATATAACTTAAAATTACAATGAGACATCAGTACAGACCCAGAGCAATAGTTTAAAAAATTTAAACTACTAACTACTATAAACCCCAAGGGCTGATATGACTGTTGAATAACTGGAACTGCCATATGCAGCTGATGGGAATGCAAAATGGGACAGCCACTTTTGAAAAAGGTTTTAAAGTATTTTATGAAATTAAGGCTGAGCATGGTGCCTCACACCTATAATCCCAACATTTTGGGAGGCTGAGGTGGAAGGATTGCTTGAGGCAGGAGGTTAAGACCAGGAGGTTAAGTCCAGCCTGGACAACATAGCAAGACCTTTTTTCTACCAAACATTACAAATTAGCTAGGCCTGGTGACATGCTCCTGTAGTCCCAGCTACTTGAAAAGGCTGAGGCCCAGGAATTCGAGGTTATGGTGAGCCATATCCTACCTCAAAAACAAAACAAAACAAAACAAAACAAAAATAGAGAGGAAAAAAAAAAGCAAAGAGCAAGCAAGCAAGCAAGAAATTAAAATCTTTGGCCACACAAACACCTGTAGCCAAATGTTTATAGCAGCTTTATTACTAACAGCCAAAACCTGGAAACAACTCAAAGCCCATTAACTGCTGAATGGATAAACAAACTGGTAATACATATAATGGAATACTACTCACACATTAAAAGAAAAAATTAGTGATACATGCAAGAACATAGATGAATCTTGAAAGTATTATATCAAGTGAAAGAAGCCAGACACTACCAGCTCATACTATGTGATTCCACTAACATGATGCCTCCAAACACAAACCTATAGCAGTAGATATCAGATCAAGGGTTGCTAGGGACCAATGGTGAGGATAGAAAATCGATAATAAGTGCATGAGACTTTACAGACTTACAGATATACTAAAAATGATTGTGATAGTTCACAACTCTTCACATTTGTCCAAACTCATAGAACAGTATTCCTTAAAAGAGTCAACTTTACCATATGCAAATTATGACTAAATATGCCCGACTTTGTTTTTTCAAAAGTGAGGGTGAGGTGGGATGGGGTTGGGGGAGACATTATATACAGGAGAACAAAGATAAGAATGACACCAAATATCTAAAAACAACAGCCAGAGGACAATAGAATATTAAAGTGCTAAAAAAAGTCAACCTACAATTATATATCCAGTTTAAAAATAAATCTTTCAAAAATGAAAGTTAAATAAAAACATTTTCTAAGAAACAAACACTGACAGAATCCTTCACCTACATGCAGTATTAAATAAATGAAGTTATTCAAACTGAAGGAAAATTATGAAAATATGGATCTACATAGATGGATGTATTCTATCAAACACTTAACAATGCAATGCCAATCTTATACAAACTTTTTCAAGAAGTAAAGAATACAACACATCCCAGATCACTTAAAGATGTCAGACACCATTACCCTAATTCTAAAACCAGACAATCAAAATAAAGCAAAACTGAAGACCAATCTCCCCAAAATGGCAACCGAACAGTGAAAAAAAATTTAGTTAAAGCCATTCCTCACATCATATATAAAAGCAAATTTCAGGTAAGCTAATGTTCTCATGTGAAAGATAATGCCTGAGATGGTTAGGAAGAAGATTATGAGATTATATTCAGGTATATGCTGGTAGAATTCACCATAAAATTATTTTAATATAAAACATCCAAAAAATTAAGGCACACAAACTATTTTCACTCTTCATGTTGATCAAGAATTTTCCTATTTCTTGTTAATTCAAAAAGACTCTGGATGCAATACCTTGTGAACTTATTTTTTGGTATGCCCCTGTGCTCATATACTACCTTACTACCTTTATCTCTCTGTTTTTTGTTTGTTTGTTTTGGAGATAGGCACGATCATTGGCCACTGCAGCCTGGAATTCCCCGGCCCAAGTGATCCTCCCACCTCAGCCTCCTGAGTAGCTGGGAGCAAGGCGAACACCACCACGGCTGGCTAATTTTAAAATTTTTTTGTAGAGATGGGGTCCGACTATCGTCTTGAACTCCTGGGTTGGTCTCGAACTCCTGGGCTGAAGCAGTCTTTCCACCTCAGCCTCCCAAAGTGTTGGTTGGGATTACAGGCGTGGACCGCCACACTTAGAAATGACTTTTCTAATATCCTTAAATCAGAGCTCATGTAAAATTTTCAGCCTTCTCATTCCACCTCCCTCCGAACTACAAGTCTTAAAACTAAGAAATGACAGCCATTCGGTAGAAGTTAAAACACTGTTTCGCTGCTTATTTCTACTTAAAAAAATTATATACATAGATATATATTATGTAAATATATATAATTATATATATAGACATACGTGTGTGTATATATATAAATAAACGTGTAGAATTGGACTGGGGTCCCACTAATATCCACATTTCAAAACAGAATCTAAAACTCCCTAAAACAGGGTTGGGCTCGGCGGCTCACGCTTGTAATCCCAACCCTTTGGGAGGCTGACACTGGAGATCAGTCTGAGCAACAAAGTCAGATCTCTTTTCTACTAAAACAAAATACAACTCTCTAAAACTAATACAAAATTTTGTGTGTATGTGTCATATTCTGGAGAAAAGCTCCAAGGTTTTCCTCTGGGTCTTAAACAGGACTAAGACCCCCCACCCCCAAAAGAATCTCTGTTCTAGAGGCTAAGCATATAGAAGCTCATACTGCATTATCAAACTGGAAAGTTAATAGAGGATTTTCATGGTCATATACAGGAGAGGTGGGGAAAGCTGTCTATTTAGACTGTAAACTCCTAAAATGTTCATAAATCTCAATGGAAATTAAATCCACCGGGGTGGGAGAAGTATCACAATAGACAAAGAAGCTAAAGGTTAATGAAGAGAAGGTTTTAATCAGTGGTTACTTTTGTGCTTGGGATCAATCCTCAGTTTGTCCTCCAACGTAACTTTTGGCATTATTCATTTCAAAGTCTGAACAGTATCCATAAACCCAATACGAAACCTATGGATCCAGAGGGTCCGACCGAAAACAAAACAATTATGTTTCCGATGTGAACGCATCAATAGCTTACTTTTGTAGCGCTTTATAAAACGCTGTCACTTGCTGCTTTCCACGTCATGATATTCCCGGTCGGGAAGAGTAGGACAGCAGCATCTTTTATGAATAAGGAATTTTTTGGATTCAATTTGTGAGGTGTGGGACGCTCACCAGGTTGCGCGAAAACCATTTTTCTACATCGTCAAGTGCACGCACCCCGTGTCTCATAGTATTAGTGATGAAGACGAGGATGAAACTACCAAAGACATCAGTGGGGAGTGAATTATACTTGGGGGAGGTGTAAGCACGTCGAAATAAGGAAGCTGAGAGACATTTTGTGAAAGAGGGAAGGTAGCGTTAAGAGGAGCCTTCCATCAGGGGCAACAGAACGGGGGCAGGCGTGGCGTCTCTGGGACTGCCGGAAAACGACGTGAGGGAAAAACTCAGAGGCTACGAAAAGGCGAACAGACGGAGGGCCTGCCTCAGGGGAGCTAAGCAGCTCGCCTGAAGCCCCCCATCTGGAAATGACGTGTTTAACTCGGCGCCCCTGCAGCTCCGGCCGCCCTTTTTTGTTTAACTCCGCGCCCCTCCAGCTCCGGCCGCCCTTTTCGTCGCTCTCCCCTCGCGGTCGCTCACCCCTGAGATCCCTGGTTCCACTGAGACGCTCAGCTTCATTCGGCAACTCGCGGACACCAAGCGCCACAAATTCAAATACGAGATCTAGAGACGCTGGGTCTCAAACGTCTCCCAGAGTGAAAGACAGAGGAACCAATCGAGGCTCGGCTGACCTCAGACGTCTAAGGCGATAGGCGTTGCTAAGAAAAGGGGGTGGGACGATACCCAGTTGCCAAGACGACGGCTTCCGGGTGGGCGGCTTGAGGTGGCTTCCGGCCGCCAGGCGAGACTCCGCGGGAAAACTCCCTGCTAGAGAGACTAGGAGATTTGGGGCTGCGGCCGTTTCCTCCGGAGCACCCACGGGACTGTGTGCTGGGGTCCCTCCACCGGCTGTGTCCTTTATTCTTCTTTCTCACCCAACGATTTACCTGAACGGTTATAAAGTGCACGTTATTTCCCTAAGGTAAGCGTGTGGTAGCGCCTCCTCCTCCTCCAACAGGGGGGTAACAGAAACCTGCTGTCAACTTTGTTACCCAACATAACTGTACTTAACCACAAAAAGTTGAAATTTTGGATCTTTAAACATTCAATAACCTCTTGCTGTGTGAGGTTTTTTAACTGCACTACATACATTTTGTAGTCTTTAACCATTGAATGCGATTTAAGTTTACAATGAAATTTAACGTTCTGGTTGTTTCTGACCCCAAATTTCATCTGAACCAGTTAATGGACGAAGAACTGAAATTTTATTTTCTGTGACAGTCTCATAGGTTCTCAGACTTAAGTTCTTAATCGCCCATAAATCTGAAGGCAGGTGTTAAAGATGAGCAGGTGATTTGAGCCCAGTCCATGCCAACACTCAAACTAATTCAGCTGAGACTCCTTTCGTTAGGAGCATTATTTTAATTTTAAAAATTTTAAACCGAATGGTAAGCATGGCTGCTTTAGTTTCAGTTGTGTCTCATTTGATGATGATAGTCCCACACAAGACGATCTCATTTGTCAATGAAAGTAAACATTAGTGACCACACAGCTTTCTGCAGATAACTCTTTAAACGAACATCTTTTATCAGACCACAGAAATCATTGTTATTGTCACTAAAATGTAAAAACTAAAGCAAAACTTATCTGCTTATCAACAATTTCTTCCTCCATAGCTAAGGTAGGGAAGCATTTATGAAAGCTTAGATCTATATGTGTTTGGGATCCTGCCAACCCCTTTCTTAAAATTCCATCTTCAAAACTCCCTGCTAATGAGCACTTTTCCAACAGCTTGGATGAAACATTCTGAATAATTCGTCAGCCTGAAGGTTAGAAATTTCATTAAATAAAAAATTAAATACACAGAATACTTAAGTATGAAACATTAATGAACTGAGTAATACATTCTTAAGAAGAGGAGGCACTTAGGAAAACACAGGCCACCTGCATTGTGGAGCCATTTAATGTGATGAGATTTGATAAATGGGTAAGAGATCAAAAAATGCCCAGGGTTTCAAAAGAGAATGTTCCATGAGCAGCTTACTGCCTACATAGACCATTTGAAAATCAAACCAACTCAGCAGAAGCCCAAGAGGCCTTCAGATGAACCCGAGTATCCTTTGGATGTCAGTGTTGTACTGAACAAAGTCAGTTGAACTGTTATTTATCTGACAAGAAAAAAAAATGCCTAAATTTTGTAAGGACTTACACCATTCATTTAAAAATATATAGTGATCTTAGAGGTTAGAAAGCACAGAAAAGAAACTTGAACATAGAGGTACTTAAAAGGAGAAAAATAAATTTCCTCCGGTAGTAGACATGTATTTGGCATTGTTCACTGTTATCTCCTTGATGTCCTCTCTCCTCAGCTTGGCTGAATCCTACTTACGCTTTTAAGACCCAGGTCAAATTGTGAATCTTTTGTGACCTAGTCCATAGTCACCTCTCTCCCTCCTGAATGCCTATAATAGTCTTTATTTGGCATTTTTTTGTATTCTTTATAATGTTTCTTATTTATGTTTATGAATATATCTTACATATAACTTGCATCATCTAAACCCTAAACTACTCAGAATTGTGTTCACCATGTACCTGGCAGACAGACTTGAACAAATAAGTTTTGATGTAAAACTGCCAAGATTAATACTAAATATAGTTGAGATCCATATTAGTTTGCTAGAGCAAACATAACAAAATGCCACAGACTAGGTGGCTTAAACAACAGAAAGTTATTTTCTCACAATTCTGGAGGCTAGAAGTTCAAGATCAAGGTATCAGCAGGGTTGGTTTCTTTCTGAGGTCTCTGTCCTTGACTCAGATCACTGTCTCATCTCTTTGTCTTCATGTGCTGTTTTCTCCATGTGTGTGCACACCTGTGTCCAAATTTTCTTTCCTTGTAAGCACACCAACCCTACTGGATTTAGGCCCGTGTTAAAGACCTCATTTTAGCTTAATTACCTCTTCAAACACCTTATCTCCAAATAGGGTTACTTTCTGAAGTACTAGGGGTTACACCTTTAACATATAACTTTTGGGGAG
Organism: Homo sapiens; assembly: GCF_000001405.40. Lineage (NCBI taxonomy): Eukaryota > Metazoa > Chordata > Mammalia > Primates > Hominidae > Homo > Homo sapiens. The sequence continues at coordinate 72,667,391 of NC_000016.10, forward strand.
ACTCAAGGCCATAACAGTAGCCAAGACTCAAAAAGCAGAAATGATTGGGAGCAATTATCTGTCACCTTTCAGAACTCCCATTTTTAGACCTATAGATAGCATAAATGTGTAAGTCAGATTAGTGTAAGATAATAGGAAGTGGTAGGGCCTGTGGCAATTCAAAGTATATTTGCCCAGACAGAAGACATTCAAATTAAAATTGTAAACAACCCTCCATCCCCACCCGAGCCATCCAAACAAAACAGTTTGGCTGGTTTTGACTTACAGGTTATCAGTTTGCAAAAACCACCACCATGTTACTTCGTTTGGAATCATAACCTGATGGTGGATATTGGACATATTAAGTATTTTTATTGCATATCCAAATACATTTTTCCCAGACCCCATTGGTTTATGCACAGCTTTTTTTATTGAGTACTTGTTGTGTTAAAGGAACTGTACTAAGTGCCATGCAGGGATTAAGATCCATACGTTTGGCTACATATATCCTAGAGTTACAAGGACCTATTTTTGAGATCATTTATTAAATACCTAACTTTACAAAATTTAATTTTTTGTGTAACTTTATCGTGTAAATAAATTTGAACTCCAAAAAAAATTTCTTGTCAGACTACATGCACCACAAAGACCAAGACTGTGGCCTCAAGTACAAGGGTAGAGGAAATGAGACAAATAAAAAAATAATTATTGAGCAAGATGAAAGAAGACCATAAGAGGATTATAGATAAAGTGCTATGGAAGATTACAGGACAAACAGATTTCATCCAGCTGGGTGTGGTGCTGAAGGTATTTAATGCAGTTCGAATTAATCTTTTCATGGCACTTGGTACCTCTAATATATCATTAATCGGCATATTATATGGTAGCTATTTGCTTATGTTCATATCCCTCCCAGTACGTTCTGAAATACACAAGAATGTCATAATCTTTATTTGTTCCAGTCTAATGTTATTCAAAAGCATCTAGTGTTACCCAAAGGAGTCAATTGGGGAACTTTTTAAAAAGAAACTTGTCTTAATTCTAGCTCTGAAGATTGTAATTAAGTAGGCCTGGAGAGGTGGTGGAGGATCTCTATTTTGAAAAGTTTTCCCTCACTTAATAAATCTGGTGATCACACCATTTAGAATCTACTGCCCTAGAGCACCTAGTATATAGTATGCTCTCAGTAAATTGTTGTCACATTAAATGAGCAGAGCTGCAATTTAGTAAGATTAATAAGACTCCAGTGTGTAGGATGAATTAAAGTGGGAAATATCCTAAAGGCAGGAAAATCCTATTACAGATGTCCAGCTAAGAGATGAAGCAGCCCTGAACTAGGGTAGAGACAATAGGAGATAAATGGATGAGAAACACTGAGAAGGTAGAATGAGCAGACTTAGGTGAAAATTGATATAATGCAGTAGTTCTCAAAATGTAGTATGCCTAAGTCTTACATGGGTTGTTGATTTAAAAAGATTTCTGGGATCTATCCTTGAAAACCTTTTCAGCTAATTCAGGGTAAAGCACATGAATCTAGCATTTTTAACAACCCTTCTTCATGATTTTGATTTAGATTATTTAAATTAAAAACCTCGATTTAAGAACACACTGATCTATTAACCATAGTGAGTAGGGAAGAGGGACTATTGAAAAAGAATTCTAAAGATTAAATCTTGAGCGACAGGGAATATGATAAGCCATTAATTCGGCAAGTAAGAAATGTCATTTAAGAGCCTGGAAAAGAGGTATGAGTGAAGAAAAAATTGGAAAATCTTTGTTTAATAAAGATTTCTAAGAGATCAAAGAAAAAGAAAATGGTTATACAGAGAATTGAGGGAGTATTTCTCCTTTTAGAGACCTTGAAAGAGGCAGCATATGAAACAAAGTGGAAAGAAAAACAAACTGGCAGAAACCAAAAACAAGAGTCTCAAGCAAATAATATTTATAGCAGGTGAATAAGAAATACAGGGGTTGTGTGGATGTAGAGAGGTTTCTGGAATTGACCTGTATCTGTATTGTTGAATAGAAGAAGTTCTATAGAATGTTGGGGTTTCTACGAGTTGAAGAATAAATTCACAGCAAAATCAAACCTAGGTGATTAAGCATAATTTATAATGTGGAAAAAAGAGTGAGAAATTATTATAACAAAGAGGTGACCCCTCAAGTTACTTGTAATTCATAGAGGTTTTTTTTTTTGGTTTTTTTTGAGACAGTTTTGCTCTTGTTGCCCAGGCTGGAGTGTAATGGCGCAGTCTCGGCTCACTGCAACATCCGCCTCTCCAGTTCAAGAGATTCTCCAGCCTTAGCCTCCCAGGTAGCTGGGATTACAGGTACCCGCCACCATGCCTGGCTAATTTTCTTATTTTTAGTAGAGACAGGGTTTCGCCATGTTGGCCAGGATAGTCTCGAACTCCTGACCTCGGGTGATCCACCCACCTCTGCCTCCCAAAGCGCTGGGATTACAGACGTGAGCCAATGTGCCCAGCCGAGACTTCCATTTTTTATAACAAAATAATTTTAAGAGCAGAATCAAAGGAAATAAAAAGTGAGAGATAAAATGGCCGTGATAAAATTAATAGTAATCATTCATTATTAGCCAAACATAGATTTTTGTAAGGTTCTTCTTGAATAGTAGGGGAAGGTAAAAGAAATGAATTAATAAAATTGATTAAAAGTCCTCTTTTTAAGAAGTAGAAGAAAACAAAAGAATAAAGGTAATTTGAGGAATGGAGTTTTTAAATTTTAAAGAAGAAAAATAGTTGGAGGGAAAATAATATTTTTTCTAGGTTTAGCAACAAACTAGTTTTATAAACATTGCATGTTATATGCCAGTCTTATAAGCTATTTATAAGTAGATAGTGACTGTGGTGGTCAACTATATAAAAGATCTGGCATGCCTCTTACAAGTTGTGTATACAACCTTGGTTAAGTTAGTCCTGTTCTATAAAATGGAAAATAATAACACCTGCCTTATAACATTAAATAAATGATATAATGTTAAGTATGTGCCAACTATATAAAGCATTCAATAAATGGTAGCTATTTTTATTAAGTGAATGACCTTATGCAATTTACTTAACTGCTCTGAATTTTTAAGTTTTTTTTTTCTGTCAAATGGGATTAGTTGTCTGATGTTTTTATAGGGTTATCAAGAAGATTAAGTTATTAGAAAATTAGGGTTATTAGAAGATCTTGTAGTATGAATAACACATAACACATAAAAACACTCAGTAAATGTTAAATACTGTTATCAAAAATCTCAAAATGACACGTATCACAATTTTCACAGTGCTTTTAAATATATTCTTCATATAGTCTTTTCAACAATATTGTGATAGTCCCTTTTACAGATGAGATGCAGAAAGCTTGAGCAACTTAGTGCAAAACAAGCAGTCCTCTTATTTCCAGGCCCGTTCTCTTTCTCAACATGCATTTAACTCACAAGGCTTCTTTTTTTAACTTTCTGTCTTGAAAATTTTTTTCAATTCTTCAGCTAAGACAGCAGAAGAGATGATTTATTGTATACTGTTACACTCAGCCACAGCTTATTTTTTAAATATTAGATTTACATGTAGTTGCAGTTAGTAATAGTACAGAAAGATCTCTTGTATCCTTCACTCAGTTTCCCCCAGTGGTAACTATATCTCGTATAACTATAGTACAGTATCACTATCAAGAAATTGACATCTAGTGACCTTATGTAGAATTCACAGGTTTAACATGCATTTGTGTGTGTGTGCATTTAGTTCAATACAGTTGTATCATGTGTAGATTCATGTTACCTCCACTACATTCAAGATGTAGAACTTCAGTCACCACAAGTATTCCTCATGCCACATTTTTTTATAGCCACAACTGATCCTCCTATACCCCAGCTGCTAACCCCTGCAAATCACTAGTCTATTCTCCAGGTTTACAGTTTTGCCATTTTGAGAATATTATATAAATGGATTAACCATTGTAACCTTTTGGCATAGACAACTTTTATTTTTTAATAAGATTTACATTTAATTTATGTCAAAAATAAAGACATCTTAAAACGTAAGCCTTCTCTCTGTTGGAACAATGGATCTCTTTCTAAGTTCTTGGCCTACATGTTGTAAGAGAAGAATTGGATGAACCACATGACAGAAATTAACAATGACAAAGACTCTCAAATTTCAAATCTAGATACACATAGTTCTTGGATTTTTAGATGACACAACTTTTTCCTTTTAAAAATGGTTCAAAAAACAAAAGATGGTTCAATGGCCATTGCCTGCCTTTCTTCTCAAAATGCTTTCTTGTGAAAATGCACCTAGTTGTACATCTTGGGTGGATTTTTACTGTCACATCAGTGACTATGGAAAAAGAAGAGTGATATCCTGGAAAATTGTGGAATAAGAAGTTTCAGAGCTTGGTCTTCTAACAAAACAACCACTAAATGTGAAAAAGGTATTATCAACTATTTTAGAACTCTGGAAACTGATTGAACACTTACAGCAACCTGAGGAGTGCTTGATGAAGAAAAGTATAACTGAAATGCAATAACATTTCATTGCAATACAGCTAGCAATCCCCTTTCTTCTACCCTGCTGCAGCCATGGGGATAGTAGTCTGCATTTCTGGAGTAGCTGGCTATTGCCAGGGGTGGCAGTAAGGAACTTTTCCTACAAATTTTAGGAGTTGTGCATTTGGTCAGTCTGGCAGTTCCCTAAGGAACCAGCAAAGACACTTTTTATTTTTCAGCCCCCCTGGCTTGTAGCAGCTTTCTCATGGCAACTAACAGAAAATGTAAAGGAACACACTCTTTTCTCTCTCTCTTTGGATCCATACATTTAATTAAATCTCTGTCAGGTCAGTGCCTGACTACAGCAATAACAGAAGAGAAACTTCTTTATCCACATAAAATACTGCAGCCTTAAGCAAGCAAAAATGAGCAATCCATGAAGAGCAGTAGAATCTGATTTTGAGAGTTACCACGTTATAGTACTCAAGATGTCTAATTGTCTAATTCTCAACAAAAAAGTCACCATATAAAGAAACAGAAAAGTATAGCCCATTCATGGGAATTTTTTTTTTTAAAAGAAGTTTTACAGAAACCATCTCTGAGGAATACTAAACATTGGAGTTACTAGTCAAAGACATTAAACCAACTCTCTTAAAATGCTTAATCAGTTAAAGGGAAACTATGGACAAAGAACTATGGAAAATCAGAAAAACAATGTATAAGGCCTGGCACAGTGATGCACACCCGTAATCCTAGTGCTTTGGGAGGGTAAGATGGGAGGATCACTTGGGGCCAGAAATTTGAGACCAGTGTGGTCAATATAACAAGACCTCCAATCTGTACAAAAATTAAAAAAAAAAAATTAGCCAGGTCTGGTGGCACATATCTGTAGTCCTAGCCACTTGAGAAGCTGAGACAGGAAGATCCCTTGAGCCCAGGAGTTTGAGGCTGAACTGACACTGTACTCCAGCCTGAGTCACAAGAGTAAGACCCTGTCTCTTAAAAAAATAAATAAATAAAAATAAAAAATGTACAACCAAATAGGGCATATCAATAAAAAGATAAAAGTTATAAAAAAGGAATCAAATAGAAATTCTGAACATAAAAGTACAGTAGATTCAATGGAAATTCACCAGAGGAGTTCAATTGCAAATATGAGTAGGCAAAAGAGAAAATTACCAAACATGAGATAAGGCTATTAAAATTATGCAATTTAAAGAGCGGAAGGGAAAAAGAATGAAAAAAAAGGAACAGAACCTTAGGGATTTGTGGGACACCATCAAGCATACCAGCACATGCATCATGGAAGTGTCAGGAGGGATGAGAGAGAAAAAAACAGAGCAAATATTTCCCAAATTTGATGAAAGACATGAATATATTCATCCAAAAACTTAAACATTAAGCAGGATGAAGTCAAAGAGATCCACAGTAAGACATGTTATACTCAAATTCTACAAAGCAAGAGAATCTAGAAAGCAAAAGGAGCTAACTCTTCACGTACAAGGAATCCTCAATAAGATTAACAGTGGATTTCTCATCAAAAACTATGGAGGCCAGAAGGAAGTGGGATGGCATATTTAAAATAGTAAAAGAAAATAACTGAGAATTCTATATTTGGAAAAACTGTCCTTCAAGAGTGGAGAAAAGTAGGACAGCTCTTTTAGAATTTGTCTAACTGGTTCCTAGTCTTCACTGGAAGCACCCTCCACTCCTAAAAAAAAAATGGAGAAACAATTATTATATTTTCAGATGAAAAGACTGGGGGAATTTATTACTGGTACACTTGCTTTACAAGAAATGGTAAAGGGAGTCTTTCAGGCTGAAATGAAAACCATATGAACAAATAACACTAGTAAAAGTAACTACTAGTAAAGGTGACTACACTAGTAAAGGTAACTACACAAGTAAATATAAAAGCATTATTGTATTTTTGGTTTGTGATGTTTCATTTTACTATGTAATTTAAAGGATAAATGCATAAAACAATAATTTTAGATTTGTGTTAATAGTATATGATGTAAAAATATGTTACCTGTGACAATATAGAGATGGACGTGTATAGGAATAGTGTGTGTGTGTGTGTATATATATATATAATTGAAACAAAGTTGACATTATTCAAACTAGGTCATTATAACTTTAAGATATTAATTGTAATCCCCACAGTAACCACAAAGAAAATAACATACACACACATCAAAATGGTACACTACAAAATATTAACTAAATATATATATTTTTAAGTGATGATGGAATTGAGGTTCAAAAAACATGTAAGATATATAGAGAACAAATAGCTAAATGATAGCAGTGAGTCCTTATCAGTAATTATTTTGAAAGTAGTTGAATTCAACTCTGCAAATTAAAGGCGAATATTGTCAGAATTGGAAAAACACAATCCATCTATATACTGTCTACAAGAGACTCTCTTTCAATACAAAGAAGTTAAAAGTAGAAGAACAGGAAAAGATAGTCTATGCAAGTGGTAATCAAAAGAAAGCTGAGGTGGCTATATTAGTGTCAGAAAAATAGACTGGGTTTTTTATGTGTTTTTTTTTTTTTTTTGAGACGAAGTCTCGCTCTTGTCCCCCAGGCTGGAATGCAGTGGTATGATCTTGGCTCACTGCAACCCATGCCTCCTGGGTTCAAGCGATTCTGTTGCCTCAGCCTCCCAAGTAGCTGGGATTACAGGCACCTGCCACCACACCCAGCTAATTTTTGTATTTTTAGTAGAAACGGGGTTTCACCATGTTGGCCAGGCTGGCCTTGAACTTCTGACCTGAGGTGATCTGCCCTCCTCAGCCTCCCAAATTGCTGGGATTACAGGCGCGAGCCACCGTGCCTGGCCAAATAGACTGTTTTTTTTTTTTTTTTAGATAGAGTCTTGCTCTGTCGCTCAGATTGGAGTGCTGTGCTGTGGTCACAGCTCACTGCAGCCTTAACCTCCCAAGCTCAAATGATCCTCCTACCTCAGCCTCCTGAGTAGTTTGAACCACAGGCATGTGCCACCACCACACCTTGTTATTTAAAAAAAAAAATTATTTGTAGAGACAGGATTTCACCATGTTGCCAGGCAGGTATCAAACTCCTGGGCTCAAGTGATCCACCTGGCTTGGCCTCCCAAAGTGCTGGGATTATAGCCATGAGCCACCATGCCCAGCCAGAAAAATAGACTTTAAGCCAAAAAGTTAACAGGAAACAAAGAACGTTATTTCTTTATAAAAGGTTGAATTTGTCAAGAGTATATTATAAACATATATAGCAAAGTTTTGAAATATATGAAGCAAATATTGATAAAATATAAGGAAGAAATAGATTGTTCTACAGTGGTAGTTGGATACTTCAATATCTCACTTTCAATAATGGATTGAAACAACGACCACACAGGAGATCAATAAGGAAATGGAGGCCTTGAACAACAACATAAACCAAGTAGACCTAAGAGACATAAAGATCACTTTTCTTCACTTCCTGTAACAGCAGAATACACATTTTTCTTCAGGTGCCCTTGGAACATTCTCCTGGATATATCCCATATGGTAGGCCCCAAAGGAAGTCCTAATAAGTTTTTATTTTTATTTTTATTTTTTGAGACAGAGTTTTGCTCTTGTTGCCCAGGCTGGAGTGCAATGGTGCAATCTCACCTCGGTGCAGCTGCCGTCTCCCAGGTTCAAGCAATTCATTGTTCCTGGAGAAGATAATTTGTATGATTTCTATCTTAAAAATTCATTAGGGGCTGGGCACGGTGGCTCACGCCTGTAATCCCAACACTTTGGGAGGCCGTGGCAGGTGGATCATCTGAGGTCAAGAGTTAAAGACCAGCCTGACCAACATGGTGGAACCCCATCTCTATGAAAAATATTTTAAAAAATTAGCCAGATCTTTTGGCAGGCACCTGTAATCCCAGCTACTCAGGGGGCTGAGGCACAAGAATCACTTGAAACCAGGAGGCAAAGGTTGTAGTGAGCTGAGATCTCACACTCTATCCACAACAGAGTGAGACTCTGTCTCAAATAAAATAAGAAAGAAGGCCGGGCGTGGTGGCTCACTCCTGTAATCCCAGGACTTTGGGAGGCTGAGGCGGGTGGAGCACGAGGTCAGGAGATTGAGACCATCCTGGCCAACACAGTGAAACCCCGTCTCTACTAAAAAAAAATACATAAAATTAGCTGGGTGCGGTGGCGGGTGCCTGTAGTCCCAGCTACTCCAGAGGCTGAGGCAGGAGAATGGCATGAACCCTGGAAGCGGAGCTTGCAGTAAGCTGAGATTGTACCACTGCAGTCCAGCCTGGGCGACAGAGTGAGACTGTGTCTCAAAAAAAAAGAAAAGAAAAATGAAATCGCTGATAGAAGGCAAACTGGAAAATTCACAACTATGCGACATTCAAAAAACAAACTGCTGTATAACAAATGGGTCAAGGAAGAAATCACAAGGGCTTCCCTCTTTGAAAAGAAATGAAAAGAAAAATATCACAAGGGAAATTAGAAAATCCTATGAGACGAAAACTAAAACACAATATGCCAGAAATTATGGATGTGGGGAAAGCAGTGCTAAGAGGAAATTTTATAGCTATAAATGTCTCCATTTAAAAAGAAGAAAGAGCTCCAATAACCTAAGTATATACCTTAAGGAATGAGTAAAAAAGGAGCAAACTGAACTCAAAGCTAGAAGGGAGAAAATAATAAATATGAGAACAGAGAGAAATGGAGAATAGAAAGACAGAAAAATTAACAAAGCAAAACCTGGTTCTTTGAAAAGATAAAATTGATAAACCTTTAACTAGATTGGCTAAGAAAAAACTCAAATTATTAAAATCAAATGAAAATGGGGACATTACTACTGACTTTACAGAAATGAAAAAGGATTGTGAGAGAATACTATGAAAAGTTGTATACCAACAAATATTACGCTAACAAATTGGATAACCTAGTTGAAATGGCCATATTCCTAGAAAGATGCAAAGTACCAAAACTGATCGCAGAAGAAATAGAAACTGAATAGTCCTATAACAAGAGATTGAATCAAAATAAAAAAAAATCCCCCAACAAAGAGAAGCCCAGGATCACATGACTTTACTGATGAATTCTACCAAATATTTAAGAGTTAACATAAATCCTTCCAAAAAAATTGAAGAGGTGGGAAACACTTTCTAACTCATGAGGCTAGTATTACCCTGATACTGAAGCCAGGCAAAGATATTACAAAAAACTATAGGACTATATTCATTATGAATATAGATGCAGGAATCCTCAACAAAATACTAGCAAACCAAATCCAGCAGCCTGTTTAAAAGATTATGCGCTATGACCTAGTGGGATTTATCCCAAAAAAGTTAGGGTGGATCAACATAGGTAATTTAATCATTTTATATACCACATTAATAAAGAAATAAAATTGCATGATCTTAATTTATGTAGAAAAGTACTTGAAAAATCTGGAAACATCCCACGATGAAAAACATTGAGTAAACTAGGAATAGAAAGGAATGTACTCAGGCCAGGTGTGGTGATTCACGTCTGTAATCCCAGCACTTTGGGATGCCGAGGTGAGGAGATCACTTGAGCTCACGAGTTCAAGACCAGCTTGGGCAACATGGTAAAACACCATCTCTACCAAAAAAAAAAAGGAATTAGCCAACCCTGATGGTGCATGCCTGTAGCCGAGATTGTACCATTGCACTTCAGCCTGGGTGACAAATGAGACCCTGTCTCAAAAAAAAAAAAAAAAAAGTTCTTAGCATGATAAAGGCCATCTGTGGAAGCTTATAGCTGGCATTATACTCAGTGGTGAAAGATTGGCAGCTTTTCCCCTGAAATCAGGAACAAGACAAGGATACCCACACTTACCACTTGTATTCAACATAGTAGTGGAAGTTCTGTCCTGAGCAATTAGGTAAGACAAAGAAAGAAGTAAAACTATCTTTATTCACTGATGATGTAATCATATGTAACCCAAAAGAATCCACACACACACACACACACACACACACACACAAACACTTTGTTAGATGTAATAAACTAATTCAGCAAAGTTGTAGGATACAAAGTTCATACTCAGAAGTCAGTTATACAGTCACGAGTCACTTAGTGTCAGGGATACCTTCTCAGAAATGCATTGTTAGGCAATTTTGTCTTTGTGTAAACATCATAGAGTATATTTACACAAACCTAAGTGGTACAGCCTATTCCTCCTAGGCTACAAACTTGTACAGAATGTTACAGTACTGAATACTGCAGGCAATTGTAATACAATGGTATTTGTGTATCTAAAACAGAGAAAGTACAATAAAAAGGCACAAAAGATGATGGTACACCTGTATAGGACACTTAACATGAAAGGAGCTTGCAGGATTGGAAATTGCTCTGGGTGAGTCAGTGAGTGGAGTGAATGTGAAGGCCTTGCACATTACTCTTCACTTCTGTATGATTGGCTGTGCAGATGTTTTAATACCACCATCACCACAGACATGAGTAATACATTGCACTATGACATTAAGTTAGCAATAGGAATTTTTAGCTCCGTTATAATCTTGTGGGACCAACATCATATATGTGGTCCATTGTTGGCAAAAATGTCATTATGTGATGCATAACTGTACCTCTATGCACTAGCAATTAACAACCTGACAAATTAAGAAAACAATTCCATTTACAATAGCACCCAAAACATTAACATAAAATATTTAGGAATAAATTTAATCATGGAGGCACAAGATTGTAATCTAAAAACTGCAAATATTGCTGAAAGAAATTAGACAAATAGGCATCTCATGTTCATGGATTGGAAAACTTAATATTGTTAAGTTAGCAGTACTACCCAAAGCAATCTATAGATTCAGTTTAATCTCTATAAAAAATCCCAATGGTGTTTTTTTTTATAGAAGTAGAAAAACTCGTCCTGAAATTAATATGGAATTTCATGAGATCCTGAATAATCAAAATAATCTTGAAAAAGTTGAGGGACAAGCTACAGTAACCAAAGAATTTGATACTAGCATAAGGATAGACATATAGACCAATGAAGCAGAAGCGAGAGCACGTAAATAAACCCTCACATATATGGTTAAATGATTTTTTTCAAAGTGCCAAGACATTCAATGGGGAAAATAGGGTCTTTTCAACAAATAGTATTAGCAAAACTGGATATCACGTGCAAAAGCATAAGTCTGGACTCTTACACTGTATCCAAAATTTAAAATGGATTAAAGGACTACATTTTAGAGCTAAAACCGTAAACCTTTTAGAAGAAAACATAGGGACAGATTATCATAACCTTGGATTTGGCAATGATTTCTTAAATATGACACCCAAAGCACTCACAACAAAAGGAAAAAATAGATAAATTGGACTTCATCATAAGTAAAAACTTTTGTGCATCGAAGAATACTATCAAGAGTGAAAAAACAACCCACAGAATAGAAAATATTTGCAAACCATGTATCTGATGAGGTGTACCATCTAAAATATGTAAAGAATTGCTGCAAGTCAACAACAGAAAGACAAACCCAACTTTCAAATGGGCAAAGGACTTGAATACACATTTCTCCAAAGAAGATATGCAAATAGCCAATAAGCATAGGAAAAGATGCTAAACTCTGTTAGTAATGAGAGAAATGCAAATTAAAAGCAATAAGATACTTCTTCAAACCCATTAGGGTAGCTATTACTTTAAAAGAGGGAAAATCACAAATACTAGCAAGAATACAGAGAAATTAGAACCCTCGTGCATTGCTGGTAGGATGGTAAAATGATACAGATTCTGTGAAAACAGCTTGGTAATTACTCAAAATGTTAAACATACCAGTTGCGCTCTTAGGTATATACCCAAAGAGATAGTTGTACACCAGTGTTCACAACAGCACTGTTCACAATAACCAAAATGTGGAAACAACCCAATTGTCCATCAACACATGAATGGATAAACAAAACATGGTATACCCACAGAATGGAATATTCAGCCACAGAATAAAGTTTTTGATATGTGCTATAACATGAATGGACTTTGAAAATATGCTAGTTGAAATGCCATAAACTAAAGGACAAATATTGTATGATTCAAAATTTGTATGACTCATAAAGACAAAGTAGATTACCAGGGGCTGCAGGGTGAGGAGGGGGAATGGAGAGTTACTACTTTACAGGTACAGAGTTTCTGTTTTGGATAATAATGTTCTGGAAATAGATAGTGGTGATGATTGCACAACATTGTGAATGTACTTAATGCCACCAAATCATACACTTAAAGACAGTTATAGTGGTACATTTTATGTTATAAACTTTTTTCCACAATCAAACTATATTATGTATGTATATGAATAAGAATTCAGTGTAGTTACTACTTTTGAGAATCACTACTCTAACCTAACAGTTAATGAGAAAACCCTTAGGTTTTTTTGATTCAAATTCTTTATCTTTCAATCTTATTTGGGTTTTCCAAATAGATTTTTCGGTGGCTCATGCCTGTAATTCCAGCATTTTTGGAGGCCAAGACTGGCAAATCACAAGGTCAGGAGTTTGAGACCATCCTGGCCAATGTGGTGAAACCCTGTGTCTACTAAAAATACAAGAAATTAGCTGGGCATGGTGGTGGCTCCTGTAATCCCAGCTACTTGGGAGGCTGAGGCAGGAAAATCGCTTGAACCTGGGAGGCAGAGGTTGCAGTGAGCTGAGATCGCGCCACTGCACTCCAGCCCAGGTGACAGTGCGAGACTCTGTCTCAAAAGAATAAAACATACTGGCCAGGCATCAGGAATATTCTAGTATTCTGCTGTTAATTTTATAATTTAATGAGTGCTTTTCAAATAACCAGTCGTTCTCAGAAGAATTTGTTAACAGGCCTAGCTTTTTGGGGTTGATTAGAGTTGGTTGAGCTGGGGTTCTGACACTGAGAGTCCAGAATGTTGAATATCTTGGTGATAGTAAACCCGGAGGCCCAATAGAAACAAAGTACATAACTGTTGTGCTGTGCAAACAGGGTAATTCAAATTACCTATTTGACATTATGTATTGAAGTAACTCTAAAAACAAAATATTACCTTTTCATTAGTCAGGATAAGATAGGCTGTGCTGCAGGAGGAAAGAAATCCCTAAATTTGTGCGATGTTACCTTCTCATCAACAACTATCTACAAGAGAGGCTCAAGTTCCTCTTGTATTTAGTACCAATCTAACTACCTCAAAGGTGGAAAATGCAGATTTCATATGATGATCTGTCAGTGGCTCTTTCATAGTAACCTACATTTAAAAAATTTCTTCACAGTGAGCTATGTGATGTTTCAGTGACGTTTAGATTTGCTAAAATTTATTTCAGACAAAATAAGGACAAGATTTCTTTAGAGATGAGATATTTACAGGTTTTGGAGATTCGTTATTTCATAGTACTGGCAAAATTCAGTAGAACTCTCAACTTTGATACAGTTATCAACTTTGATGCTAGTGTTAAGAACCAACTGTGTAAATTAGTTGTGTGAATTAGTTGTATGTTCTCAAGCAATTAATTTTAACTCAATGTCAGCATCTGGAAATGGGGACAGTAGTACCTACCACATGGAAATCTTGTAAGGATAAAATGAGAATGAGTGAATGTAAAGTGTTTCACAGTGTCTGATACACTTCAGGTTATCATTAATGGCAGTTGTCATTATTGATTGAATATTAATTGGCTTTTTCTATGTTCATACAGTTTGGCGGACATCAAATGACATAGTGTAAGAGCTTTTTGAAAATTGTAAGTTGGTATGTAGATATTCACTTGACAACTGATTATAATCTTTTTTCTGAAGTCCTTATTTTCATTATATAATTGTTTAATTATATACTTCCTTGCATTTTGCTCTTATTTTGTGGGCGTTAATTTCATCTCCCAAACCAGTATATACACTCCTATACATACTAATATTTCATAGCTCATATTTGTTTTGTATCTCCTACATGAAGCACTATGTACTTAGTCAAATACTCAGTAAACATTTGTTTATTTTTAGCAATTGGTGATTTCTAAGTAAGCTCTTAAGCACATCATAATTGCAATTGGAATTAATGTTACTTTGAACATGAGATTGCTGCTACACACCTGAGAATTCTCATCAGTCAAAGGTAACCTTCCTGTGTATCCCAGAAGATGCAGACCTGATAAGAGTGATTTATACCTCTCTAATCCATAACACAGATCTTTGCAATCTACGTTGCTTTCCAAGATACTCTAAACCTGAGGCTACTGAAATAGGTAATGCAGATTACTTACCTAGTGAAGGTATTCCTTACCAAATAGAAAACACTATTACCAAGCCTATTTGTTGGGTTGCCTTTAATATTTATTCTCATGTACAGTCTAAGTTAAGATACTGCTTTTTCTAAAAAAAAAAAAAAAAAAAAAAAAAAATTTCAGGAAATTGACACAGTACATAGCCCATAATCTGTTGTCAGTAATTTTTTGTGGAATTAATGATAAAATAACATTGAGCCAGTACCTCAAGAACTACTGTAGCTAAGACCCTAACTTTAAAATTAAAGTGTTGGATTCTCAGTTGTGCCATTTACTAGCTATGTGTCTGTGGGTGATGTAGTTAAACTGTATAAAACAAAGTTTCCTCATGTGTTAAATGGGCATTATAATAACAATCTTACATGTTTATTGTATTAAATGGCACAGGTAGAACACTTAGCACAATGCCAGATACCTAGTAAGTAAAAAATATGGGTAACTTCAGCCATGATTAATTTAACTCAAAATTACTTAAATATTTGGAAAACGTTTCTCTAATAAGTTTCAAAGTTGGACAGCTCCCAAATTGGTTATTTCAGATGTTCAGTGACTTCATCAGAATTCAGATCTCTATTGTTCCACTCTGCTATCCTCAAAGAGGTAGTCGTTGTCTTCAGACTAGGTAACCTTATGGTCACAAGGTGACTGCTGCAGTTGCAGTCTTCAAATCCAGTCAAAACAGCATCCAGAAAAACAAAGAAAAGCATCTATCTCTTAACCTGAGTTTCTTGTTAAGAACAAGGAAATCTTTCCCAGAAGCCTTCTAGCATACTTCCCTTCCTAACGGATTGACTGAGTCACATCCCCACCTCCTGAATGATTACTGGTGAAGAGAGTGGGGTTATGAATTACCTAGGGGATGGGTTTACACAAATCAGTTTATCTCCAGGTTTTTTGTTGTATCATTTTTTTAAAGGGTGGATGCCTAAATAACATTGGTGTTCTATTAATAAGGGGGGAATGGGTGTCTACCATAGCTATTATTATGCATAAAAGAATATTCACCATTCCTTTTTGAAGGAGTATTTGACTGTAAAGGACAGTCAAGTATCTCCTGAAACTGCTTGGTTACTTCCCATTGCTATCCATCAGATACATCATTGCCATCGTTTATTAGACAAACTAATTCCAATTTCATTTTTTGTCAGTCTTTTAAAAAACCTGTTTCATTCTGTAGTGTTGCTGCTACTGACAAAGTTATTGAAGGGTCACAGCTAAAAATGGCAAATACTAGGCCAGGTGCAGTGGTTTACACCTGTAATCCCAACACTTTGGGAGACAGAACCTACAGGATCCATTGAGCCTTGCAAGAGTTTGAGACCAGCCTGGGCAACATAACAAGACCCTGTATCTACAAAAATAAATATAAAAATTAGCCTGGAGTGGTGGCACATGCCTGTTATCCCAGCTACTCTGGAGGCTGGAACAGGAGGATTGCCTGAGCCCAGGAGGTTAAGGCTGCAGAGAGTCATGATGGTGCCACTGCATTCCAGCCTGGGCAACAGTGTGAGGCCCTGTCTCAAAAAAAAAAGAAAATGTCTAGGATTATCAGGATTACTTGAGACAGATCAAAAACGTAAATGACATGCAAACTAGCTACTTTCTTAAGGTGAATTTTATCTTGGGACAGAAGCATTACTATACCTAACTTATAAAACTTTGCTTTCTAGGCTTAAAAAAATCAGGTAAAAAGTTATTTTCCACTTACTTTCTATCTGGATTAGCTAGTCTATGATTTTAGCAGCACCAAGATGACAACCAATTATAATATGACAAAATATTTGTGAAGGAATACAAGGAAGGGTCCACCAAACATTATTTTAATGATATATAGGAGTTTATAAAAAAGGAGGGAGTGATTATATAGTAATATATATGGGAAATGCTTTAGTTTCCCTGTTTCCTTCTTTCATATACCCATTTAAAAAATCTTTTTGCTAATGTGAACTTGGTTCTACAGGCTGGCTTGATATATAAACAGTTTTCATAAGAAGTTTAGATAATCTGTCTTTTTATACTCTGTCTCTATAAAATCCATAGAACTAAAAATAGACAGACTATAGAAACAGTTGGAGAAAAGAGTGAGACACAATTTAGACAAAAAGGTTAAGGTTGGCCGGGCGCAGTGGCTGATGCCTGTAATCCTAGCACTTGGGGAGGCCGAGGTGGGCGAATCACTTGAGCCCAGGAGTTAGAGACTAGCAACATGGCGAAAGCCCATCTCTACAAAAAGTTCAAAAATTAGGCAGGCAGGGTAGCATGCACCTGCAGTCCCAGGTTTTGTGGCATGGTGGGGCAAAAGGGGCTGAGGTGGAGGCTCGCTTGAGCCTGGGAGGTTGGGGCTGTGGTGAGCTGTGATGGTGCCATTGCACTCCAGCCTGGGTGACAGAGTGATACCATGTCTCAAACAAAACCAAAACAAAACAAAAAACAAAGCTTCATTGGTGACAAAAGTTCTCCCAAAAACAACCCACTTAATAGACATTTTCTTGGTTTTGTACTATTATCTTTTTACCTCGGAGCAGTGCTATTGATAGTAGGTCTCATTGGAAGCATTTTAAACATCCATAATGCAGATAACAATAATAGAATATATATTAACGCACATTTCTTTTGTATATAACTGTGATATATGGGAAGATCAGAACTATCTGAAGAATAGAGGGCATCATTTCTATAATTCAAATTTTTACATTAAAACCCTGTTTTTAGAAGGGGTTTTCAAATGGGACTGTTAATATTTGTCAGTGTATTTTCTAAAAGCAGCAATTTGGGCCAGGCAAAGCATGGCTCATCCCTGTAATCCCAGCACTTTGAGAGGCCAAGGTGGGAGAATTGCTTGGGCTTAGGAGTTCAAGACCAGCCTGAACAGCAAAGTGAGACACCCAACTTTACAAAAACATAATAATACAAAAAAATTAGCTGGGTGTGAGAGTGTGCACCTGTAGTCCCAGCTACTCTGGAGGCTGAGGCGGGAAGATTGCTGGAGCCCACAAGGTTGAGGCTGCAGTGAGCTATGATCACACTACTGCACTCCAGCCTGGATATAAGAGCAAGACCTTGTCTATAAAAATAAAATGCAGCATTTTTTAATTGATGTGTTCAGACAATTTGCATTTAATTGCTAATTTGTTTGAATTTAAGTCCACCATCTTGGTATTTATTTTCTGTATGTCCCATCTGTTTTATGTGCCTTTGTTTCATCTTTCCTGTTTTCTTTTAGGTTAATAAAGTATTTTTTGATTTCTTTTTTTTTTTTGGCCACAGGGTTTGTTTTTTATTGATTGCTTTAGAGATTACAATATATGTACTTATGTTACCACATTATACCTTGAATTAATGATATGCTGCCTTACTTGCAATGCAAGAACCTTACAATGGTATAATTCTGTTTACCTCTCTTTCATGTTTTATACTTTTGTGATATATTTTACATCTATGTATGTTATAAACTCCACAGTATATTATTATTTTTGCTTAAAGTCATTAATTTGGCCAGGCGTGGTGGCTCACGCCTGTAATCCCAGCACTTTGGGAGGCTGAGGCAGGTGGATCACCTGAGGGCAGGAGTTCGAGACCAGCCTGGCCAACGTGGTAAAACCCCATCTCTACTAAAAATAGAAAAATTAGCCTGGTGTGGTGGTGCACACCTGTAGTCCCAGCTACTCGGGAGGCTGAGGCAGGAGAATCACTTGAATGTGAGAGGAGGAGGTTGAAGTGAGTTCAGATTGCACCACTGCACTCCAGCTTGGGCGACAAAGTGAGACACTGTCTCAAAAAAGAAAAAAATCATCAATTTTTTTTTAATTATGGTAGAATACACATAATATAAAATTAACCATCTTAATCATTTTTAGTCATACCATTCAATAGTGTTAAATACATTTACCTTGTTGTGCTACCAATCTCTAGAGCTCTTCGTCCTGCAAAACTGAAACTATACCCATTAAACAGCAGCTCCCTATTCCCTTTCCTCCAACACTTGGCAGTCACCATTCTAACTTGATCTCTGTGATTTCAGTACCCTAGGTACCTAGTATAAATATAATCATAAAGTATTTGCCTTTTTTGTGACTGGCTTATTTCACTTAGCCTGATGTCTTCAAGGTTCATCCATGTTACAACATGTGTCACAATTTTTTTCTTTTTAAGGCTCTTATTTATTTTCTATTTTTTGTCATAGTAGCTATTCTAATGGGTGTTGCGGTTTTGATTTGCATTTCCCCAGTTAGTGATTTTGAATATCTTTTCATATGCTTCTAGGCCATTTGCATATCTTCTTTGGAGAAATGTCTATTCACGTAATTTGCTCATTTTAAAATTAGGCTGTTGGTTGTTTTGTTGTCGTTGAGTTGTTGGAGCTCTTTATTCTGCATATTAATGCTTTATTAGATTATTTGCAGATATTTTCTTCAATTCTCTATGTTGCCTTTTCACTCTATTGTGTCCTTTCATGCAGAGACGTTTTTAATTTTGATACAGTCCAATGTATTTGCTTTTACTTTTGTTACCTGTGCGTTTGGTATTGTTTCCAAGAAATTATTGCCAAATACAATGTTATGAAGTTTTTCCTCTATCTTTTCTTCTAAGTGATTTATAACTTTAGCACTTATAATTAGGCCTTTAATCCATTTTGAGTTAATTTTTGTATATGGTGTAAGGTAAGGGTCCAACTTCATTCTTTTGCATGTGGCTACCCAGTTTTCCCAGCATCATTTTTTGAAAAGTCAACTGACTTTTAAAGAATGTAAGAAAAGAAAGAAATAATGTCTATTTACCATATATTTACTATTTAATTCTTTGTATTCCTTCCCATAGATATGAATTTTCATACAGTATTCCCTTCCAGATAAAAAACTTTCTTTAGCAAGTTTTGTAGTGCGAGTCTGTTAGTATCACATTATCTCAGCTTTCATTTATCTGAACATGTCTATTTCACCATTTTTGAAGGATATTTTCATTGACTATAGAATATTAGGGTGACTTTAAAATAAAGATATTGTTGCATTATCTTCTGTTCTTTGTTGTTTCTAATGAGAAGCGAGTCATCATTCTTATTGTTGTTCCTCTGTATAATTTTTGGTTCTATGGCTACTTTTAAGATTTCTTTCTTTTTTTTTTTTTTTTTTGAGATGGAGTCTCGCCGTGTCACCCAGGCTGGAGTGCAGTGGCGCGATCTCGGCTCGCTGCAAGCTCCGCCTCCCGGGTTCATGCCATTCTCCTGTCTCAGCCTCCCAAGTAGCTGGGACTATAGGCACCTGCAACCACACCCGGCCAATTTTCTGTATTTTTAGTAGAGACGAAGTTTCACAGTGTTTGCCAGGATAGTCTCGATCTCCTGACATCGTGATCCGCCCGCCTTGGCCTCCCAACGTGCCAGGATTACAGGTGTAAGCCACCGCGTCTGGCCAAGATTTCTTTTTTATCTTTGGTTGTCATCCATTTAACTGTGATGTGCCTAGTTGTGATTTTATTTCCATTTATCCTGCTTGGGATTTGCTGTCCATCTTGGATGTACAGGTTTATGTTTTAAACCAGCTCTGGAAATTTTGACCAATATTTTATCAAAACCTTTACCCCATTCTCTTTCTCCTTTCTCTCTGGGACTCCAATTTATAAATATGTTAGCCTAATCTTGAATACACCTGTCATTGAGGATCTGTTAATTTTTTCTAATCTTTTTTCTCTATGTGCTTTTGTTTAGATAATTTCTATTCTAAAGGTTGTCTTCAGGTGCACTGAGCCTTTCTTTTACATTGTCCAGTCTGCTGTTAACTTTATAGTGGTTTTCTTTTCTTTAATCATTTCAGATACTGTCTTTTCCAGTTCCAGGATTTCCATTTGATTTTTATTTTCAGTTTTTAATTGCTACTGAAATTCCTTATATTTTCGCTCATTATATCCTCCTTTTCTTGTACATCATTTATCATATATATGAATTATAGCTACATTAAAGTACTTACCTATTAATCCTCACATCGCGATTGTCAGTGATTCTGTTTCTATTGACTGTTTTCCTTTGACTATGGGTCATACTTTCTTGCTTTTTCTCTTATCTTATAATTTTTTGACTATGTATTACTATTGTAAGTAATAAGTTTATGACATTCTTGATTTTGTTATCTTAGAAGAGAGTTTTTAATTTTGTTCCAGCAGGTAGTTAATTTACTGATAGATTTTCTTGATTTTGTGGAGGCTTGGTTTTAGGCTTTGTTCAAATTTATCTACTTCAGTTTTTCCCTTATTCTGAGGCATAAACCATACTCTTACAGTATGCTTCTTCTGGGGTTTCTAGAAAGTCTAGTGTTATATATATCCTTTCAACTTAAAGGGATTCACCCTCTAAACTGATTCATCATTTGGAAGCTGCGAAAATTTCTGCTTAGCTATTCCTTTTTTTTTCGCTGTTGTTTTCCTCTAGGTTTCTTGGGTCTTGCCCTACATGTACACAGTTCAGGAGTCAGATTTTGAAGCAACCCCTGTTCCCCCTCACCCCATGACTTCCCCTTACTGAAGATTTCCTCGCTCTTACTCCAGCTGCATCAGCAGCCTCAGACTCTAACTTCTGACTCCTCAGACGAGAAGCTGCTGCCTTCTGTGTAAGCTTTATTCCCTGTGTACCATGCAAACTGGGGAATAACCTCATTTTAAAAGTCAAGATAAATGTAGGTATCATCTACTGCTTCCGTTCTTTTTTTTTTTTTTTTTTGAGACAGGGTCTCATTCTATCGCCTAGACTGGAGTGCAGTGGCACAACTCAGCTCACTTCAGCCTCCACCTCCCGGGTTCAAGCGATTCTCCTGCCTCAGTCATCCAGATAGCTAGGATTACAGGCATGCTCCATCACGCCCAGTTAATTTTTGTA
This sequence comes from Homo sapiens, assembly GCF_000001405.40. Classification (NCBI taxonomy): domain Eukaryota; kingdom Metazoa; phylum Chordata; class Mammalia; order Primates; family Hominidae; genus Homo; species Homo sapiens. Next base: position 72,688,986 of record NC_000016.10, read on the forward strand.
TTTTTAGTAGAGAAGGGGTTTCACCATGTTGGCCAGGCTGGTCTCAAATTCCTGAGCTCAAGCGATCCTCCCACCTTGGCCTCCCAAAGTACTGGGATTACAGGCAGGAGCCACCATGCCCAACCTGGCTTTCCTTCTTTCAAGGGTCATATCACCTTCAGTTTCTGTCTGCTTTTGATTGCTCCACAGTGCCTTCAAATAGTTGTCTTCTTATATTTTAGGAAGGGTTTATAATTGTTATTATCAGAGGGGTTATCTCATTTAAGATATGCCACTATTTATGAAAGCCAGCAGTTACTAAAGCAGTATTTTTAAATGGAAAAATAAAGGGGTGGTTTCTAAGAAATTACTGGTTTTTAAAATTTTACCCAGCCATATTTGGAAAAGTAAAGATACTACCTAGAATGGGAAAAAGAGTTAGACAATCTTAAAAAAATAATTTCTAGTGTCTCCATAAGACTGTAAAATTAGGGACTATGGGCATGAAAATATATACTGCTTAGATCTCCAGCTGCAGGGAGCGTAAGTGATTTATGGCCACAGTTGCTGCCCTTTAGAACTCACCCCCAACTTTGTGCCAAGACTGTGGTTATAAGTGGTCTTTCTAGGCAGTGACTGTGTATGGTAGGAGTTCTAATGCAGGCTCTTTCTTGTGAAATGCAGGACCCTTTAATGAGACACTTTGGCTTAGGGACTTCCGATCAGCTGGGCCAAAACTTTTGTAGAAATGTGCTGCAGTCTGAGACCCTTCCTACCCAATCCTCCTTCCTTCCCTTTCTCCATCACAAGTAACAAAACTGTGTCACAGTCTTGAAGGCTCTCTTCTTTTCCTCCCGCTCCTTCATCTTTTATAGGTAAATCTCCTAATAAATCTTTTTGCATATCTAGTCTCATCTTGGCATTTGCTTCTTGGAAAATCCAGAGTAATAAAGAAACACAGACCCAAACTAGTGTCAGAAAAGGTACCAAAATGATGACTTTTAAAAAAGAATGTTCTTACGGAAAAATCCCAAATAATGTATGTAACTACTCCCTCCACCAGAAGGGAGAGCACAATTCCCGTCTCCTTGAGTGTGGTCTGTGCTTAGTAACTTGCTTCCAGTGAATAAAATAGTATTTTTTTCTGTTATTACCTCCTCCTCCTTCCCAAACACAGACATGCAGGAGCTTCTTTAGAAAATTTTTTCTAACATCCTCCCTGCCCCAGTGAAATATTAATGCCACAAATATTCTGTATATGTGTTTTGCTATATGAGTATCCATGTTTTATGCATAAAATAGTAAGTTATTTTTGCCCACCAAGAACCAGTTTTTTCCTTCCGTGGCATTTTAACAACCCCCACTGAGAATACATGAAATAGAGTGAGAAAAGGGAGAAATTCTAACTTGGAGAAACCTGGCAGACACTGCCTTAATCAACTGATCAAAGTTAACATCACCAGTGATAAGTCATGTTAATACCATATACCCTCATATGCAGTGAGGACGGTATTTTGTCTTTGTAGTAGTCTTTTCATAACTTTAGTCTTAGGAGAAACATCAGGCAAACCCATAATGAGGTACATTCTACAAAATACCTGACCTCTTCTGAGGTGTCAAGGTAATTGTCTTAGTCCATTTTGGCTGCTATAATGAAATACTATAGACTGGGTGACCTATAAACTTCAAAAACTTATTTCTCACAGTTTTGGAGGCTGGGTAGCCTAAGGTTGAGACATCAGCAGATTTGCTGTCTGTTGAGAGCCCGCTTCCTAGTTCGTAGACCTCTTCCTTCTTGCTATAACCTCACTTGGCCAAAGGGACAAAGGAGCTCTCTGTCACTTGTATAAGGTCCCTAATCCCATTCATGAGGACACCTCCCTTATGACCTAATCTTCTCCTGAAGTTTTCACCTCCAGATACCACTGGGGATTGGCTTCAACATCTGAATTTTGAGGTGGGGAATCACAGATATTTAGTCTATAATAGTAATGGAAAACAAAGGAAGACTGAGAAACTGTCTCAGATCATGGGAGACTAAGGAGGCATAACCACTAAATGCAGTGTGATATTCTAGATTGGATCTTGGAACAGAAAAAGAACGGTAGTGGGAGAACAGGTGTCATCTAAATGAAGTCTGTAGTTTAGAGCATTATATCAATGTTAATTTCTTAATTTTGATAAATTTACTGTGGTTTTGGAAGATATTAATATTAGGGGAAGTTGTGGGGAGGGGCATAAGGGAACTCTGCTGTTTTTGTAACTTTTCTGTAAGTCTAAAATTATTCCAGAATTACAAAAGTAAAAAAAGGAGTGTTTAAAGATTATTGTGTAGTCTGTATTCATATGAAAATAATGGTACAAATATTGAAAGAGAAGTAAATATATCACTAGAATTATAAATATTAAGCTAGTCTGAAATTATGTTTTTAAATATAATATCAGTAAATGAAAAAATATGGTAGATATAGTCTTTCTTAAATTTAGTGAAGCGTTTGATGTAGTATCTCATGACATCTGTGTACAATTAATTTAAGTTGTCCTGGATATAAGCAGAGTCATATGGATTAAAAACTAGCTGGAGAACCATAAAAAATATTGATAAACCATAAATGGTAATGTATCAAGTTGGGGAATGTGTCTAGGTGCTGCAAGGATCAGTGTTATGTCCTGTCTTATACAGCTGCTGCATTAATGATGTAGAAAAGGGAGTGAAAAGCGTGTTAATGAAATTCACAGATGCTATTAAATTAGGAGGTAATGGAAACAGCAGTGAGGGCAACAAAAGCAAGGTAAAGGTACTCAGAGAGCTTAGATATATGGAGTGGAAATAACAAAATTAGATTCTCTTCTTCCAAGGTAGAAACTACTACTGCATTAGGAGAAAAACAATAAAACAAAATAAGTATTCAAAGGGAACAAGATCTGAAAGTCATCAAATGGTCAAAAAGACCTAAGGGTGGCAGTGAATAACAAAGTAGATATAAATTTATGAAACAGTGATTTTGAAGATTACAGCCACATGTACTGCATGTCACAGAAAGAATACAATAGTCCATTCTTTTTTTTTTTTATACATTAAGTTTTAGGGTACATGTGCACAATGTGCAGGTTTGTTACATATGTATGCATGTGCCATGTTGGTGTGCAGCACCCATTAACTCATCATTTAACATTAGGTATATCTCCTAATGCTATCCCTCCCCCCTACCCTTACCCCACAACAGGCCCCAGTGTGTGATGTTCCCCTTCCTGTGTCCATGTGTTCTCATTGTTCAATTCCTACCTATGAGTGAGAACATGCAGTGTTTGTTTTTTTGTCCTTGCGATAGTTTGCTGAGAATGATGGTTTCCAGCTTCATCCATGTCCCTGCAAAGGACATGAACTCATCATTTTTTATGGCTGCATAGTATTCCATGTTGTATATGTGCCACATTTTCTTAATCCAGTCTATCGTTGTTGGACATTTGGCTTGGTTCCAAGTCTTTGCTATTGTGAATAGTGCCTCAATAAACATACGTGTGCATGTGTCTTTATAGCAGCATGATTTATAATCCTTTGGGTATATACCCAGTAATGGGATGGCTGGGTCAAATGGTATTTCTAGTTCTAGATCCCTGAGGAATCGCCACACTGACTTCCACAATGGTTGAACTAGTTTACAGTCCCACCAACAGTGTAAAAGTGTTCCTATTTCTCCACATCCTCTCCAGCACCTGTTGTTTCCTGACTTTTTAATGATCGCCATTCTAACTGGTGTGAGATGGTATCTCTTTGTGGTTTTGATTTGCGTTTCTCTGATGGCCTGTGATGATGAGCATTTTTTCATGTGTTTTTTGGCTGCATAAATGTCTTCTCTTGAGAAGCGTCTGTTCATATCCTTCGCCCACTTTCTGATGGGGTTGTTTTTTTTTTCTTGTAAATTTGTTTGAGTTCTTTGTAGATTCTGGATATTAGCCCTTTGTCAGATGAGTAGATTGCAAAAATTTTCTCCCATGTTGTAGGTCACCTGTTCACTCTGATGGTAGTCTCTTTTGCTGTCCAGAAGCTCTCTAGTTTAATTAGATCCCATTTGTCAATTTTGGCTTCTGTTGCCATTGCTTTTGGTGTTTTAGACATGAAGTCCTTGCCCATGCCTATGTCCTGAATGGTATTGCCTAGGTTTTCTTCTAGGGTTTTTATGGTTTTAGGTCCAACATTTAAGTCTTTAATCCATCTCGAATTAATTTTTGTGTAAGGTGTAAAGAAAGGATCCAGTTTCAGCTTTCTACATATGGCTAGCCAGTTTTCCCAGCACCATTTATTAAATAGGGAATCCTTTCCCCATTGGTTGTTTTTGTCAGGTTTGTCAAAGATCAGATAGTCGTAGATTTGTGGTATTATTTCTGAGGGCTCTGTTCTGTTCCATTGGTCTATATCTCTGTTTTGGTACCAGTACCATGCTGTTTTCATTACTGTGGCCTTGTAGTATGGTTTGAAGTCAGGTAGCGTGATGCCTCCAGCTTTGTTCTTTTGGCTTAGGATTGACTTGACAATGTGTGCTCTGTTTTGGTTCCATATGAACTTTAAAGTAGTTTTTTTCCAATTCTGTGAAGAAAGTCATTGGTAGCTTGATGGGGATGGCATTGAATCTATAAATTACCTTGGGCAGCATGGCTATTTTCACGATATTGATTCTTCCTACCCATGAGCATGGAATGTTCTTCCATTTGTTTGTATCCTCTTTTATTTCCTTGAGCAGTGGTTTGTAGTTCTCCTTGAAGAGGTCCTTCACATCCCTTGTAAGTTGGATTCCTAGGTATTTTATTCTCTTTGAAGCAATTGTGAATGGGAGTTCACTCATGATTTGGCTCTCTGTTTGTCTGTTATTGGTGTATAAGAATGCTTGTGACTTTTGCACATTGATTTTGTATCCTGAGACTGCTAAAGTTGCCCATCAGCTTAAGGAGATTTTGGGCTGAGATGATGGGGTTTTCTAGATATACAATCATGTCATCTGCAAACAAGGACAATTTGACTTCCTCTTTTTGTAATTGAATACCCTTTATTTCCTTCTCCTGCTTGATTGTCCTGGCCAGAACTTCCAATACTATGTTGAATAGGAGTGGTGAGAGAGGGCATCCCTGTCTTGTGCCAGTTTTCAAAGGGAACTCTTCCAGTTTTTGCCCATTCAGTATGATATTGGCTGTGGGTTTGTCATAAATAGCTCTTATTATTTTGAGATACATCCCATCAATACCTAATTTATTGAGAGTTTTTAGCATGAAGCATTGTTGAATTTTGTCAAAGGCCTCTTCTGCATCTATTGAGATAATCATGTGGTTTTTGTCGTTGGTTCTGTTTATATGCTGGATTATGTTTATTGATTTGCTTATGTTGAACCAGCCTTGCATCCCAGGGATGAAGCCCACTTGATCATGGTGGATAAGCTTTTTGATGTGCTGCTGGATTCGGTTTCCAGTATTTTATTGAGGATTTTGGCATCGATGTTCATCAGGGATATTGGTCTAAAATTCTCTTTTTTTGTTGTATCTCTGCCAGGCTTTGGTATCAGGATGATGTTGGCCTTGTAAAATGAGTTAGAGAGGATTCCCTCTTTTTCTATTGATTGGAATAGTTTCAGAAGGAATGGTACCAGCTCTTCCTGGTAACTCTGGTAGAATTCGGCTGTGAATCCATCTGGTCCTGGACTTTTTTTGGTTGGTAAGCTATTAATTATTGCCTCAATTTCAGAGCCTGTAATTGGTCTATTCAGGGATTCAACTTCTTCCTGGTTTAGTCTTGGGAGGGTGTATATGTTGAGGAATTTATCCATTTCTTCTAGATTTTCTAGTTTATTTGCGTAGAGGTGTTTATAGTATTCTCTGATGGTAGTTTGTATTTCTGTGGAATCAGTGGTGATATCCTCTTTATCATTTTTTATTGTGTCTATTTGATTCTTCTCTCTTTTCTTCTTTATTAGTCTTGCTAGCAGCCTATCAATTTTGTTGATCTTTTCAAAAAACCAGCTCCTGGATTCATTGATTTTTTGAAGGGTTTTTTGTGTCTCTATTTCCTTCAGTTCTCCTCTGATCTTAGTTATTTCTTGCCTTCTACTAGCTTTTGACTGTGTTTGCTCTTGCTTCTCTACTTCTTTTAATTGTGATGTTAGGGTGTCAATTTTAGATCTTTCCTGCTTTCTCTTGTGGGCATTTAGTGCTATAAATTTCCCTCTACATACTGCTTTGAATGTGTCCCAGGGATTCTGGTATGTGTGTCTTCATTCTCATTGGTTTCAAAGAACATCTTTATTTCTGCCTTCATTTTGTTATGTACCCAGTAGTCACTCAGGAGCAGCTTGTTCAGTTTCCACGTAGTTTGCAGTTTTTAGTGAGTTTTAGTGAGAAGTTTGATCGTCTGAAGCCTTCTTCTCTCAACTCGCCAAGTCATTCTCCGTCCAGCTTTGTTCCGTTGCTGGTGAGGAGCTGCCTTCCTTTGGAGGAGGAGAGGCGCTCTGGTTTTTAGAGTTTCCAGTTTTTCTGTTCTGTTTCTTCCCCATGTTTGTGGTTTTATCTACCTTTGGTCTTTGATGATGGTGACGTACAGTTGGAGTTTTGGTGTGGATGTCCTGTTTGTTAGTTTTCCTTCTAACAGTCAAGACCCTCAGCTGCAGGTCTGTTGGAGTTTGCTGGAGGTCCACTCCAGACCCTCTTTGCCTGGGTATCAGCAGCAGAGGCTGCAGAACAGTGGATATTGGTGAACAGCAAATGTTGCTGCCTGATCATTCCTCTGAAAGTTTTGTCTCAGAGGAGTACCCGACCGTCTGAGGTGTCAGTCTGCCCCTACTGGGGGTTGCCTCCCAGTTAGGCTACTCGGGGGTCAGGGACCCACTTGAGGAGGCAGTCTGTCTGTTCTCAGATCTCCAGCTGTGTGTTGGGAGAACCAGTACACTCTTCAAAGTTGTCAGACAGGGACATTTAAGTCTGCAGAGATTTCTGCTGCCTTTTGTTTGGCTGTTCCCTGCCCCCAGAGGTGGAGTATACAGAAGCAGACAGGCCTCCTTGAGGTTTGGTGGGCTCTACCCAGTTTGAGCTTCTGGGCCAGTTTGTTTACCTACTCAAGCCTCGGCAGTTGCGGGCGCCCCTCCTCCAGCCTCACTGCTGCCTTGCAGTTTGATCTCAGACTGCGGTGCTAGCAATGAGCGAGGCTCTGTGGACATAGGACCCTCCGAGCCAGGCACGGGATATAATCTCTTGGTGTGCCGTTTGCTAAGACCATTGGAAAAGCTCAGTGTTAGGGTGGGAGTGACCCGATTTTCAGGTGCCGTCTCACACCCCTTTCTTTGACTAGGGTAGGGAATTCGCTGACCCCTTGCACTTCCCGGGTGAGGTGATGCCTCGCCCTGCTTTGGCTCATGCTCGGTTAGCTGCACCTACTGTCCTGCATCCGCTGTCCAACACTCCCCAGTGAGATGAACCCGGTACCTCAGTTGGAAATGCAGAAATCACCCGTCTTCTGCATCGCTCACGCTGGGAGCTGTAGACTGGAGCTGTTTCTATTCGGCCATCTTGGCTCCTCCCATCATAGTTCGTTCTTCATACCTCCAGTAAAAAGACTTCAGGAAGACATCTCATTTTGTCGCAAGTTGGTACCTAACCACTGCTGACAAAATAGAAGTAGTAATAAGAATGATTAAGCCGTATAACACTGCAGACAAGTATATTCATCTTCAGCAAATTACCCTGGGCTATTTTACAAGTCTTTCCATTCATAGTTGCTGATTCTACTTCTTATCGAATGTAGGTAACTCCCATCCTTAGATATGTAACTTATACTGGGCCTCATTCAGAGCACCTTACCTCTCTTTAACCTCCTTTGTCTCCGTAATTAAACTTACAAAGTGATTCTTCCTAATACGTTTTATTTCCGTCTATATTAAAGTACATATAGTATTCCTTGATTACTTGCTGAAACTATCTTAGGTCTAGGTCATGTCTGTGTCCCACTGCTGCATGCACTATTTGCAAATACAGGTATATGTTATCAGCAACTATGGAACAAAGAGTGTAGACAAGAGTAACATCTCAGAACTGTGTTGCAATTGAGACCTGAATGAATGATAAAGAAATAAACCATAGATCTGAATTCATTTAGCAATACAGTTTTTTAATGACCACAGCATAAATCAGGTGACCCCAAGATGTTATCACCCACCTGGATGACTATCTGTACTTACTAAATGATATGTGATAGATGCTTTTTAAAAAATTGTCTCAACAGAAAAAACCCTTTAGGAATCTCTATTTTTTGTAGTTTAGGAAAGCTTTTTTCTTTAACTTTTGCATTGAAAAAAATTATTCGTGAGGCCACGTGTAATATTTAGGCCCTTGGTATGTTCCAACTAGCAACAAATATTTGAGAAGCAGTGAGTTCGAAGGTATTCTCCTTCTTTTATGCATAAAGTCATGTAGAGCATGGAGAAGAAGGAAAGAACACTCCCACCTGGTTGGAAAAAGGTGTTACTTGTAAATAAGTTGATCTTTATTTTGAGAAACTGAGGAGAATCCTACACTGGATGGAGGAGAATCCTACATTGGATGGATGATTGGACCAAATCATTTCTAAGGTCCCTTCATGTGCTTTGAGGATATATTGTGTTGATCATTTGGCTACTTGAATACCTGCACAATACAAAGACAATTTGGTTGTCTTAAAAGCTTTACAGGAGAACTAGAACATTACCCGTCTATTTCTTGCAATAAACCTCCCAACTGTGGAGATACAGCTTTTCCATATGAAACATAACAAATTTCATATAATATGCAACAAGAATGAGTATATAAGGTACAACAAGAACTGCTCCCTCAGTTTATCTCTAGTTGCCTAAAGTGGTATGCTTGGTTATTACATTATTTATTACTAGACAACCTGGTACTCCAGTAAAATGCAGAAGGCCAGAAGGATAAGGAGGATAAAAGGCTGGGCATAAATGTGATTATCATTAATTTCTTGTAAAATTTTGTAATGAGGAATAAAAAAGGGAATGCTGCTCCTATACCTGAAATAGGTCATGTTGTTCAGTATTTTGGACTTTTTTTTTTTTTAGTAGCAAACCCCAAGAGGCTGCCTTTTTTATATTCCTTGAGGTAACCCTGTCATAATATTGGTCCTTACCCATCTGTCAGAGGCATAACTTTCATTTCTACAATCACTTCAACAATAGTTAGTAGGCCAGGCACGGCGGCTCAGGCCTGTAATCCCATCTGAGGCAGGTGGATCACCTGAGGTCAGGAGTTTGAGACCAGCCTGGCCAACATGGCAAAACCCCATCTCTGCTGAAAATATAAAAAATTAGCCGGGTGTGGTGGCAGGCACCTGTAATCCCAGCTACTCGGGAGGCTGAGGCAGGAGAATCGCTTGAACCTGGGAGACAAAGGTTGCAGTGAGCTGAGGTCACGTGCCATTGCACTCCATCCTGGGCAACAAGAGTGAAACTCGGTGTCAAACAACAACAACAAGAACAACAACAACAAAAAAAAAAAACGAAAAAATAGTAAACTAATCATGTCCACTGACTTAAGCCATAAAAGCATCCAGTTTACTATTGATATTAAATATCTAATTCTGATTACCCAGAACTTAATTTCTTTAAGAATTTTCAATATCCTTGTCATTCTAGATGCTACTAGTTAGCATTTCTTGAGTTTTATTTAGGTCTTAACGTCTGTATCACTTTCTTAAAAATCAGAAATATTCCCTTGACCTTGAGCTGTTTGATGCTTGGCATATCTTTTTATTGTTAAATCTTTTACCATGTTATAACCGGCCATGTGCAGTGGCTCGCACCTGTAATCCCAGCACTTTGGGAGGCCGAGGTGGGCGGAGTTTGAGACCAGCCTGGCCAACATGGTAAAACCCCATCTCTACTAAAAGTACAAAAATTATCTGGGTGTGGTGGCACACGCCTGTAGTCCCAGCTACTTGAGAGGCTGAGGCAGGAGAATTGCCTCAGTGATTTGAATCCCAGAGGTGGGGGTGGCAGTGAGCCAAGATCTCTGCCTCCCAGGTTCAAGCGGTTCTCCTACCTCAGCCTCCTGAGTAGCTGGGATTACAGGCGCCTGCCACCATGCCCGACTAATTTTTGTATTTTTAATAGAGATGAGGTTTCACCATGTTGGCCAGACTAGTCTCAAACTCCTGACCTCAAATGATCTGCCCGCCTCAGCCTCCCAAAGTGCTGGGATTACAGGCATGAGCCACCGTGCCTGGCCAGGAATTTATGATTTTAAAGATATCATTACTATTTATTCTTATCAAATGGATAATTTATTCTGATTCTGGCTTCTCCATTATTGCCTTCCTTTTAAAACTTTCTCAATTGTACTCTCTTCAGAGAATTTCCTAAGAAGTTTTTTGTAAGCTCAGATTATTGACCCTTTTTGTTCATATTTTGATTTAAACTAAACAAATATTAAAAGAACTACAGAATTATCTTAATCATGGCATTGAATTTCCATGTTTTCCTGATTTATTGTTATGCACAAATCCCAACTATGGGATGAGATCATCTCTATATTCTTTTTTTATTGTAATCTACCTCCTACACTGCGTAGACAAAAAGCAAGTATGCAGACTGTGGATACAAAATGTAAGACCCTTTAGATCACTTGGAAAACATCATCTAATGTTTATTCTGTAATCCTTTCATCATAATTTGAATTTATTGGGGGTAATGTTACTTTCCTTACAGTGATATTGACATTTATAATGGTATTCATGATAGAATCTGCAATTTTAAGTCAGTGGTCCCATATGGAGTTTTGAAGCATCCCTGATTTCTGCTAATATCTGCAAATGACAAACTAAATTGTTTTTGGTGTTTTTTTTTCCCAACTTATTTTCCCTATAGCTATAGGGAAAGATAGAGCAGAATCTCTATCTTTCCACAGAATTTGGACAAGAAATTTCAAGACAGTCACATGTTTTCCTTGTGCATAAAGCCTGGGAATAGGCTATGTTGTTGTATTAACTTAAAATAAGAGTCTGTTCATATTTTACATACTGATGGAAAGAAATATGGGGTCTAACTCCATTTCTTACAGTTTTTTTAAGTTCTTTTTTACTGTGTAGATCAGTATTTATTACTAGCTCATTAATCAAACTCTAACATATGGTATGGAGAGCTTTAAGTTCACCTTTTTTTGTACTGAATTTATTGCAACTGCATGTTATCAGGCAATATGTGACCAAAATGAAATAGCGGGACTTCAGTGTCATCTTTACAGACTCTGTCATATAAAAACCAGACTATAATAAATTTTCTTGGAATCTACTAAGTGTCACAAGAAGTTTATTAAATGAAAATTAGGTATTACAAAATTCTTGATGATCTCAGGAATATCGAAATGTTCTTGCTGTCTCCCTTCTAAATTGTCATTATTAAGTAAATTCTAACTTTTATGCAAAGCCTATGTGGTTTATTTGACACAGATTTATCTAGTAAAAGTTACCATTACTAGTAATCAGTTAGTTGTCTTTTTCTTAGCTCTTTAGGTGTGAATTAGCAGTGAGTTTATAGTTTTCATGGAGCCAATGCCAGAACATATAATACAAGATTTCAAATTCTGTTATCTTGAGAATGTTGAGGTAGAATCCCTTTGGTTTTTGTTGTTGTTGTTGTTGTTGTTGTCATTGTTGTCATCATTGTCCTTTGATCATGAATGTAACTGTGGACTCCAAGATGAGTTATGGGTGTTCCACAGTATTTTTTAAACATTCTTGGGTCTACTTCATACAAATCTGTATATGTAAATAAAATTAAATATAATTGTCTTTTCAGTGTCTTTATTAATCCTTTAGGTTTATAGTATTTTTTTTCTCAATTATTGGTGGCTTCAACTGCTGGCTTCTTGTATAAAGTTCTTGATTTTCTTTTCTTTCTTCTTGATTTTTTTTTTTTTTTTTTGAGATAGGGTCCTGTTCGGTAGACCAGGCTGGACTGCAGTGGTGCAATCACAGCTCACTGCAGCCTGAACCTCCCAGGCTCAGGCAATCCTCCCACCTCAGCCCCCCTAAATAACTGGGACTTCTGGTGTACACCACCACACCTAGCTAAATTTTTAATTTTCTTGTAGAGATGGGGTCTCACTAAGTTGCCCTGGCTGGTCTGGAACTCCTGAGCACAGGCAATCTTCCTGCCTTGGTCTCCCAAAGAGCTAGTATTACAGGCATGAGTCACCAGACTCACCCATGTTCTTGATTTTCTTATCATTTTCCTTTTTACAGAAGCTAAGCAAAAGAGCTATTTTTATCATTTATTTGTTTATTTATGTATTTATTGAGACAGGGTCTCACTCTGTCACCTAGGCTGAAGTGCACTTGGCATGAATCATAGCTCACTTCAGCCTTGACTTCCCAGGCTCAAGTGATCCTTCCATCCCAGTTTCCAGAGTAGCTGGGACTGCAGGTGCACATCATGCCTTGCTACATTTTGAAATTTCTTGCACAGGTGGGGTCTCACGATGTTTCCCAGGCTGGTCTCAAACTCCTGGGCTCAAGTTATCCTCCTGCGTCCACCGCCCAAGGTACTGAGACTGCAGGTGTGAGCCGCCGCGTTGGCTTCTTTTTAACATTCCTGCGAAATACTCATTTCTCATATGTTATGGTAGTCCTGTCGCACTCCCTTTGAATGTATTTTTGATCCTTTCTGATCTCCTTTAATTCCCTTATTGAGCATTATTTCATTTTACTTTTTTTTCTAAGTCTGCCTTCCTTGGCAGTTAGTATACTGTATCCTTTCATTTGCCTGTCTTCTCTATTTCTAATACAGTTCTTTCTTTTATTCATTTCTTTCACCAACATTCTATCCAAACAGATTTTTTTTGCCTTCCTGTATATTTAATTTGAGGTGGAATTGTTTGCCCTTTTAAAATCTTTTTTAAACTTTGAAAAACTCTCTCATTCTTCTGTCCTATCTTCCAACTATAAAATATTTTACAGTACCTCTTACATTCTTAATTGTTAACTGTTTGCTTTTAAAGAATGTATTCCACTGTGTCTAGTTGTAAATGTAACCTTCCTTTATATTATAAATTTTATTTTTTTTTGCATACAAACTCACACATTACCTTCTACCTGTAAATATGCTTTTATTTCTTTATATAGGTTAAAAACTCAAGATGAAAGATAAGCCATGGGCAATTGATAAAAGGAAATTTATGCTAATTTTGGAGTGGAGTGGTAGAAATTGGGATATCATTATGGGTTCATGCTGGAACTACTTGAAAGACTTGGTTAACTAAGCAGAGTTATTCATTGCTTACTTAGGCTGGCACTTATACCTACCACTGCCTTTTATCACAACTCGTGCTCTTAAAACTAGGTGGCTTTGGCTTGGGGGTCCACCATATATTTCTCCGTAAGTATGACCCAACTCCTAAAGATTGCTTCAAAGGAGAAAGGAATGGAGGAACACGAGCCATGACAGTTAGTTCAGATGTGAAAGATACTCACAATTCAAAATGCCTCACTACCTTCTGAAACATGTCCATAATCTCATTAGAGGTGGTTTTATGGAAACAAAAAAATGCTTAGGTTTGTATTTCTATTGTTTTAAGGCTAACTCTGTAGACTTGATATCACATTATCAGTATTCTGTCCTTGAAGAGTAGATTCTGTTCCAGAGTCACCTGCCAATATGCCCAGCTTCTTAGCTGTTCAAACATTCTCTTTTTTTTTTTTTTATTATTATACTTTAAGTTTTAGGGTACATGTGCACAATATGCAGGTTAGTTACATATGTATACATGTGACATGCTGGTGTGCTGCACCCACTAACTCGTCATCTAGCATTAGGTATATCTCCCAGTGCTATCCCTCCTCCCTCCCCCGACCCCACAACAGTCCCCAGAGTGTGATGTTCCCCTCCTGTGTCCATGTGTTCCCATTGTTCAGTTCCCACCTATGAGTGAGAATATGCGGTGTCAAACATTCTCTTCTACAACTTACTCTGAATTTGAGCTGTATCATTTAACAGGTCTGTTTTGTTTTGTTTTGGAGACAGGGTCTCGCTTTGTTGCCCAGGCTGGCATGCAGTGGTGCGATTATGGCTCACTGCAGCCTTTACCTCCTGGGCTCAATGGATCCTCCTGCCTCAGCCACTGAGTAGCTGGGACTACAGGTACGAGCCACCACACCCAGCTAATTTTTGTACTTTTTTTTTTTTTTTTTTTTAAGACATGGGGTGTCACTATGTTGCCCAGACTGGTTAACAAGTCTTATTTATTATTCTATAGGTTCACTTACAGGTTTATAACTTTCAAATATAAAACTAAAGTTTCCACTTACTAAAAGAGTAACTCAGGATATTTAAAGCCATATTAGTACTTGGGGTTTTAGTTTTCTAAAAAGCAGGGATTCTTTTTAGAAAAAGAAAATTTGAGATAGAATGGAAACTGGGATTTTACAATTCTATTTTATATAATACCCCTCTCATGGACAAACAGAAAAAGAGGACAGAGAGATAGAGGGAGGAACACAAATAGCATTTAAAGGAATAAATGATACAAAGTCAAGTCTAAAGAGAAGACAAATCAGAATACTAATTTTTATCAATTTAATCTAAAGCCTTATACATACAACTGAAGACAACTGATAGACTAGAAGAATAAAGATAAGAAATACTGTATTTTACAACAGGGTTAGTTCACTTGGAGGGTACCTCGTGCTTGTGGAAAATGTAGAGGGGGTAGAGAAAGTAAGCTTAGAGAAAACAATTATCTTTCAGGCTTTTAAATTATTTCTGCAGATCCTAGTAGAGTTGGGGCTTTGGATGGGCAGGGAGAGACTGCAGAACAAATCATAAGAATTCCTGTATCCATCTGTCTACCAGTGACTAAAAAAAATTGGGAGAGGAAATAAAAGATGCATTTGTGTCCCATTCATCACAATTTCATCTTCAGATGCAGATATTGCATCTGCACTGCTGCAGAGTTAAAATTTGTTGCAAATTTACATATACTCCCTGATTACATATTTTTTCTTCCACTAATTCAGAATAACTCAGCCTTTTTCCCTTTTATTTTCCGAAGGAAAATGTCATCTAATTCATTTTATTTTAGATGATTTTTCAAAATGTATGGCTGATTTTTTTTCTTGCACCAGAATTAATATTGAATTTATAAGTGTAATTTTTGAAAAATAACAGCTACTCCAGTTTATTCTATTGCTTCCTCTACCTTCAAAAGGAAAGTATCACAGTAACTTAGACATGTTTTATAAAGTACCTTTCTTTTATTCTTAATCTCCCTTTTTTTTTTTGGATCTGAGCAGAAAACAATACATTTCTAAAATGGCAGAATTGGGTTAAATTTCCACGGTGACTCACCTGCAATCCCAGCACTTTGAGAGGCCAAGCTGGGTGGATCTCTTGATCCCAGGAGTTTGAGACCAGCCTGGGCAACATGGTGAAACCATTTCTACCAAAAAAACAAAACAAAACAAAACAAAAAAATTAGCTGGGCGTAGTGGTGTGTACCTGTAATCCCAGGTACCTTGGAGGCTGTGGTGGGACGATCACCTGAGCCCTGGAGGCTGAGGCTGCAGTGAGCTGTGATTTCACCACTGCACTCCAGCCTGGGTGGCAGAGTTGGCAAAGTGAGACCCTATGTCATAAAAAAAGAAGGAATGGAAAATATGAGAAAAGAACAGGGAGTATCGAATATCCAGGCAGATTTTGGGAGGAATAAAAGGAAGCGCTAGAGATAAAAAACTAAATTCATCGAAATTAAAAGATCCATTTTCAAATAAAAAAATTCTGAAATTTTCCAAGAGGCAAGAAATACTTCCTTCTCTGTTGAACAGTGAGATTCTTTATGTGCACCTTCAAGCCACGTAGCATATTTTGCCAGTGACTTCTGGATCTTAACATGTGACTCCTATAACCTCTGAGAGCTAACTTACTGAGTTCTAGCAAATCTCAAGGCAGCACGCCATGTGTTAGTTACACTGCATAGCCTCTTCAAAATAAACCACAAAATACTCATGTTGATCCTGTGAGATTAAGACAAATTAAAAATCTAATACATAGTTTTGCTGTCAGGTCCTAAAGATCAAAGGTCAACATAGTATATTGCAGTAAGGCTATAGGTTACCCATGCCCCAATATTTTATCATAATAACCCAAATGGGGATGAAACACCCAGCAGTAGCCCATAAATCTATTAGCAGTGAACTGTCAGTGTCCCATATACTAGGGTAATTTGTTAATTCAGACCTGGGTCTCTCTTTTCACTAGACCTTGTAAACTCCTGTTTGAAATATCAATAAACCATCTGCTTTGACTTGTTAATCAAATGACTTTATTCAGTCCAAAGCAGTTTTTTCCTAATAAAAACAGAGTATTTATCTCCATGGCTATAAAAGAGGATTGTTTTCAACTGTTCACTTATAGTTAAGAAGCACATTTCATTTGGATTGATTTCCAATGCTTTGGTCATATCTTGTCACTTTCTATTTCTTACACACAGCATCTCAGTTTAGCCATTTAAGAAGGGAAAAACAGTCAAAATCTGGATGAGGTATGAGACTGGCACAAAAAAATCTGAGGTAGAAGTTTGAGATAGGAAAGAACTCGACCAAAATAATTATAGATCAACATTTTAATATGATTTCCTTGTGGAAGTTTTCCTATCGCTCCAGATAGAGTGTTCACGTTAGTCACGGTTTCTGCCTCAACTGAAGTTCCAGATGTTTGCCTTTTAGTCAGTATTGCTCGGTTCAGAGTCACAGAGCAGATAATATTTATCTATAATAGAAACTTTTTGTCCTCTGTTAAGCTTTATTGTGTTAGTGTAAAATAAAGTCAGCCTCAGTGAGATGGGATCATAGCATGTGAAGCTCTGCAAGTCTATCCCAGAAAATTGACCCCCTTTTCTGTAACCCACCGAACTGAGACAAAATGAGTATTTCTGAGGTATCCGTGGGGATACTCTCAATGCTCTGTGAATGAGCATCTTGAGGAATCGTCACGCTTCTTGCACCCTCTGTCCTTGGAGCTTACTGCCAGCTGGCAAATGGAGCACAGCCTATGACCTCTGACCTTGAATCAGCTCCTCTTGGACTGTTAGAAAAATGATGTCTGAGGAGAGTTCTGAGCATTTGAGTTATTACTAGATTCCGCCCTCTTAAAACACAAAGAAGAAATTTGTAGGTTTCCTTAATAAGCAGAGTCCTCAAATGCAACACAGATCATAGTGCATTCTGGGAATTGTTTCTCAGGGGCATAGCTTCCTTTCCCACTGCAAATCCTTGAACAAATAAAGATTAAGCAGTGAACAAAAAGTGTAATTTAAATGCCTACAGCATTTTTGTAGACTTCTTTTTTATTGAGACATCATTTGGTTTGCCACCATTTTAGGTGTTTTATGTTGAAGGTGGCATCATAGAGGAATGGGAGTCTAAGCAGTCCTGTTCCTCTCACCCTTCTTTATCTTCTCACTTTTACAGAGAGGAGAAAGAGAAAACCTTCTAAGCCCCTAACTCAAATCTTAGGCTCTTTTTTGAGCCTAAGAAAGAAAATGTGAGAAGTATGAAGTTTTATGGCTATAACAATGGATTTCTAATGTGGCAAGTTTTTTTCTAAAATTTTACTTTCATTGATCTTAACATTATTCTCGTGTGATTTTTCTTTTAATATTTCCATAACAAATATGAACCAAATACATAAAAAGTAACTGCTCCTAATGCATGAAATTTGGACAAATATTATTTTTTACTTAATGAATAATATTAATGATTCCATTAATTGAATCCTAGCCTTCACCTTGGCATTATGCCTTCTCACTTAACTAACAACTTAACTAAGAGAGGTGATCAATTATGGACTCTGCTTATGTGTTTAGCGTTCTCCAGACTTTAAGTTATTTTTACAAAGACTAGTGGAGCTGATTTGTCTTGTTGGTATTCTGTTTTCCCCTATGAACATGCAGTTTGAATTTAGTTTTGGTAAAATGTTTCATAAAAAGCTTTACAATGAGGGTCAGTTATAGTGTGGGGGAAAATACATTGGTTATAAGAGACAGATAAAATCAAACAATTCAAAATCCCTTCAATTCAAAATTGAACATTACCTTTTTACCAAAGATGAAGATCCTGCAAGGATGAATAGCATGCTGGGAAGCACTGTGATTAGATTGAGTTAAAAGATCAAGGACCGCACAGAACATTTAGGAAGATGACTAAGCAGTAGGTAGAGACAAGCAAAAGGGGAATAAAAAATTGATTAAAATGTTCCTACCTGGTAAAGCAATAAAATGAAAGGAGCATATACAGTAGTCCCCCCTTATTCACAGTTTTGCTTTCTGTGGTTACAGTTAACAGTGGTCAACTGCAGTCTGAAAATAAATGCGTACCTTACAATAAGATGTTTTGAGAGAGAAAGGCCATAGTCACATGACTTTACTGTATATTGTTATGATTGTTCCATTTTATTATTATTGTTAATCTTTTACTGTGCATAATTTACAAACCAAACTTTATCATACTTATGTATATGTGTGGGGGAAAAAAGGGTAATGTATATGTAGGGTTGGGTACTCTCTGCAGTTTTAGGCATCCACTTAGGGTTATGGAAAGTATCTGCTGTGGATGAGGGGAGACTACTGTAACTGGAAGAACATAGTTATGTACTTCTATTTATTCCAGCAAGACTACACAAGACAATTGTGTTGCATTTTGAACATTATATTAAAAGGAAATTGGAAGAAATTAACAAGACTATATTCACAGACGTTAATGGGTTAAAGGGAACTAATCTCTCAGTCAAGTTTAATGGAAGTTAATATGTATGGCTTGTCTAAGCAAAAACTAAGACAGGCAGTGAACACTTAAAATTTCAAGAAGATATAGAAGCTGTCTAACATGTTACTGGGAGTTATGTATGTAAGAGAACAAATTTATTTCTCATTTCTTCCTAAACATGAAATTTTAAGTTCACCATTAGGAAGTTTTAATCAAGATTCATTAGGCTAAGTTTTAAATATATTCTATAGTGTTCACTCTTATCATTTATCTTGATCTTAAAATTCTTTTATCTGACTGTTTGCTAAATAAGAATTTTAAATCAGGACAGAAAAGATAAAACAGTTTCTGTTATTGGATAGTTTCCCATTATAACACATCTTGATCTTATTAATGGGAAGAAATTTTCTTCATTTGGCTCTTTTCATTGCATAATTTACATGTGTAGATACAGATCTTATAGCCATGTTTTTTTTTTGTTATTGTTTTTTTTTTTGAAATGGAGTTTTGCTCTTGTTGCCCAGGCTGGAGTGCAATGGCATAGTCTTGGCTCACCGCTACCTCCACCTCCTGGGTTCAAGCGATTCTCTTGCCTCAGCCTCTTGAGTAGCTGGTATTACAGGCATGCACCACCACGCCCAGCTAATTTTTAATTTTTAGTAGAGACGGGGTTTCTCCATGTTGGTCAGGCTGGTCTTGAACTGTGGACCTCAGCTGATCCGCCCGCCTCGGCCTCCCAGAGTGCTTGGGTTACAGGCATGAGCCACTGTGCCCAGCCACCATATTTTAAACTAATAGTTTATATTTAAATAAAAAATCAGGAAGATATTTCTATGTGGAAAATTTAACAATGTATTTGCCTATCCATTTAAGAATGATTACTTGGAAACTATAGCAGTTTTCTTCACTTTTGTCTTTCTTTTCATCTAATTTCATATTAAAGATGCAACTTACACTAAGAACTGTATTAGAACACATATATTTCCATTAACTCATCTGAAAAGTAGTAATTTATGACTGATGGTCAAGTACTATTATATAAATAAGGTATTGTTCCAATAATTTATTTTTATATGCATATAGTTACTCAGTGAACTGGGATTCTGGTTTAAAATACAATTCTGACTCAGCTAGATTGGAGAGAGAATCTAGGAATTTGCATTTTAAACCAGCATCATAGATGATTCTTATGTAAATGATATGACTACCATTTTGTGAAAATTTACTTTGACAGTTAAATATGCTTTTAAAAATTAAGGCATGCCGTTTGGTTTCTAGTGATAATGGTAGACTAAGTAATTTGGACCATTCCTAATGCTGACAATAGTTAGAAAGATTGCCAGCGTGGTATCATGGCAAAACCTGATCTCTGCCAAAAATACAAAATATTAGCAGGCTGTAGTGGTGCATGCCTGTGGTCTCAGCTACTCAGGAGGCTGAAGTGGGAGGATCACTCGAGCCTGGGAGGTTGAGGCTGCAGTGAACCATGATCGGGCCACTGTACTCCAGCCTGAGTGACAGAGGACAGAGTGAGACCCTGTTTCAAAAAAAATAAATGAGAAAACTGGATGAAATGGAAACAAAAACCTGAGGCTTTGTAATACTAACAAAATACTGAAAAATTATGAGCCCAACTCAGAGAACATCCAAGAGTGATGTCCGGCACTTAGAAGTGCATTGCCCCTAGGCTGGACACAGTGGTTCATGCCTGTAATCCTAGCACTTTGGGAGACCGAGGTAGGCAGATCACCTGAGGTCAGGAATTCAAGACCAGCCTGGTCAGCATGGTGAAACCCCGTCTCTACTAAAAATTCATAAAGTAGCTAGGCATGGTGGTGGGTGCCTGTAGTCCCAGCCACTTGGATGGCTGAGGCAGGAGAATCGCTTGAACCCGGGAGGCAGAGGTTGCAGTTAGCCCAGATCGCACCACTGCCCTCCAAGCTGGGTGATGAAGGGAGACTCAGTCTCAAAAAGAAGTGTATTCCCTCTTCAGGTGTGTGCCACTTCCTGTAGATGCAAATATCTGCCATTTCCAGTGATGATGGCTAAAAGACTACAAAGCTGAATAGAGATACCCAGAATCATGAAGCCCAGGGGAAAATTGGAGTTCAAGGCCCACAGAGAGGGGAGAAATGTCTAATTAAATCTAAGAGGAAGGTTAAACCTATAATAGACCAGGTCACCCACGCAAGTGAAAACCAACTTCAAATTACTTGAAATCCTAATCTGATTTAGATGACTCATAATTGCTAGTGCCCTTTCCCATCACAGAAACAAATTTAAACCATTTTTAGAGGAAGATGAAATTATCCTAGGCCATCAATTGTCTCACCGCAATGTTTTTGTAAGCACTATTGGTACTCTATCAAAAATAAAAAGCTTAAGAAAGTACTGCCTAATAGAAAACCAAGAGAAGCAACACTCAGTATAAACAGAATCACACAGATGATTCATATAATGGAGTTTGCAGACATATTTCAAAATGGTTGTGCTTAATGTAGGAGTTCTCTATTTATTCCAGATATTTCTTATGAGACATGTGATTTACAAGTATTTTCTCCCATTCTATGGATTGACTTTTTACTCTGTGGATAGTGACCTTTGATACCCAAAAGTTTTTAATTTTGGTGAGGTCTAATTTATCTATTTTTCCTTTTACTGTTTTTCATGTCACTTTTGAGAAATAATTGCCAAATCCATTGTAGTAAATAAAGCTTTTGCCCTATGTTCTGTCCTAAGAGTTTTATAGTTTTGGCTCTTATGTATAGGCTTTTTATTCATTTTTAGCTAATTTTTGCATATAGTATTAGGTAAGGGTCCAAGTTCACCCTTTTGCATATGGATATCCTGTTTTCCCATTACCATTTTTTTTTTTTTTGAGATGGAATCTCGCTCTGTCGCCCAGGCTGGAGTGCAGTGGCACAATCTTGGCTCACTGCAACCTCCGCCTCCTGGGTTCAAGCAATTCTCTTGTCTCAGCCTCCTGAGTAGCTGGAATTACAGGCGCGCGCCGCCACGCCCCGCTAATTTGTTTGTATTTTTAGTAGTAGAGATGGGGTTTCACCATGTTGGTCAGGCTGGTCTCGAACTGCTTTCCTTGTGATCCACCCACCTCGGCCTCCCAAAGTCCCAGTACCATTTTTTGAAAAGACAGTCTTTTCCCCATTGGTCTTTCCCCAGTGGTCTTGGCATCATTGAAGAAAATCATTTGATGATGTATGTTAGGATTTATTCCTGTGCTGTCTATTCTATTATGTTGGTCTATATGTCATCTTTATGCTTGTACCATGCTGTTCTGACTGCTGTGGCTTTGTAGTAAGTTTTGAAATCAGGAAGTATGAATACTCCAACTTAGTTCTTCTTTTTCAAGATTGTTTTGGCTATTCAGAGTCTTTAAGATTCCATATGGTTTTGAGGATGGATTTTTCTGTTTTTGCAGAATATGTTACTGAGATTTTGATATTGAATCTGTACATCACTTTGGGTATTAGTGACATCTTAACAATATCAAGTTTTCAAACCCATTAACCTGTGATATTTTTCAGCAATGTTCTGTTGTTTTCATTATATAAGCCTTTCACATCCTTGGTTAAGTTTGTTCCTAAATATTTTGTTCTTTTGGATGCTATTGTTTATGCATTGTTTTCTTAATTTTCTTCTAGGACAGTTCATTATTAGTGTTTAGAAATGCAACTGCTGTTTGAGTATTCATTTTGCATCCTACTACTTTGCAGAATTCATTCATTCTAGCAATTTTTGTGTGTGGCATATTTAGGAATTTTCTATATAAACAATTATAACATCTGCAAGCAGAGATAATTTTGCTTCTTTATTTGGAATATGTATGTCCTTTTTTTTTCATTTTCTTGACTAATTGCCCTTGCTAGAACTTCCACTACTATGTTGAGTATAGTGGCAAAGTGGACATCCTTGCCTTGTTTCTGGTCTTATAAAAAAAAAAGCTCTCTGTCTTTCACCATTGAGTATGATATTAGCTGTGGGTTGTTCATGTATGGCTTTTATTATGTTAAAGTAGATTTTTTCTATCCCTATTGTGTTGTTTTTGTTATGAAAGGATGTTGAATTTTGTCAAATGCTTTTCTGCATCAGTTGAGATGATCATCTATTTTTTTTCTCTTTCCTCCATTCTGTTAACTTTGTATCTGTTTACATGTATCTGTACATATATTATATCTGTTACATGTTAACATGATATGTTTACATGTATCTATGCATGTAAAATATAAAATGGAAAAAGCCAACTGAAGAAAACTGATTGATTTTCATATGTTGAACCATCCTTGCATTCCAGGAATAAATCTCAGTTAGTTAAGGGTAGGGTATTAAACCTTCAAATATTATTGTAGAATTGTCCTTTCAATTCTTACCATTTTTGCTTCATATATTCTGATGGTCAGTTATAAGGTATAATGTTTATAATTGTTGTATCTTCTTGCCGTATTGAGTCTTTTATTAAAATATATGTCATTTTTAATCTCTTGTAATTTTTTTAAAAATTAGAGACAGGGTTTCACTATGTTGCCCAGGCTGGTCTCGAACTCCTGAGGTCAAGTGTTCCATCTGCCTTGGCCTTCCAAAGTGCTGGGATTATAGTCATGAGCCACCATACCTACCCTCTTGTAATATCTTTTTATGTATTTTGTCTAATATTAGTATAACTGTCCCTGTTCTCTTTTTGTTATTATTTGTATGAAATATCTTTTTCCATCCTTTCACTTTCAACCTATTTATGTCTTTGGATCTAAAATGAGTCTCTTATAGACAGCACATATTTGAATCATGTTTTAAAATCCATTCTGCTGATCTCTGTTTTGATTGAAAAACTGAATTCAATTACATTAAAAGTAATTACTGCTAAGGAGAGACTTCTTTCATTTGCTGTTTGTTTTCTGTATGCCTTATAGCATTTTTTACCCCTCATTTTCTACATTGCTGTCATCTTCAATGTTTAATTAATTTTTTATAGTATGGTGTTTTAATTCCCTTCTCATTTCCTTTTGTGTTTATTCCATAGCTGTGTTCTTTGTGGTTACTATAGGAATTACATTTAACATCCTTAAGTTACAACATTCAAATTTAAACTTACACAAAGTTAACTTCAATAGCATACAAATACAGAATACCATACAAAATCACTGCTTGTATATAACTCCTTGCCATTTCAGTTACCGTTTTGATATCACAAAATTACATCTTTATACATAGACTGATAGTTTTTGTATGTCCAGAAACATAGACTTAATAATTTTTATGCATTAGACTTTGGAGTCATGTACAAACAGAAAGTAGAGTTATAAACTAAAGTTAAAATAATGCTAGTTTTATAATTGCCTACGTATTTACTTTTATGGTTATCTTTATTTCTTCATATGGCTTTGTGTTACTTTCTAGTGTCTTTTATTTCCACTTGAAGCACTCCCTTTACCATTTCTTTATGGGCAAGTCTGGTGGTAACAAACTCCCTCAGCTTTTGTTTATCTGTGAATGTCTTAATTTCTCCCTCACTTTTGAAAGACAATTTTGCTGGATAAAGGTTTTTGGTTAACAGTTTTGTTTTGTTTTGTTTTAGCACTTTGAGTATATTGGCCCACTGCATTCTGGACTTCAAAATTTCTGATGCGAAATATGCTGATACTTTTGTTGAAGAAATCTGGTATGTGATGAGTTACTTCTCTTTCTGCTTTGAAGATACTTTGGCTTTGGCTTTTGACAGTTTGATTATAGTATGTTTTGGTGGGGCCTCTTTGATTTTATCCTACTTGGAGTTAGTTGAGCTTTGTGGATGTTTATATTCATGCATTTCATCAAATTTGGAGAGTTCACACATTATCTTCAAATAATCTCTCTGACTCCTGTTTCAAATAATCTCTCCTCTTCTTTTGGGGCTCTTATTTTAATTAGAGACAGGGTTTCACTGTGTTGGTCACCTTGATTGCCTTAGGCTGTGTTCACTTTTCTTCTTTCTTTTCCTCAGACTTGATAATTTAAATTGTCTTCAAGTTTACGGATTCTTTCTACTATCTGCTCAAACCTGCTTTTGAATATGTCTAGTAAACTTTTTAATTTCAATTATTGTACTTTTCAGGTCAAGAATTTTTTTTAGTTTCTTATGTTTTCTGTCTGTATTGGTGTTTCTACTTTGTTCAAACTATGTTTTCTTGACTTCTTCTAATTTTTCTTTAGGGCTTTGAGCATCTGTAAGATATTTGTTGGAAGGTTTTGTCTGGTAAGTGCCATCTTGTCTTTGTCAAGGACATTTTCTGTTTATTTAATATTTTTTTCGAATGAGCCATACTTTCCTATGGCTTTGTATGCTTTGTGAATTTTTTGTTGATAACTGTACAGAAATTGAACTTTTACTCTGGAAATCACATCCTCCTCTTCCCCAGGGTTTGCTTTAAAAATTTTTGTTTTAGGTTATCTCCATGCTGGGCATCAGCCTGAGGGTTCAACTTAAGATTTTAAAAACTCAAGTTGTTTTCTAAGCCTATGCCTTTCCCTGGGCCTATGCCATGACTTTCTAAATCCTCTGTATATGTGGCTGCATTTGAATCCCTTAGTTCTTAAATACTAAACTCCCAAAAAGAGAAAAAGATAAAACTTTAGGGGCACAAAATATGCTAGTCCTTTAAATCCCCTGGAAATTGATTCAGCTGGGGTGGTAGGGACTTAAAGCAATGGCTGCCTGTCTCTCTGTCTGTCCCTCCATCATGAGCAATCAGTGATTATCAGCATGGCTCCCCAATATTTGGAGCACAGGGCACTTATTGCCCAACCTGGCTCTTATAATTGTGTGCCAACTGCTCCAGGAACACGCTTGCATGGCTGCTTGCTATGGGGCTGGGGGATGCGGAATGCGTAGCTGCCACCTTGCTAAGAGCTACCTGAAAATAATCACTGTTTACTGTCCAAGCCTTCCTCTAGAAGTTGCAAGCCTTCAAAGTAGTTCCCAGTGTTTTAAAATAGTTATCTTAGATTCTGCCAATGAAATTTTTGTCTAGGTGGTGAGATGGATTCTTGGTGTCTCTTACTCCACTAATTTCCCAGAATCCTCTGCCCCACAAGTGTGTCACACCTCAAATAATCACCACTTCTTTTAGGCCAGGCCGGCCATGCTTCTACTAATTTGTCTCTCTCAAAAACTGTCTAGGTTTTCATGTTTGGTTCCAATTCACTCTATATGCCAAAACCCACACCCACAATTCTTTTTTAGACATGCTGTTCTCTTTAGACTTATATTACAGGTACCTGGGGGTACATCACATATCTGTGGGAGTAAGCCTTTTATATTTCTAGAAGTCACCCTTTTTTCTCAAGTAGAGATGACCTGTGAGGCACCTCTATCTTTCAGAGGTCTTAGCACAGGGTCTGACAGCCGTATTCTTAATGTGGTCTTTACCCATTTCCCTGGGTTTGATCTTCTCTCTGAAGCTATTTCTTAATGGCCATAGCTTTTACTTGGTACCACAGTTTTATTTTACAATTCTAAAATGTCTGGACAATTCATTGTCACTTTAATCCTACTTGGAAATGGACCACTTTTTTTGATGTCATTTCTTTCTTGTAGTACCTTACCAAATGCAGCACAAAACAGACAGCTCATGTGTTCATTTTCCCTCATATTCTACTACCTGAACTCCACAAGTTTATTATATAATTTTTCTCTCATATTATCCCATGCAACATTCTTACCAAATGTTTTGCCACTATGAGTCATCATTTTTCTAGTCTTCTGTAACTGTTTTCCTTGCCATTTTCCAGCTTGCTATTTTAGTTTCATACTACTTGCTTTCTGATTCCAAATCTATCACATTATTTTAGGTTTTTGCTACTGGAGCATCCTATGTCTAGGTTACCATCTTCTCTATCTATTAGCTTTTGCTACAGTAACGCTTCTAATTTAGTGACAAAAATAATTTATTTTTTCTCATGCATCTTGGGATGAACAGATCTAAGTTTAGCTTGGCTTCAAACTGGAGTTTGGGTCCAGGTCTACTGTTCTTCCTTAGAAGTCAGGACATAATCTCATGGTGATGGTGGAAGCATGGGCAAGTTCAGTTGAATGAGTGCAATTCAAGGCTCTGATTGCAGCACAGTTACTAACTTCTCAAGGCAGAGTGAGTATATGACTGAACCCAAAGTCAAAGGGCAGGGAGGGTACCCTGCCTCTAGTTTAAGGAACAGCAGTCATGTGGCAAAGGATATGGATACAGGAAGGGGTGAAGAACTGGAACCAATAATACAATGTACCAATCATTCAAATCTTAACGAAACATATATGGGAAAGGTATATTAATATCATATAAGGATGTCATTTAAAAACATATTAGAGAAAAATAGTGATACTTCTTGAGAAAATATTTAATTCACCTGGAAACTAAAATAATTCTGAAAATGTATGCACCTCATAACATAGCCTCAAAATGTAAACTTACAAGACAAGGAGAAATGCAAATTCATATTTACAGTAGAAGATTTTAACATACCATTCCCAATAACTTTTTGAACAAACACAAATTTATAGAGGGAAAATTTGAACAACACAATTAACAAACATGACTTATTTATTTTGTATGTAAAAACTTCAGAATACATAACTACATAATACCCATTATTTTTAAGTGCACACAACACTTAAAAATTGGACCATTGTCTCAGGTAGTTCAGGCTGTTTTGAGAAAGTATCATAGACTGGGTTGCTTATAAAGAACAGAAATGTGTTCTCTTGTTTCAGAGTTTGGAAGTCCAGGGTCAGGGTGCCAGCACGGTTGGGTTCAGGTGAAGGCCTTCTTTTTGCTTGTAGATTGTTGTCTTATTGTATCCTAAGATGGCAGGAGGAGAGGTCGAGAACTCTCTGGGATCTCTTCAAAAAGGGCACTAATCTCATTCATAAGGGCTCCTCTCTTATGATTTTAATTACCTCCCTAAGGTCCCACCTTTTAATACCATCACATTGGTGATTGGGAGTTCAACATATGAATATGCGGGGGGTAGGGGCGCACATATATTCAGTCTATAACAACTATATTTTAGCCATAGAGTACCAACAAATTTCAGAGAAAATTGAAATCAGATGGAGTATAATCTTAGATTACTATGGAATTAAACTAGAAAAGAACAACGTAGAGATAATTAGAAAAGCTCTGTGTTTTTGGAAATTTCAAAATACACTATTAAATATCCCATGCCTTGAGAAAAATCACAATAGAAAAATAGGAAATATTTTAAAATAAATTATAATCAAAATACTTTATATCAAAATTTGTGGGGGGCATAGCTAAGGGATGCTTATAGAAGAAGGATCTTAACTTTAGATGCCTATATTAGAAAAGAAAAAAAAACAAAAACTCAGTGATCTAAGCATCCAGCTGAAGAAAGTAGAAAAAAGAGCAAATGAAAACCAAAAAGAACTAGAAGAAAGAAAATAATTTAAAAATAGCAGTTAATGAAATAATAAACAAACATTCAATATAGGACATCAGCAAAGCCAAAAATTGGTTCTAGAGGAAGGATAAGAAAGGCATAACTAACCAAATTCAGGCCTTAAAAAGAAGGTCTGGGTGCACACTGGAATTATCTAGAGTGTTTTTTTTGTTTTTTTGTTTTTTTTAATATTGATGCCCAGGCCTCTCATATGGTCAATTACATCAGAATTTCTAATTGTAATCCTGCATTAGTATATTTATTGAGTGCCCCCGTTGATTCTAATATGAAGCACAGGTGAGAACCATTGATATAGCAAATAACATTTTGATATCATTCCAACCTTTTTGCTTATACAATTTTTATATAAATACGTTCTTGCCTAACATACAGTTTTGAAACCTTTTGCGTTTACCAGCATATCATTATCTTGCTGTAGCAGTAAATATACTTCTGCCACTACATTTTAATAGTTGTACTACATTTTAATAGTTGTGTAATATTCCATAATATGGATATATTATCATTTGTGTAACTATATTGAGCACTTAAATTTTCAATAGCAAAAACAATGCTAAGATAATATCTCTGTAAAAGTGCTTTTCCAAGCCTGGGCAACATGGCAAAAACCCAACTTCACAAGAAATAAAAAAATTGACCAGGCATAGTGGTGCATGCCTATAGTCTCTGCTGCTCAGGAGGCTGAGGTGGGACGATCACCAGAGCCCAGGGCGGTTGAGGCTGCAGTAAGCTGAGATTGTACCACCACAGTCCAGCCTGGGTGACTGAACAAAACCATATCTGCCCCCCCACCAAAAAAAATTACTTTTCAGCTGGCATAGTGGCTCATACCTGTAATGCCAGCTACTCAGGAGGCTGAGGTGGGAGGATCACTTGAGCCCAGGAGTTTGAGGCTACTGTGAGCTATGATTGTTCTACTGTATTCCAACCTGGGTGACAGATACCCCTTATGAAAATAATACCAATAAATAAAAGCATTTTTCACTCATCTACAAATAGCACGCATTAAAAAATTATTTATTAAAACATTTTCTTGTGGGTATGATGAAATAATGTGTGTGACAGGTGGTAACTGAATTTTTATCTTACATGCTCACTTAGGAATTAGCTAGGTTAGTAAGGCTGAAAGAGATGTATTAATATGTGTTTTGCTGACCATTTCCCCAGCAAAATGCCTTATTTACAGAAGGCATACAAAAAGCCCAGGCACAGTGGCTCATGCCTGTAATCCCAACACTTTGGGAGGCTGAGGTGGGTGGATCGTTTCAGGTTAGGAGTTCGAGACTAGCCTGGCCAACATGGTGAAACTCCATCTCCAGTAAAAATACAAAAATTAGCCAGGTGGTAGTGGTGTGCGCCTGTAATCCCAGCTACTTGGGAGGCTGAGGCAGGAGAATCGCTTGAGCCCAGGAGGCGGAGGTTGCAGCGAGCCAAGATCGTGCCACTGTATTCCAGTCTGGGTGACGGAGTAAGACCCTGTCTCAAAAAAAAAAAAAAAAAAAGGCGTACAAAAATGTTTGTTGAAGAAGTGAATAGATTTAATTCCTCAGAACTAATCTCAATTGGTAGAATATGTGGACTTGTTACATTCAAAAGAAAGATCATACAATTTTGGGAGCAAACCCAGTATCAGAAACCAAAGTTGGAATCTGTAAACTAAAATCTTTTGCTTTGAAATTAATATATAAGAATGAGAATGATTATTGAGATCTATGCTCAGCTAGCCATGAACCAAGAATTCAACTCTTATCTGTCTAGAAGAGGGGCGGGAAAAAGCTCTCTTATGGTTAACTGCTGCCCCTCCTAGGTACTTTGGTTTTCTGCTGCACTGAAGCCAGAATGATTTTATGTTGCAGTAAAAAATAACATGCTTACAATATTAATACACTATTATGGAAAATATTAGAAAATTTAGCTGAGCAAAAATAATACAAATAACACTCATAATTCTATCATTTTCAAATAACAATTTTTCTTTGGGGGGGCAGTATTTTTTTATCAACCTAAAAGAAGTACTTTATACCTCCCACATTTTTACAATCCCTGTCATTCATTTTTGTTCACTGTGTATAACCTTTGGAATTTGGGTGTTTGATATCCATGGAAGAAGCAACACAACATACATCTTTTAACTTATTATACCATTGGCTGCCATTCCCCAGCATTCATTCATTCATAATTCAGTCATAGATTTTTTTTTTTTTTTGAGACGGAGTCTCGCTCTGTCGCCCAGGCTGGAGTGCAGTGGCGGGATCTCGGCTCACTGCAAGCTCCGCCTCCCGGGTTCATGCCATTCTCCTGCCTCAGCCTCCCAAGTAGCTGGGACTACAGGCGCCCGCCACTACGCCCGGCTAATTTTTTTTTGTATTTTTAGTAGAGACGGGGTTTCACCGTTTTAGCCGGGATGGTCTCGATCTCCTGACCTCGTGATCCGCCCGCCTCGGCCTCCCAAAGTGCTGGGATTACAGGCGTGAGCCACCGCGCCCGGCCTATAGATGTTTGTTAAACTCCTACTTTTTCCATTCATTCTGCTACCTTTTGAGAATACAGTGGTAATCAAAAACAGACATGGTCCCTACCCTCGTGGAGCTCTCAGTGGATTTGAAGAGTCTGTCATGAATTTAAAAATGACACAATAAATGTAAACCTGCCACTGTAATAAGTTCTATGAGAGAAAGGAACATGAGTTTGTAACAGGAAAATTTGATCTAGTCAGAAAAGGCTTTCTTAATGAAGTGATAAATGAGGTGATATTTGAAGGAAAAGTAAAGCAGGGAGGGAGGAGCCTTCCAGGGAAAGGTACCGATATGTGTAAAGCCCTGGGACAAGAAAGACTGGGAATGACAGAGAAAGGAAGCCAGCATGGCTAGTGTAGAGACAAGGAACTGGAGAGGAAAGTAGGGGCCAAATCATGCAAAAGCCCTGAAGTAGGAGCATGCCTAGTGCGCCCAAGCAGCAGCAAGGATTTCGCCATGGCTGGAGGGACATGAGCAAGGAGAGAAGAGTAAAAAATGAAATTGGAGAGGGAACAGTTGGAGAGTGTGCCAGGTAGTTTTGCAGTACTATCCAATAGCACTTTCTGCGATGATGGAAATGCTCTGTCTGCACTGTTCACTATGATAGCCATTACTCACTTGAAATTGAGCACTCAAAACATAGCTAGTGCCATTGAGGAACTGCATATTTAATTTTAGTTAATTTTAATTTAATAGCCTCTAGTTGTAGTGTACGGTATGCTAATGAACACTTGAAGGGTAGATAGTGTAGTGGAGAAACTGAATTTTTAAAATTTTACTTCATTTTATTTAAATGTAGGAACAGCCACATGTGGCTAGTGGCTACCATGTTGGATAGAACAGTTACAGCCTTGTGACCTTTGGCTTTTACTCTGAAGTAATTAAATTTGAATTACCTAAGGCCTGTAGCTAAATTGGTATTTTGTTTTACTTTTAAGCAAAATAATAAACTTTCCTTTTTTGATAGGATAAAGGAGAGGTGAAGATATATAAGAGCCTAAAGAAATACATAATTTCCTTGAGTCATATTTTTAATTGATATCTTAAGATGCCCTCCAAAAGGTGAAATGTAAGTGGTGACAGCATATGTAACTTTTTCTTTCCTGCTTCAGCTTAATGTCTGTTGCTCATTAAAGGATGAGATAGTTTGTCTCAGTTAACATTCTCATAGAACATTTCACTTTTTCTGTCTTTTGTCATTTGTTAACCTATGTATATATTTGTATAACTATTTTATATCTTCTGTGCAACACCCAACCATAAGATTATTATATTATTTAGGGCAGGGACTGTGCCTGTCTTATTCACATAGAATCCACAGTATATGAAATCCTAGTAGTCGATTAATGAATATTTAATAACTGAATAAATGAATAAAGTATTCAGCAGTCTCATCTCTACTGTACTCATCCATCTTCTTATTTATCCATATTGACTGTTACCCCCTCACCACTGGGCATACAGGGTTAAAGGACTCTCCCTAACCTTCTATTCATCCCAGTTACTTAAAACTATTGATAAGCATAAGTCTGTCTATTATCCACAATCCATGAAGCAGAGACCTTCTCCCATCCAATAAAAAAGATTTATCTTTTTAAAAAAATATTTAAATAACACCTGAAAGTGAGACCCAAAGGAACTGATAAAAAGATAGCCTGGTGACCTCTGTAGCTCAGAACTGAATTACTTTACAGCGACAACCCACTCTTTGTCCCTCATAACCTCTCAACTTTTATATAAGTCATAAGATTCTACCTTATTTTAAATGAATAGCCCATTTTGACAGAGTAATGATGGTATGTGACAAATGGCACTTGTCTCATGGCATTTCCCTTAGCTAGCTTTACACAATTCAGTTATTGTTAGGTGACTTCAAGATACACCCTTAAGTTGGTTTTGTCTTTGAGATTGATTCTCTCCAAGAACCCTCAGTTCTGGTTCCACGCACATGATAGAAAGGCCTTCAGTTATTTTGGCTCATGGTAGGACTGCTTTCTCCCATTAGAGAGTTGGAGGATTATTGGAAAATCCTAGTACAATTTCTGAAGTACAAACTTAACCACAGAGACGTTTCCCCACATGAAATGTTTAGTGACAGTTGGGGTGGAAATAGGGGTCCATTGACCTGGGTGTCAGTCCTAACATACCCAGTTCACTGTGTCACCTTTAATAATGTACAGTTTGTGCTTCAACCTAGAATCTGCAGAGACTCTCTCCTGTTCCTTACCCCTTTCATTGATACCAGAAGTAGTAGAAAGATTGACCTTTGTGAAGCTTACTAAAATTCTTCTGCATCTTCAGGTAATTCACAGGGATGAGGAAAATAAAAAATAGAAAAAAATTAATAAAATTCTTCTACAAAACTGCAATACCGTGCAGAGATTATTGAGAAGGTGTGTGCAGAATTGCTGGTTTTTCAAACTAGATAAAACAGTAGTACCTATTCAAGTCACCACCACAGGGGGCCTCCTAAAAATAGACCGACTGCTATGTGATAGCTTAGGACGTTTTTATTGATATCATCTCTTGTCCTGCCGAAAGAAAAGCCTTGAGCCTGGAAGGAGGAATTAGAGTGTATTTTCCTAGGAAACTGGTGCCACAGTAAACTGTATGTCTGTTTGTTCTTGAAGCTGACCTAGCAATTACCTTGGAATACTAGGGCTCTATATTTTTCTAAATGTTTTTTCCTTCTACTTCATCATTCCTGATGAAAGAAAGAAAACAGTATAAAGAAAAGCTACAGGTTACTCTGAATACACACCAAGTTTTGTTGGGGAGTAGTTGTCTTAGGTGACACTCTGACCACAGCACTAAGAGCTACACTGGTGTAGTGAGGAAAGCGTGGCCCTTTTGAATCATAACGTGCTGTTCATTTCTATTCCCATTGCTTCTCCTAGGATTTCTTATCTCTTGCCCTAGCAAACCATAACACATAGACACACACACCCATCCCTGTCCAGTGCACCCAGTGGGGGGGAGGGGGCAGAGAAGACAAAGTCATTTATGTAATGTGTCTCCCTGCTGAGCCCCTAATGGCCGAAGCTTTTGTTCTGCATTCAGTGGCTGCATGTGATGGGCAGGAAGCCGCAGTCTCCCTTTGTTCCATGGCCTTATTCAGCAATTTAGATCCATCATAAAAATCAAATATGCATGTTGCAGTCGCCTTCCATACAACAGCTTCAATTTTCACCTTTTTTTAATTTGAACTCCACAGGGGAAGAAAGAAAATGAAGGGAGAAAGGGAAAATGGGGGTAAGAAAAAAAATTGCTTTGTGTTTTTGCTTAGTGGACTGTGAAAATAGGCAGTCACAAAAAGAAAATTTTTTTAATTTCATAGATGCATCCCATTCAGAATAAGACATGCTACCAAATTAGGCCTCTGGAAATGCTCTCACACCGTCCTAGTTAACTCAGGTTCCAAAACTTGGACGTGAAATGATGGGAAAAGAGAAAAATAGAACATTATAAAAGGGTAGAAAGAGGAAGACTCTTTAGGGCTTGAAGAATCATCCTGTTCAGAGAGGTACCTCCATACCACTTATAATTATGCCAAAAAGAATGTTTTATGTTCAGCTGATTGTCATGAGTTTCTTTTGTAAAAGAAATGATTTGGAGAAAAGGTTCATAGAGGGAATGAGAGAGAGATTACACTTAAATATATATTTCCTCTCTGAATAAAAATGAACACATTGGCAGAGATGTTTTTGTCCACTTATTGATTTGCACACAATATTTAAAATTTTCCCAGAACTTCAAAGGATATGTTCCCTGGAGTTCAGATAAATTTGCATCAGCAGGTTTGGTATTGATTATGCAGAAAAACACAGAAACCTTTTACCTACTCCATTGTTAGACTCAAGCAATGACTTTACAGAAGGGTGCATTGCATGCCCTAATATAAACAATATGGCCAATATTTATTCGATTTATTAAAAAATGAAAGATCTGAAGAAGTGTGCCTCTTTATGCCTGGTTTCACTTACTAATATAGATTTTGAAGGCTCATGCTAAACTTGAAGCCAGCCAGTTTGAAGATACTTTGCCTGTTCTTAGAAATGGAGCTTTTACAGGGTAATCCCAGGGAGATTGCTGTTGTCAACATTATACAGATACTGAACATAATATAGGATGGGTACAAACTGAACGAGTGATCTTGAGGCTCATTCAAGGTTGAAAAAACCTTTCATTGTCTGGAGTGGAGCTTCTTCTGGAAGATGTACCAAATGAGTCTGGGATCAAAACCAATTTCGCAAGTTTGATCGAGTCATAATATGGAAATCCACCAGATTCTGCTATGACTAATTAGAGGTGTGTGAAGAAGGTTTCCCTTCCCCAACATTATTGATTTTTCTTTCAAACTCCCCAGTTTCACGGGGAAAATCTCTGGCATTTAAAAGTGTTCAATTTAGTACAGTTCATTGATGCATGTAATCTTTGCTAACTGCATCTCATTTTCTCTGAACTGGATTTTTCAGGCCCTCTTATGTCTGGGTATATTTTTTATTTACTCTATATTTTAAGTGAAATCAAAGATGTACCCAGAACATACAAATACTGAGAGGATACATTTAATATTTGGATTTTTTTTAGTTGCAAATTTTCCCTTTTCTCCACTGGAAATAATGGGCAATTACAAAAAAGTGTAATTTTAAAAAGTGGATTCCACACAATTTAAGCCTACATGAGTGAAGAGATTTGTATATGTCTTGAATCATTCTATCCTGGAAAAAGCAATAAAGATGGAGAAAAGCACCAGGAAATTTACAACACTGGATAAAATCTGTGATTGTATACCATCATAACTGAGGCAAAAGCTATGGCTCTATGCCACCTCAAGCCGTCTCATTCCATCTTACTTTTTAACACTACTCCATATTTTTAGGATATTATAGACAGATAGCATACTGTAACTTCTTGTTAAAGTTAGGGCCACATGCTGGCATTTTATGTTTTCAAATTCCTTCATATGAGGAAAGATGCTACACAGATGTATTAAATGATAACCATTTCATATTGGAGAGTGAAACCTTTATCTTCGAATTCAAGGTAATTTAATATATAAGGGTATATTTTTAATTGAATATCTTCCTCTTCCCTATCATATGGCAACTTTGTCCTCAGTTGTTTCTTCCCAAGAAATAAGTTGTAGAAGGCCTAGAGGAAAAATTGTTTCAGGAGACCTTGTTTGCATTTCAGGTCATTCCAACTACTATTCTTACCTCTACTTTAAACAAAAAATACATACTAAACCAATGATAGGTCTCACTTACTGAAGTCTTTTCCTCTGCAATCACACAGATGTTGAGAGTGTAGCCTCCGAATTAGACAATCTCAGTTCAAGTTCTGACTCCATCCTTGACTAGCTCTGTGACCTTGGACGATTTAAGCTTGAGTGTCTTAATTCGTAAAATGAATATATGAGGATAATAACACTTAATGTATAGGATCATGTAAGTTAAATGAGATTAAGTATTGTCACAGGTTGCTTTCCTAGAGAAGCAGACCTGAGATTAACATTCAGTGTATTTATTAGGGGGTGCTGTCAATACCTGTGGAAGGTGAGCTGCGGTGCATTCCAACAAAGACCTCAGCCAACACTGAGGCAGGTTTTTTTCAGCTTCCTGGGAGCTGACAACAACTAAGGGGTGTCGTCTTTTAGCAGTCTTTTTAGCTGTGGAAATAAATCCTTTATTCTTTATTTTAGGGGGAGTTGGGTGGCACATTACAATGTCTATTAGAAGAGTTTAGTAAGCACTCAGTAAATATTAGCTATATAATAGTGTCAATGTATATTTACCTGGGAGACCATTCTTAGTATCCCAAACAGTTGCTTTCATTATATATTTTAATAGTGCTTTAGTAAGAGCATGGCTCTGGAACTGGATTTGAGGCCCGATTTCCTAATTGGCAGCTGAATAACACTAAGTACATTAGTCTCTCTGTGTCTCAGTTTCCTCATTTGTGAAATGGAAATAATAATAGTACTCATTCTCATAGGATTGTTATGAGGATTAAATATGTTAATAGTTACACTTTAAACAGTGCCTGGCATATAATACATGCTCTGTAACTGCTCGTGCTTGTCATCATCATTATTATTTTTCTGCTCTCAATCAAGTTAAGCATGTACAGTGAGTCCTCACTTAACATCATTGAGAGGTTCTTGAAAACTGACTTTAAGTGATTCAACAAATAAACCAATTTTTAATCATCAACATTATAATAACAGTGTTATTCGAAGACCTGATATATCTTGTTTTACTTAAAGTCAGTTTCCAAGAACCTATTGATGATAGTGAAGATTTACTGTAGTCAAAAACTACTTTGGAATCAGACAATGCTGGGTTTAAATCCCAGCTCTGTCACTTACTAGCCATTTTGACGTCGAGCATGTTACTTAATCTGTGATCCTCAGTATTCTTATCTGTCAAAAAGAAGTAATATGTCTAACCTTATAGAAAGCACCAAATATATGAAGGTATTATGAACTTATGTTTTAGTTTCTTTTCTGAAATGTAGTAATAACCCCACCCTTGGGATGTCCTGAAGATTATGTGAGTTCATTCATGAAAAGCACTTAGAATGGTACCTGACACAAAAGTATGTGTTCAGTGAGTGTTAGCTAATATGATGGTGATGATGACAACTGTATAAAGGACTCTGCACCATGCCTTGCGTATCATAAGCACTCAAATATTACTTTTGAAGCTCTCCGTGAATGTTTTCTTTATTTCTTCCTATTAGCCTTTCTTTTACATTCCAGCTGGCCTGCTGGACCTTTATTCTTGTGTATTCCTTTCCTCTTCCCTCACATGCTTGTAAGGATTTTGAATGTTATATATGGGCCAATAATAAACCATATCCTCTGACATCCTTAAAAAACAAAAGACAAAACCTTCTACTTTGTTTTTATTCTGGAGACAATAAGGCTGATGAGTGATTAAACATTGTCTTCAAGTACACAAAGGTTCTTGCTACAGAAAGGTGGCTGCCAGCTCTCCATCTTCAGGACAGAAGAAGAGAAATTTACTTCAGTGGAGCATACAAACACAGCATGGAAGACAAAAGAGGATGATAGACTGTCTAACTCTGAGAGGCTAAAAACAAAGAATATTCTTAATGTATTTAGAATGGCTATGTGCATGTGTTTCCAACCAAAGGGAAGAGAAAATTCTAATGAAATCCCTTTTAGCCCCATACTTCTGATTGTGTTATCCTCAAATATTTTAACTATAAATATTACCTGGTAATGTGTACCTTGCTTGTCCTGTGTTCTTTTGTCATATTATTATTCATAATAGCTGGTGTCCGTTATAAACCAATCAGAAAAAGGTCTTGGTTTGGGATAGACATTTATTATTCATAAAGGCTAAAAACTGTTTCTCCTTGCAATAATATATAATAAAAAAATAAGCATAGCCAAAATTTTCATTTGCATTCCAGAGGAAATAGTCTGAATAAATTCACCCTATTCATACACAGGGTTTTTTTTTTTTAATATCGTTTTAAACACTGCTAAGTGTTAACGTTTTACATTAAGTTATTACTTTGACAGGGATTTGATAATATAATTATGGCCTTTATAATCATGTAGAAAATCATGTTAATTAAATAAACAAAAACTGAAGGAAAATGAACATTTTGATTGGGTTTATTTCATCAGAAGAATCAGACATCTCAAAATAGAAGCAGACATCTGTGGAAATGAAGAAAAATCTACAGTTCTTAAAAACCTAGACTCTCTGCTAAGGATATTATATAGAGATCTAGGAAATAGCTCAGCTTTAAACATACCCCTTAATAGATATATTAAAGCCGAATTTCCTTCTTCCCCTCTTTTTGTTTAATTTTCTTTTAAAGCTGTGTTTTTAATGGCAGATGAAGCTATCTTTTTTTTTATACTTTGAACAAGTATGGCATCTTTTACCCAGGAATCTCAAATTCCCACAAATTTCATACATAGTAGTTGTTATATGTAAAATATACAAAACATGAGGCTTCCTGCAAATTCCTGGCAGGGTGTGGAGCGGGTGTGGTGGGTATATGCATTATATCCCATTGTTTTTGGGAATTTTTTTTGGGTTCCTAGTGATGATTATTCCCACTGAAGTGATGATTATTCCCATCTGTGCCCAGTTGGCATGTTTTTTAGAGGCTTTTATACCACAGCAGAGTTCCCAATGATACTTTATCATTTAGACCTCCTTAAAAATATGAGGGAGCTAGAGTGATTTTATTTTAATTAAACACTTCAGGACTTTTATTTTTGTCTTTTCATATTTTTATGTTTGGCATGTAGTAGGTACTCAATAATAGTTGAAGCCATGAAAATCTTTGGTCATTTTCAAAGTGATTCTTTTGGAATCCTATGTATTTATTATATCAGTGTCCAAAACAGTTCTGGAATTGCCCTCAGAGCTTGTGTTAGAGTCTTTTGAATATACTTATCTTTGCAGGTCAATTAATATTTATTTAGTGTCTATAATATATATATTTCAATTTTTTTTGTAGAGATGGGGGTTCTCACTATGTTGCCCATGCTGGTCTTGAACTCCTGGCCTCAAGCAATCCTCCCGCCTTGGCCTCCCAAAGTGTTTGGATTACAGGGATAAGCAACTACACTTGGCCTGTGCTTTTTAAGTATCATGATTTCACCCATTAGCTTATTTACTGCAGTTGGAGCTATTGCACAGCAGTCTCCCTTGTGTCAGGAACAGTTAATAAGTACTGAAGGTGGACAGTGAGAAATAATAAGATAAAAATAGAATAATAAGAAATGGTTCTCTTCCAAGAGTTATAACTTAGAAATATACATTCAAATTAACATACTAGAAAATACAGGTCGTCGGCAAAGCCTGAGTCCTGTCCTCTCACTCTCCTCTGTGGACAGCATGAACTTCACCACTCGCTCCACCTTCTCCACCAACTACCGGTCCCTGGGCTTTGTCCAGGCGCCCAGCTACAGTGCCCGGCCAGTCAGCAGCATGGCCAGCGTCTATGCAGGCACCAGGGGCTCTGGTTCCTGGATCTCCATGTCCCACTCCGCCAGCTTCTGGGGCGGCATGGGGTCTGGGGGCCTGTCCGCGGGGATGGCTGGGGGTCTTGCAAGAATGGGAGGCATCCAGAACAAGAAGGAGACCATGCAAAGCCTGAAGTACTGCCTGACCTCCTACCTGAACACAGTGAGGAACCTGGAGATGGAGAACTGGAAGCTAGAGAGCAAAATCCGGGAGCACCTGGAGAAGAAGGGACCCCAGTTCAGAGACTGGAGCCGTTACTTCCAGACCATCAAGGACCTGAGGGCTCAGATCTTCGCAAATACTGTGGACAATGCCTGCATCGTTCTGCAGATTGACAGTGCCCGTCTTGCAGCTGATGATTTTAGAGTCAAGTATGAGACGGAGCTGGCCGTGCACTAGTCTGTGGAGAATGACATCCATGGGCTCTGCAAGGTCATTGATGACACCAGTGTCACTTGGCTGCAGCTGGAGACAGAGATCAAGGCTCGCAAGGAAGAGCTGCTCTTCATGAAGAAGAACCACGGAGAGGAAGTAAAAGGCCTACAAGCCCAGATTGCCAGCTCTGGGTTGACCTTGGAGGTAGATCCCCAAATCTCAGGACCTCGCCAAGATCATGGCAGACATCTGGGCCCAATATGACAAGCTGGCTCGGAAGAACAGAGAGGAGCTGGACAAGTACTGGTCTCAGCAGATTGAGGAGAGCACCACGGTGGTCACCACGCAGTCCGTCAAGGTTGGAGCTGCTGAGACGACACTCACGGAGCTGAGATATACAGTCCAGTCCTTGGAGACTGACCTGGACTCAATGAGAAATCTGAAGGCCAGCTTGGAGAACAGCCTGAGGGAGGTGGAGGCCCGCTACACCCTGCAGATGGAGCAGCTCAACGGGATCCTGCTTTACCTGGAGTCAGAGCTGGCACAGACCCGGGCAGAGGGGTAGCGCCAGGCCGAGGAGTATGAGGCCCTGCAGAACATCAAGGTCAACCTGGAGGATGAGATCGCCACCTACCGCTGCCTGCTGGAAGATGGCGAGGACTTCAATCTTGGTGATGCCCTGGACAGCAGCAACTCCATGCAAACCATTCAAAAGACCACCACCTGCCGGATAGTGGATGGCAAAGTGGTGTCTGAGACCAATGACCCCAAAGTTCTGAAACTTTAAGCCAGCAGAAGCAGGGTACCCTTTGGGGAGCAGGAGGCCAATGAAAAGTTCAGCGGTCCAAAACAAAAAAAAAAAAAGAGAAAATACAGTGTTATAGCAGATAAATGTATACAGTGGAATCGACAAGGTCTCTGGGTGAGCATCATGGAAGAGGTGGCATTTCAGATCTCGATGGATATAGATAGGAAAATATGGGAGAAGCGTATAGCAGGA
Organism: Homo sapiens; assembly: GCF_000001405.40. Taxonomy (NCBI): domain Eukaryota; kingdom Metazoa; phylum Chordata; class Mammalia; order Primates; family Hominidae; genus Homo; species Homo sapiens. Next base: position 72,730,119 of record NC_000016.10, read on the forward strand.
AAAGAGAAAATTGTAAGCAAAGACCCCAAAGCAGAAAAGCATTTGGTTCAGTCAGAGAATGGTGAGACAGAAAAAGAAACGGAGATAGAATTTTGGAGCTAGAGTCCCGGGGTACTAACCTCAGTGCTGAAACATACCGTGTCCTTTGACAAGTGACTTGAACTGTGTCTTGGTTTTCTTCTCTGTAAAATGGGGATAAGATTTGTACCTACATCACAGGGTTGTTATGAGGAATAATATATAATAATACATCTAAAACAATGCCTGGCACATAACAAGCACCATGTAAGTGTTAGAAAATGAGAGAGTGGAGTATCTTCTCTACTGTACTGGAAGCCACTGAAGGTTTTTGAGCAAGGTGGTGAAAAGATAGGCGTTATACTTTAAGAGTATGATCCTGGCACTACTGTGTACAGTTGATCATGAGAGAGATGCTAGTTAAGAGAGATCCTGGGAAGGGGAAATGCCAGATTGCACTGGAGCAATAGCTATGGGAATGAAAAGGAGGGGGTGGATGCAAGAAACACTGGAGGGTCCCCATAACATGCACATACTTTTTATTTTATTTTAAGTTCCAGGATACATGTGCAGGATGTACAGGTTTGTTACATAGGTAAATATGTGCCATGGTGGTTTGCGGTACCTATCAACTTATCACCTAGGTAATAAGCCTAGCATGCATTAGCTATTTATCCTGATGTACTCCTTCCCCTAAACATCCCCCACCCCTGCCAACAGGCCCCAGCGTGTGTTGTTCCCCTCCCTGTTTTCATGTATTCTCATTATTCAGCTCCCACTTACAAGTGAGAACATGCGGTATTTGGTTTCCTGTTCCTACATTAGTTTGCTGAGGATAACTGCTTCCAGCCCCGTCCATAGCCCTGCAAAGGACATGATCTCATTCCTTTTTATGGCTGCATAGTATTCCATGGTGTATATGTACCATGTTTTCTTTATCTAGTCTATCATTGCTGGGCATTTGGGTTGATTCCATGTCTTTGCTATTATTAATAGTGCTGCAGTGAACATACTCATGCATATATCTTTATAATAGAATGATTTCTATTCCTTTGTGTATATATCCAGTAATGGGATTGCTGGGTCAAATGGCTTTTCTGATTCTAGGTCTTTGAGGAAAGGAATTGCCACACTGTCTTCCACAATGGTTGAACTAATTTACATTCCCACCAACAGTGTAAATGCGTTCTCTCTCCACAGCCATGCCAGCATTTGTTGTTTCTTGACTTTTTAATAATTGCCATTCTGACTGGTGTGAGATGATATCTCATTGTGGTTTTGATTTGCATTTCTCTAATGATCAGTGATGTTGAGTGTTTTTTCATGTTTGTTGACCACATAAATGTCTTCTTTTGAGAAGTGTTTATTCATGTCTTTTGCCCACTTTTTGATGGGTTGTGTTTTTCTTGTAAATTTAAGTTCCTTGTAGATTTTGGATATTAGACCTTTGTCAGATGGATAGATTGCAAAAAAATTTCTCCCACTCTGTAGGTTGCCTGTTCACTCTGATGATAATTTCTTTTGCTGTGCAGAAGCTCTTTAGTTTAATTAGATACCATTTGTCAATTTTTGCTTTTGTTGCAATTGCTTTTGGCCACTGCATCATAAACTCTTTGCCTGTGCTTATGTCCTGAATGGTATTGCCTAGATTTTCTTGTAGGGTTTTCATAGTTTTGGGTTTTATGTTTAAGACTTTAATCCATCTGGATTTAATTTTTGTACAAGGTGTAAGGAAGGGGTCCAGTTTCAGTTTTTTTAATATGGCTAGCCAGTTCTCCCAGCACCAGTTATTAAGTAGGGAATCCTTTTCTCCATTGCTTGTTTTTGTCAGGTTTGTCAAAGATCAGATGGTTATAGATGTGTGGTCTTATTTCTGAGTTGTCTATTGTGTTCCGTTGGTCTGTGTGTCTGTTTCGGTACCAGTACCATGCTGTTTTGGTTAATGTAGCCTTGTAGTATAGTTTGAAGTCAGGTAGCGTGATGCCTCCAGCTTTGTTCTTTTTGCTTATGATTGTCTTGGCTATATGGGCACTTTTTTGGTTCCATATGAAATTTAAAGGAGATTTTTTTTTTTTCTAAATCTGTGAAGAATGTATGTCAATGGTAGTTTGATGGGAATAGCATTGACTCTATAAATTACTTTGGGCAGTATGGTCATTTTCATGATATTGTTTCTTCCTATCCATGAGTATGGAATGTTTTTCCGTTTGTTTGTGTACTCTCTGATTTCCTTGAGCAGTGGTTTGTCGTTCTCTTTGAAGAGATCCTTCACTTTCCTTGTTAGTTGTATTCCTAGGTATTGTATTCTCTTTGTAGCAATTGTGAGTGGGAGTTCATTCATGATTTGGCTCTCTGCTTGTCTGTTGTTGGTGTATAGGAATGCTTGTGATTTTTGCACATGGATTTTATATGCAGAGACTTTGCCTAAAGTTGCTTGTCAGCTTGAGAAGCTTTTGGGCTGAGACAATGCGGTTTTCTAGATACAGGATCATGTCATCTGCAAACAGAGACAGTTTGACTTCTTCTCTTCCTATTTGAATACCCTTTACTTCTTTCTCTTGCCTGATTGCCCTAGCTGGAACTTCCAGTACTATGTTGAATAGGAGTGATGAGAGGCCATCCTTGTCTTGTGCTGGTTTTCAAGGGGAATGCTTCCAGCTTTTGCCCAGTCAGTATGATATTGGTTGTGGGTATGTCATTAAATAATAATACCTTATTATTTTGAGGTATATTCCATCAATATCTAGTTTATTGACAGTTTTTAACATGAAGGGATGTTGAATTGTATCAAAGGCCTTTTCCATGTCTTTTGAGATAATTATGTGGTTTTTGTCTTTAGTTCTGGTTTTGTGATAAATTATATTTATTGGTTTGTGTATGTGGAACCAGCCTTGCTCCCGGCAGTGAAAAGGAGAATTCCCTCCTTTTCAATTGTCTGTAATAGTTTCAGAAGAAATGGTACTGGCTTCTCTTTATACTTCTGGTAGAATTCAGCTGTAAATCTGTCTGGTCCTGGGCTTTTTTCAGTTGGTAGGCTATTTGTTGCTGCCTCAATTTCAGAACTTGTTAGTGGTCTATTCAGGTATTCAACCTCTTCCTGGTTCAGTCTTGGAAGGGTGTATGTGTCCAAGAATTTATCCATTTCTTCTAGATTTTCCAGTTTATTTTCATAGAGGTGTTTATAGTATTCTCTGATCATTGTTTGTATTTCTGTGGGGTCAGTAGTGATATTCCCTTTATCATTTTTTATTGTGTCTATTTGATTCTCCTCTCTTTTCTTCTTTATTAGTCTACATAGTAGTCTATTTTATTAGGGTGTTTTTTTTAAAAAAAGCTCCTGGATTTGTTGGGGGTTTTTGTGAAGGGTTTTTGTGTCTCTGTCTCGCTCGCTTCTGCTCTCATCTTGGTTATTTCTTGTCTTCTGCTAGTTTTGGGGCTTGTTTGCTTTTGGTTCTCTAGTTCTTTTAGTTGTAATGGTAGGGTGTCAGTTTGAGATCTTTCTAGCTTTTTGATATGGGGATTTAGTCCTATAAATTTTTCTCTTAACACTGCTTTAGCTGCGTCCCAGAGATTCTGGTACATTGTCTCTGTGTTCTCATTGGTTTCAAAGAACTTCTTGATTTCTACCTTAATTTCATTATTTACCCAGGAGTCATTCATGAACAGGGTATTCAATTTCTGTGTAGTTGTGTGGTTTTGAGTGAGTTGCTGAATCTTGAGTTCCAACTTGATTGCCCTGTGGTCTGAGAGACTGTTATGATTTCAGTTCTTTTGCATTTGCTGAGGAGTGTTTTACTTCCAATCATGTGATTGATTTTAGAGTAAGTGCCATGTGGCAGCAAGAAGAATGTATATTCTGTTGTTTTTAGGTGGAGAGTTCTGTAGATATCTATCAGGTCCACTTGATCCAGAGCTGAGTTCAAGTCCTGAATATCTTTGTTAATTTGTTGTCTTGATCATCTGTCTAATATTGACAGCAGGGTGTTAAAGTCTTCTACTATTATTGTGTAGGAATCTAAGTTTCTTTGTAGGTCTCTAAGAACTTGTTTTTATGAATCTGGGTGCTCCTGTATTGGGTAATTATATATTTAGGGTAGTTAGGTCTTCTTGTTGAATTGAACCCTTTACCATTATGTAATGCCCTTCTTTGTCTTTTTAAAAAATATTTGTCTTTTAAAAAAAAATCTTTGTTGGTTTAAAGTGTGTTTGGTCAGAAACGAGGATTGCAACCCCTGCTTTTTTCTGCTTTCCATTTGCTCAGTAAATTTTCCTTGAGCCTATGCATACCTTTGCTTGTGAGATGGGTCTCTTGAATACAGCACACCAATGGGTCTTGACTCTATCCAGCTTGCCATTCTGGGTCTTTTAATCGGAGCATTTAGCCCATTTGCATTTAAGTTTAATATTGTTATTGTGAATTTGATCTTGTCATCATGATGCTTGCTGGTTATTTTGCAGACTTGTTAATGTAGTTGCTTCATAGTGTCATTGGTCTTTGTACTTCAGTGTGTTTTTTGTAGTGTCTGGTAATGGCTTTTCCTTTCCATATTTAGGAAAGGAATTCCTAAATTCCTTTCCTTCAGGAGCTCTTGCAAGGCAGGAGCTTCCTTCAGGAGCTCTTGCAAGGCAGGCCCGGTGGTGATGAATTCCCTCAGCATTTGCTTATCTGAAAAGAATTTTATTTCTCCTTCACTTATGAAGCTTAGTTTGGCTGGACATGAAATTCTGGATTGGAAATTCTTTTCTTTAAGAATGTTGAATATTGGCCCCCGCTCTCTTCTAGCTTACAGCATTTCTGCTGAGAGGTCCACTGTTAGTCTCATGGGCTTCCCTTGGCCTTTCTCTCTGGCTGCCCTTAACATTTTTTCCCTCATTTTGACCTTAGAGAATCTGATGATTATGAGTCTTGGGGTTGATCTTCTCATGGAGTATCTTACTGGGGTTTTCTGGATTTCCTGAATTTGAATGTTATTCTGTCTTGCTAGCTTGGGGAAGTGTTCCTGGATGATATTCTGGTTCCATTCTCTCCATCTCTTTCAGGGATCGGGGAGAACCTGAATCAGTCATAGGTTCAGTCTTTGTATATAATCCAGTAGTTATTGGAGGTTTTGTTCATTCCTTTTCATTCTTTTTACTCTAATCTTGTCTGCCCATCTTATTTCAGCAAGATAGTCTTCAAGCTCTGAAATTCTTTCCTCTGCTTGGTCTGTTCAGCTATTGATACTTGTGGTTGCATTGTGAAGTTCTCTTGTGTTTTTCAGCTCCATTGTGTCATTTATATTCCTCTGTAAACTGGTTATTCTTGGTAACAACTCCTGTAATGTTTTATTATAATTCTTAGCTTCTTTGCATTGGGTTAGAACATGCTCCTTTAGCTCAGCAAAGTTCGCTATTACCCACCTTCTGAAGCCTACTTCTGTCAGTTCATCCATCTCAGCTTCAGCCCAGTTCTGTGCCCTTACTGGAGAGGTGTTGTGATTATTTGGAGGAGAATAGGCACTCTGGCTTTTTGAGTTTTCAGTGTTTTTCCGCTGATTCTTTCTCATCTTCATGAATTTATCTAGCTTCAATCTTTGAGGCTACTGACCTTTGGATGGGGTTTTTGTGGGGACTTTTTTGATGATGATGATGTTGTTGTTGCTTTCTGTTTGTTTGTTTTTCTTTCAACAGTCAGGTCCCTCTTCCTTAGGGCTGCTGCCATTTGCCTAGGGTCCACTCCAGACCCTTTTCACCTGGGTCTCTCCTGCACCTGAAGGTGTCACTGGTGGAGGCTACAGAACAGCAAAGATAGCTGCCTGCACCTTCCTCTGGGAACCCCATCCCAGAGGGGCACCGACCTAATGCCAGCAGGAATGCTCCTGTATAAAGTGTCTGGTGACCCGTGTTTGGAGTTCTCACCCAGTCAGGAGGCACAGGATCAGGGACCTGCTTAACAAAGCACTCTGGCTGCCCCTTGCTGGAGGGGCTGCACTGCACTGGGGGGAATCCCACTTGTCTGGACTGCCTGGATTTGTCAGAGCCAGCAGGGGGAAAGACTAAGTCCACTGATCCATGGAGATCACGACCGCCCTTCCTCCCAGGGGCTCCATCCCAGGGAGATCAGAGTTCTGTCCCTAACTCCCTGGCTGGAGTTGCTGGAATTCCCACAGGGAGACCATGCCTGGCAAGGAGGGATGGGTCAGGGTCCAGCCTAAAGAGGCAGTCTGGCCACAGTCTTCTACAGCTGCTGTGCTGTGCTGTGGGGAATTCCTACTGGGTCCAAACTACCCAGTCTCCCTGGCACAGGCAGGGGAAAACAGCAGATTGGAGCTGCAGTCATGGCTGCTGCCCCTCCCCCCCAGGAACTCAGTAGTCTTAGGCAGTCTCCAGCTGAGCGACCACTGAGAATCTCCACAGACCCAAGGCCCTGGTGGGATGGGTTCCTGAGGGGATCTCCTGATCCACAGGTTGCACAGATCTGTGGGAAAAGCATGGTTTCCCGGGCGAAATAGCACAATCATTCACCATCTCATTTGGCTGGGGGTGGAAGTTCTCCTTGCCATGTGTGGCTCCCAGGTGGGCCGTCACTCCACCCTGCTTTTTTCCTTGCTCTCCGTGGGTCATGCCAACTGCCTAGTCAGTCCCAATGAGAGAACTTGGATACCTCAGTTGCCCGTGCAGGATTCACTTGTTTTCATTTTCAGTGGGAGCCTCTGACCGTACTTGTTTCTAGTCAGCCATCTTGGCCCCTCCCTGCCATATTTTTCAAGTGTTTGAACCAAAGGTATCTCTGTTTTTGAAACAATCAAAAGTCATTTGGAAATAAGTATAGTGACCAAGGTGGGGTTTTTTTGTGTTTGTTTTTGTTTTAAATAGAGGCCAGACATGATGATTCATGCCTATAATTCCAGCACTTGAGGGGGGCTGAGGTGGGCGGATTACATGAGCCCAGGAGTTCAAGACCAGCCTGGGCAACATGGTGGAACTCTGTCTGTACAAAACTCTTTCTGTACAAAAGTTAGCCAGTTGTGATGTCATGTGCCTGTGGTCTCAGCTACTCTGGAGGCTGAGGTGGGAGGATCACCTGAGCCCAGGGAGGTTGAGGCTGCAGTGAGCTGTGATTGTGCCACTGCATTTCGGCCTGAGTGACAAAGTGAGAGCCTATCTCAAAAAATAAAAAGAAAACAGAAAGAGATGGATTTTTAAAGTAATGAGACAAATTTTCTCCTATGGATTTTTAAACTGATACTGAAGGCACTCCAAAGGAGATTTGCTTTAAAAAAATGTATAGTACATTTAGTGGTGGAATAAATGTATAATTTCCCAATTATTACTATAAAGGAAAATATTCACTTTGTTGTATAAAAGTTAGTGTGCTTATCTAACCATCAGTAATATTATACATCCTCCCTTTTTAATGAAATTAAAGTTGAAAAATAAGTTACTAATTTATTATGATAATCTCTTGAATACATACTTAAAGAATGGAGATAGAAATATATTTAAAGACCAAAATTTGGTCTTTTATTCATTTTACTTAGCATTTACTGATATGTGTACCTCTTGGATGCTCCCACATCTTGTTGATTTCCCTTCTTTGTGTTACTATTTGCTTTTGTGTTCTATATTTCGATTGATTGTAGAGATGAAAGTCTCACTGTGTTGCCCAGGCTGATCACAAACTCCTGACCTCAAGCAGTCCTCCACCTTGGCCTCCCAAATGCTGAGATTATAGGCATGAGCCACCACACTCAACCATTTTTTTAAAACTAGCTTGTTAAAATGGAGAACAGGAGGGGAAGGACAAAAGCCAGGGTTTGTTAACTTTAGATGCTACCAAAGTGAGGGAGGGGACTTCATTTGGGTAATCTCAAATGTTTACATAGCTTTTCAAAGATGCATGCTTGCACTACCATTTTCTGTATTCTGTTGCAATTTCTTGATACCATTATTGAGTTTATTAATGGTCTCCTTACCATATTGTTTACCCATGTGTAGTTCAATAAGTACTGCCCTATGTGCTCATCCAATCAGCTTTCTTCTATCACTTTGTACTGCTCTGACATGGCGCTAAAAAAACCAAAAGCCTTTCGTAAAATAATTGTATGTGATGCATTGAACATTGCATTTTACTTAAAATACCCCCTTTTTTGGCAAATGAACCACATTGCAAATTTTTAAGCTGAAATTGCTAGCAGTGTTTCCAAGATAAACATGCTATTTATAGACAAAAATCTTTTAAATTATCAGTTAATGAATACCTAATGGGATATACATTTGCACAGTAATAAAATCACAAAAAGAGAATGATTAGTTGTTTTCAGTCAGTTAAGAAGGACTCTTGTGACTGGAGTCTACACCAGGAGCGGGACTGTCTTCCACCATATAGGTCCTAGGAATTAGGCATCTGTTTTCATTTCTTATAGTGAAAAGAGGTCTGAAACAATGTGTAATGTCCTAGAAATGAGACAGAACTGTTTGATGAGTTAAGAGCAGATAACTGGATGGATGGAGGTCAATGAGAACTGTAGTCTCTGCCTCTTGTTGAGAAGAAAATACTCTAGGAAAAACCTTCAGTCATCAGTTCAGCAAAAATAATTATAATTCCCACTGGAGATACTGAAAGGACCTGGGATCTCTTTGTCAAGTTCAACGTAGGATTTTCTTTTTTTAATACTTATTTTAAAATTAAAACTAAGGGAAACATTTTTGTTTAGCTTTTTTTTTTTTTTTCGAGATGGAGTCTCTCTCTGTGGTCCACGCTGGAGTTCGGTGGTGTGATCTCAGCTCACTGAAACCTCCACCTTTCGGGGTTAAGTGATTTTCCTGCCTCAGCCTCCCAAGTAACTGGGATGACAGCGTGTGCTACCATGCCTGGCTAGTTGTATTTTTAGCAGAGATGGGGTTTCACCATGTTGGCCAGGCTGGTCTCGAACTCCTGACCTCAAGTGATCCCCTCACTTCACCCTCCCATAGTGCTAGGATTACAGGTGTGAACCACCGCTGCAGGCCCCAACATAAGATTTTCTTAATGGTATTTTTTACCTAAGCCTCATTCTGCAAATGAAAACAAAAAATCATTTGGTAGAGGGGACACCAATAATTCAGTGTTTTTGAAATGCCATTACTTCTGAAAGTTCAGAGTTTGCTACCTGTATCTTCTACCGATTCCAAATATGTTGATTCTTGTCAAGCCCCAAGTGGGAGATGGAGGTGCTAATTCTTCAGGATAACACCAGGCCAGTGAAACTGGAATGGGATAAAATCCATAAAGAATTTATCCTAGTTCCTGGATAAGTCAGCAAAGAAAATGTATGAACATGAGATTGAATTCTCAACCCTAGATGTCATTCTCTCTTCAAATACCCAGAAAATTTCAAAGTAACTCTGGGTTATGAACAAAAAAGTTACGTGCTTTGACCAGCTATTTTTCATGTGTTAACCATGGTGTTCTCTTCTAGCTGTGCAGAGCAGTATAACTTGTACTAGTCTGAAAAGCAGAAATAAAAACCTTAGTGTTTATAAGGACATTTTTGGCAGATGAAAGCAGGAACTTTGTCTGTTGTGAATGGCAATAAAAACTTCAGAACTCATTGATACAACATATTTTGTTGCTCTTCTGTATTCTATCGAAAGTCCTTCTTACCAGTGCTTTGAAAGGAGTTTAGACAGTAACTAAGCACACAACTATGCCAAGAATTTTAATTGAGCTGAGGGCCTTCATACAAATAAGACTAAGACTTGTAATAGCAAATAGAATTCTTTGATTTGTAGGTGTTTTGATATAACCAGTTGATATGCAGATTAGTCCCCAGTGGGATATTGACTATTGAAGTATATGTAAGCACTTTCTAAATTATGAAGCATTACCAAATGTATCTGTTTTAGGTTTGCCCTATTCCTTTTGGCAAGTATAGTGGTCATTCATTCATTCAACAGATACTTACTACGTGCTTACTATGTGCCAACTACTTTTGTAAGTACTAGAGATATAGTAATGAATAAAACTTTATATTCATATGAGTAAATTTTTATACATAAAATAAAACATAAAAAATAGCCCAGGCATGGTTGCTCACACCTATAATTCTAGCACTTTATGAGGCCAAGATGGGAAGATGGCTTGAGGCCAGGAATTTGAGACCAGCCTGGTAAATAAATACAGTGAGACCCTGTTTCTATTAAAAAATAATAAAAATTAAAAATAACTTCAGGTAATGATACATGCTGTGAAGAGGAAAAATCAAGATATTTAGATAGTGTATGAGGAAGGGGGTAGGTTTTGAGTAGGGAAGAGGAGAAACATTTTACCTAGGTTGTTCAGGAAAAGTCAATCTGAACTAACACCTTAACTGAGACACGGTTCTTGAGAAGTCAGCCGTAAATTCTAAGTGGAGGGAACAAGCAGTGTGAAGATGCTGTGATAGGAAGAAGCTTGGTATGTTCCAGAATGACAAGACCAGGTTATGAAGTGAGCAAAGCTCATTGGAATTTGTAATCTCATGCCTGCAGAATGGCAAGTGAATGAGGGAAGATCAAATACACTAACTTTTCTTTATTTGTACATTTTTATTTTTGTTTTTGCATGAGTCTCTACATAGCTAGATGAAGCATGTTAAAGAAGAGAATTATCTTGACTGTTTTACTACTTTCCCCTAGTGTCCTAAGAAGTATTTTGCTACGAGCACCATGTCTCCATTTCCCCTCTTTATTCAGAAATATGTTCTTCAATTTTTGTTTGCCTTCTTAACAAAATTTACAAAGGAAATGCAGATTTTTTAATGCCTTTGCATGTAACCTTATCAAAGGAAATAGAAGAGAGGAAAACGCTGAAGAAATAGATACTATAGTGATTATATATGTTGAAGCAGATACTGCCTTTGTTATAATAGAGTCAGGCCATCATGGGCAGCTTAGTTAATTTCTCCTGAGCCTCAGTTTCCTCCTCTATAATATATGGAGGTAACTACTATTTACCTTATAGAATTACATGAGATCAAGCACATGAAGCGTTTAGCACAGTACTTGGCACATAGATAATGTTTATGGAGCACTTACTCTTTGTCTTTTAAAGACAGGGTCTTGCTCTCACACAGGCTGGAATGCAGTGGTACAACCTTGGCTCACTGCAGCCTCAACCTCCTGGGTTCAAACCATCCTCCTACCTCAGCATCCTGACTAGATGGAACTACAGGCTCACACCATCATTACTGGCTAACTCTTGTATTTTTTGCAGAGACGGGATCTCACTGTGTTGCCCAGGCTGGTTTCAAACTCCTGGGCTCAAGTAATCCTTCCACCTACACCTCCCAAAGTGCTGGGATTACAGGTGTGAGCTACCATGCCTGTCCTTACTGTTATATTATCATGAAGATCTTTATTCTTTCAAATCACCTCCCAGTAAACCTTTTCTGCAGACTTTTTCAAGTAGTTCTAATAAACTTTTATGCTGGCATCCCCCCTCCCCCAGCTTATGCCACTGTCCAGATATCTTTTTCTCTATTGTCCAGCTCAAAGACACTGTATGTTTATGAGACCATCTTTTGGTAACAAAAATGCCAGGAATCAATGATTTATTAAAATCCTAGTATTAATTCAGGCTCCTGTCAATCTTCTGACAAAGCCTATACATACTGTGTAGCTATACCAAAGATTCCATAGCATAGGTGAAAATGCCTGAGTATATAGCCCTTGATCTCCTGAGCTACATTTGGCCAGTCTCCAGTCATTCCTTTCTATCTAATTAATGACATTCCTGGCATATGGGGATTATATAGCACAGAATGTGTCCACATTCTGCCTGTGAAAACCCACTTTGTTCTCCATCTGCAAAAAGGCAACCTCTGCTTTTCATTTCTTTATTGTGTCATTTTTTAATGTCATTGTTCTGTCTCCCTCTCTCTTCCTTCCCTCTCTCTCTCTCCTCCTTTTCTTCTTTCCTTCCCTTCCTCTCTCCCTCTTTCCCTCTCTTCCCTTCCCTCACCGCTTCCACCCTTCCTAGTAAAGGGAAGAGGGATGCACCTTGGGCATTGGTCTTAGAGGAGGAAACTAACATCATCACTTAAACTGATTCTAGAAGTTTTCTTGAAACTCAAAAATGATTTGCTCCAGTAATGCTGACATCACAATCCCCTGAGAAGACCATCACCAGTTTTCTACTACATTTTAGCTTCTACTATTTTTGTTGTCTATTATGCTTTTTTTCTTCAAAATTAATCTCAAATCTTACTTCTACTAAATCTTACTAACTCTGGACTTGATCGATCCCCTGCTACTCAACACTTATGCTGTTGCATACTTTTTGCTACTTAATTCATATTACTGAACCTGGTACATAAATTAAAGGCTTGTATCTCCAATTAGATTGTAAGTTTACTCAGAGCAGGGATTGTGTCATATACATTTATAGTATCTCACTGTTTTTATCTTCCCCTACCCCAACTATAATCATACTTTTTTTAAACACCTGAACATTCCTTCTTCCTTGGCAATAAGGGTATGTTAGCAAAGCTCTATAACCTTTTTTTGTTTTTTCCTCTGACACTGACATTCTCAGGTGAGAGTTCTATAACTTGAGCAAAATCAAAGACAGTGGTATATTTTGTAACATTAGAGATACTACACGGGGCAAAGCTTAGCTGTTACTGCAAGAAGCCTATCTACAATAATAGATTCAGGCTAATTTGAATGCCTCAGTCTATATCTTATTTCATCCCCAATTTATTTATTTTTTAATTTCAACTTTTATTTTAGATTCAGGGGGTACATTTGCAGGTTTATTACATGAGTATATTGTATGATGCTGAGGTTTGGGTACCACTGATATTGTCACCCAGGTAGTGAGTATACTACCCAATAGGTAGTTTTTCAGCATTCCACCCTCACCTCCCATCTTTTGGAGTCTCCAGTGTCTGTTGTTGCCATCTTTATGTCCGTATGTACCCATTGTTTAGCCCCCACTTATAAGTTAGAACATGTGGTATTTCGTTTCTGTTCATGCATTAATTTGCTTAGGATAATGGCCTCCAGCTGCATCCGTGTTACTGCATAGGACATTATTTTGTTCTTTTTTATGGCTGCATAGTATTTCGTGGTGTATATGTACCACATTTTCTTTATCCAGTCCACTGTTGATGAGCACCTAGCTTGATTCTATGTCTTTGCTGTTGTGCTGAGATGAACATACAAGTGCATGTATCTTTTTTGTTGAACGATTTATTTTTCTTTGGGTATACACTCAGTAATGGGATTGCTAGGTCAAATAGTAGGTCTATTTTAAGTTCTCTGAGAAATCTTCAAACTGCTTTCCACAGTGGCTGAACTAATTTATATTCCCAGCAACTATGTATAAGGATTCTGTTTTCTCCACAACCTCACTGGCGTCTGTTGTTTTTTACTTTTTAGTAATAGCCATTCTGACTGGCCTGAGATGCTATCTCATTGTGGTTTTGATTTGCATTTCTCTGCTTAGTGGTGTTGAGCATTTTTTCGTGTTTGTTTCACTTCAGATTTCTGAGTGAGTTTAGAACATCTGAGCATCAGAAGCAAACCTTGGAATAGTCGAACCAACCCCCAAATAAAATAAAAATAATTAAAGAGGCTTTTTTGTTTCTCCTCTTAAATGCATTCAATTCATTTAGCTTCTCATTTATATCATCACTGACAAAGAATAAATGCTAGTTGTTGAGGTTAAAAAAATTTTTGTTGTTGATAGCTCTAGCAATTTGGTTAGAAAAATTAGGGAAAATTCAGGACTAAGAAAATTTAGAGACTGTGATTTTCATTTATCCACTCCTTCACTTCATTAATTATGACAAACCATAAAAATGGATTAATGGATAAAAGGATGATCACTTTGTATCATCAGAAGAAAATAATTGCTAAAAAATTAGAGATTTAAAAACAAAGAGGATGATAGTGAGCTCTGTTATTTAAACCAAAGAATATCATTGAAATCCTAAATAAACAAGCCATCCAAGAGAGGAATATATCTATATTTGGTAAGTGCATCCTGCTATGTATAAGTTCAAAAAGGAAGAAGGTTAGACAGTGCTGGGAGAGGAGCCTTGTATACCTGGATGTGCTCTATTAAAAGAGGCGCTTGATTGCTCAGTAATTGCAGAGCTAGGCTCTTGGGGAGGCTTTTGTCATCCCTCCTTGGCTGACACCAGACGATAGTGTGGCTCTGTGATAAGAAACAGAG